>NC_000007.14:67961324-68264354 GCF_000001405.40 Homo sapiens | reverse complement strand
TTATTATGTGCCTGATGCTGTTAAACTCCTTACAAACATTTCTATAATCTCCACCAACAATGCACACCTAACATATGGCTTTAGCTGTTTTATATGCCTAACCTTACTACCTAAAGCCACCTTGTTGTTTTTTTTTTTTTAAGACAGTTTCACTTTTTTCACCCAGGCTGGAGTGCAATGGCGCAATCTTGGCTCACTGCAACCTCTGCCTCCCGGGTTCAAGCCACTCTCCTGCCTCAGCCTCCCGAGTAGCTGGGGTTACAAGCATGCGCCACCACGCCCGACTGATTTTTGCATTTTTAGTAGAGACAGGGTTTCACCATGTTGGCCAGGCTGGTCTGGAACTCCTGACCTCAGGTGATCCGCCCACCTTGGCCTCCTAAAGTACTGGGATTACAAGTGTGAGCCACCGCGCCTGGCCCTAAAGGTATCTTTTAAAGACATAAACCAGATCCCACTCCCCCTCCCGGGGATCCTCTAGCGGCCCTTGTCATCTGGCCTGCTCTCCTGCTCACCCCATTCACATCTTCTCTTCCTTCTACCCCTGAGTCTGGAGCTACTACACATCAGCTCTTTTTATTTTCATCATAGCATGTATCTTAACCTAAAGTTACCTTGTTCTGTTGAGTGTTTAAGTGCTGCCTCTCACTGGAATGTAAGTTCCACAAAAGCAGAGACTTATTTGTCTTATTCTCTATCCCCTGAGCTCAGAATACTTCCTGGCTTGGAGTCTCAGCGAAATATTTTTGTTTTTTTGAGACAGGGTCTCGCTCTGTCACCCAGGCTGTAGTGCAGTGGTACAATCATAGCTCACTGCATCCTGGGCTCAAGCGATCATCCTGCCTCAGCTGCTCCAGTAGCTGTGACTACAGTGCATGCCACCCTGCATGGCTTATTTTTTTATTATTTTCTCTAGAGATGTTGTCTCACTATGTTGTCCAGGCTGGTCTTGAACTCCCAGCCTCAAGCAGTCCTCCTGCCTGGACCTCCCGAAGTGCTGGGATTATAGGCCTGAGCCACCATGCTCAGCCCTCAGTAAAAATTTTAAGTATCTAATTTATTCCTGTCTATAATCCCAGCAGTGGCAGACTATAATTATGCCCATTTTATGGATGAGGTAATCCCTGTAATCCCAACATTTTGGGAGGCCAAGGCCAGCAAATTGGTTGAGCCCAGGAGTTTGAGACCCTGTCTCTACAACAACAACAACAACAAATATATATATATAAAATATATATTTTATATATAATATATATAATAATATTATATATATAATATATATTTCAAATATATATGTATAAATATATTTTTTAAATATATTTTAAATATATATATTTAAAAAATATATTTATATGAAAACTAACCAGGCATGTTGGCACGGGCCTGTAGTCCCAGCTACTTGGGAGGCTGAGGTGGGAGGATCACTTGAGCCTGAGAGGCAGAGGTTGCAGTAAGTCAAGATCGCTCCACTGCACTCCATCCTAGGTAACAGAGTGAGATCCTATCTCGAAAATAAAATAAGATGCCAGGCATGGTGGCTCATGCCTGTAATCCCAGCACTTTGGAAGCCCGAGGTGGGTGGATCACCTGAGACCAGGAGTCTGATACCAGCCTGGCCAACACGATGAAACCCCACCTCTACTAAAAATACAAGAATTAGCCAGGTGTGGTGGTGGGCACCTGTAATCCCAGGTACTCGCAAGGCTGAGGCAGGACAGTCGCTTGAACCTGGGAGGCATAGGTTGCAGTGAGCTGAGATTGCGCCATTGTGTTCAAGCCTGGGCGACAGAGTGAGACTGCATCTCAAATAAATAAGAACGGTTCCAGAAGGTTCAACGAGTAGGCTGCATATCTATTCAGCTGAGAAAACAGACCTGTTTTATTCAATAGCTCACGTTCTTTGTGTGACTACCACACTCATCTATGCCTTCACCATCTGAACTCACACCCTGTCTGGTGCAAAGATGGACAATGCCTTGCTCCTCTTCCGGCCTCTACCCAAGCAGAAGGAGAGATTGCTGCTTCTCTTCCCTGTCCCCCTTGGTTTTTTCTCTCTCCTCTTTTGCTTGGCGAGTCTGCACATTCAGCACTGGCTCAGGCCACTCCATCGTTGGGTCAAACACCTTGTTGGAGTCAGTTAGGATGCCTGGCATGGAACCTCCTACCTACCAATGGGCTGGATCACTCTGTCTCCTTCCAGTGCTAGCTTTTCATGATGGCATATGTTTTTGAAATCCTGTTTGTCTCTTTTTAAAATGGGAAGTACATGTGAAAGGGCAAGGGGCTTAGCAAAGGCTAAGTTTTGGCCTGTGTTTAGGATAATCAAGATGAAATTTCTTTGGCAGTCAACTTCCTTCTTACACAGAATGGCTTAAGTTTACAACGCCAACCCCAAATTTGATCTCTACATCAGCGACTCTTGTTTTCTTTTCCTCTAGAGATTAACATCTCAATTGTGATGATGGTCTATCTCCAGCTTTCTTTTTTTTTTTTTTTTTTTTGAGACAGAGTGTTGTTCTTGTTGCCCAGGCTGGAGTGCAGTGGAACAATCTTGGCTCACTGCAAACTCCACCTCCCAGGTTCAAGCGATTCTTCTGCCTCAGCTTCCCAAGTAGCTGGGATTACAGGCATGCACCACCACACCCGGCTAATTTTGTATTTTTTTAGTAGAGACGGGGTTTCTCCATGTTGGTCAGGCTGGTCTCGAACTCCCGACCTCAGGTGATCTGCCCACCTCGGCCTCCCAAAGTGCTGTGATTATAAGCGGGAGTCACCATGCCTGGCCTCCAGCTTTCTTACTCTAGGAAGACAGCCCAGAATTCATCCATCTGTTGATTCACTCCACACACATTTCCAGCCCCGAAACTGTACTAAGTGCTATGCAAAGTGTTGGGGCAACATAAATGGGTAAGACATGGCTTGTCTCTCCTTACCGCCATGGTCACCAGGGCCAGAGAATGTATGATGGTTTCCCCAAGCAGGTAATAATTTTTATTTTTATCCTTGTACTAGATCCCTCTCTCATGCCACCATCTTGATCTCTCTTCCTCCCTCTCCCTCTCTCTCTTTTTCTTCTTAGAGTTAGAGTCTTGCCTTGTCACCCAGGCTGGAGTGCAGTGGCACAATCATAGTTCACTGCAGCCTCAAACTCCAGGGCCCAAGCAATCCTCCCACATTAGCCTCCTGAGTACCTAGGACTACAGACATTTGCCACCATGCCCAGCTAATTTATTCTTTTTAATTTTTGTAGAGATGGGGGTCTCCCTCTGTTGCCCAGGCTGGTCTCAAAGTCATCGCCTCCAGTGATCCTCCCTCTTCAGCCTCCCAAAGGGCTGGGATTGTAGGCATGAACCACTGTGCCTGACCCATCTTCATCTCTTACATTTAAGAGAGCTACTCTCTGACTACAAAAAAATCAATCAAGGTTACATAAGAAACACTAGCTCATGCACAAGGCTGTCAAACTCCTGAGAAGAACTGGCCAAACCAGGCACTCCACATGATTAGGGAGCTGATAGGAGATTAAAGAAATCATTTTTCACCTTCATATAGAAAAGAATGTCCAGTAATAGGGCCAGTAAAAGATCCAAGGAGGTCAACAGAGGTGATCTAATATCCAAGTGAAGGGAAAGAAGAAGGAGGATGGAGAGCAAGGGAGGAAGAAAAAAAATAGATCAAACCCCTCCAACTTTCATTCCCCAAAGTGATGATTGCATTTAACTTGGGGGCTATGACCTGCACATGGGGGATGACCCATTTGTTCCCCTACAACTTTGGGCTTATATAGGGAGATGGGCACAACCAGGTAACAGGGAGGTTGGCATACATTCAGCTCACTGAGGGACTGCTTTTTCTGTTCCTACAGCCTATGCCTTGTAAACCAAAAAGTGACTAAGTCAGATCTCTATTGATTTAGAGGTTTATTTTGCTGAGGTTTAGGATGTCCCTGGGAAAAAGAAACACAAGTTACAGTAGGATCTGTGGCCTGTGATATCTCCAAAAAGGGTTTTGGGATCTTCAGTATTTAAAGGAGAAAGAGTAAGCAGGAAGGAAAGAGACAAAAGAGAAGGAGGAAGGGAAGGTAGGCAATGAAGCAAGTGGTCACATTCTTGTTTTAATTAACACTCAGTGAATCTACATTTTACGTGTGAAACGAAGGGAGTGGGGTGAAAGTCAATCATGCATTTGTCTCCCACTTATTAAATCTACATTTTACATGAGATAAAGTCAGCATGTAAAATTACAGCTATCCACTTGGGAACAAAAGGAAGGTAGTTTTTTTGCATGATTCAATTTCCAAGCTTAACTTTCTCTTTGGCATGAGAAGCTTGAGGTCCCAAGATTTTAGTTTGCTTTCACAGCCTTAACTCGCTTAGACCTTGTCTTAGACTCTGATTGGACAACTGGCTTGCAGTGGAACAGAGATCATAAAAATTGTCAATGCCAACTGATCGAGCTCTGTGGTTTTAAAGGCTTTTCTATCTCTAGGTTTTGCAGACTTCAACTGAGATTTGCACCCTATGAAACAAAGAAAGAGGAGTGTGGGGGCAAAAGAGGAATCTCACAGACTCACACCCTCTTTTACATGGGGGCTGAACAAGAATTCCAAGACTATGTTTTGTTTAATTAATCAATTTATTTATTTTCTTAAAGCAAGCTTTGCTATGTCACCCAGGCTAGAGAGTGATCATAGTTCACTGCAGCCTTGAACTCCTGGGCTCAAGCAAGTCTCCCACCACAGACTTCTATGTAGCTGGGACTACAGGTGTGTACCACCATGCCAAGCTAAATTTTTTTTTCGTTTTTTAGAGATAGTGGTCTTGCTATGTTGCGCAGACTGGTCTTGAATTCCTAGCTTCAAGTGCTCCTCCCTCTTTGGCCTCCCAAAGTGCTGGGATTACAGGCATGAGCAGGTCCCAAGACTGTAGTTTAAATGCTCACTAGCTTTCCATAGTGACTATTTGCCTTAGACTCCTATCTGATTAGGAAAATAATCTGCCTTCCCTGGTTGAGTCATTATTCTAGGGTCCAGGTTTTTTTGCTTGCTTGTCTGTTTGTTGAGATTAAGATAATCTCACTTGCGTCCAAGTTTATAAATGGATCCTATTTTGAGGACGCCATTTTTACATTTGAAAGGCGTTGGTTGAACTCTCACTTCCGGCTGTTGGTTTGAAGGCAGAGCCACGGCACAAAAGAAGATAAAGGAAAGGCAAGTGCTTCTTCTTCAATTCCCTTCTTCTGGCCCCTGTCTCCTGAATGGCATTGTCAGTGAGGGAGAGGACCTCAAGAACTGTACTTTTCTCCTTAAAGCAGCCGTTAGCAAGTGGCATCAGCTGAGGGCTGTGATTGGCCCTTCTCTTATGGGTGTCCTGTCTGTAATTGTCACTAATGCAAATTCATTAGATATTTCATTAGCTAAGCCAAAAACCTATATCCTGATCTTTAGCTGAAAACATCTGCGAATTAGATTTGGAAAATTAGAATAATACTCATTCGCCGGTGGCAATTAATGAGTCATGACTAACGAAGGCAGGGAGAGGAGGGCAGGAGAGAGTGGCTCTCCTTCCGTGCTGCTGATAGTTAAATGGAAGAGGAAATTACACTGCATTTTGTGAGTTCACTGGAGCACGAAGCTGTCACTGCCTGGAGCCATCAGACTTCCTGACCCAGCTCCTGGGCTTTGCGGTACTTCTTTCGTTTCAGAACCCTAAAGGTAGAACACAGAGTCTGGGTAGTAGGAGGTCAGTTCTTAAGGCAGGGACTCCTGGCCCTCAGTTGGTGGTATCATTGGTAATGTATCAAATATCACCAGATCTTTTCATTTTTTATTAAGTGTAGAGGAGACGACCTTGGAAGCTATTGCCTTCAACCTTCATTTCTTACACAAAGGAAACTGAGGCTCAGAAAATTCAGGCAACTTTTCCCTGGACACATTAAGTAATGTCTCAAAAGATGGGGACCCCACTCCAGTCTCCTGACTCTGTATTTAATGTTCTTTTCTCTGAACCATCATTTCTACCAACTATTTGGCAACAATCCATGATCACTCAATACCCAATATATGGGAGATGGTTAGAAAAATGTTACAGATCCAAGGAAGGCTAACACATGTCCAGGTTTGTTACATGGGTATATTCTGTGATGCTGAGGTTTGGATTTGTCATGATCCCATCACCCAAGTAGTGAAATTAGTACCCAATAGGTAGCTTTTTCACCCTTATTCCCTGTCTCCCCACTCAGTAGTCCACAGTCTCTATTGTTCCCATCTTTATATTTATGTGTACCCCATGTTTAGCTTCTGCTTATAAGTGAGAACATGTGGTATTTGGTTTTCTGTTTCTGCATTCACTTAAGATAATGGCTTCCAGGTGCACCCATGTGGCTGCAAAAACAAAACAAAACAAAACATGATTTCATTTTTTTTTTTTTTTTGAGACGGAGTCTCTCTCTGTCGCCCAGGCTGGAGTGCAATTTTGGCTCACTGCAACATCCACCTCCCGGGTTCAAGCAATTCCTTACCTCAGCCTTCCGAGTAGCTGGGATTACAGGCACCCGCCACTACGCCCAGTTAATTTTTTGTATTTTTAGCAGAGACAGGGTTTCACCATCTTGGCCAGGCTGATCTTGAACTCCTGACCTTGTGATCCACCCTCCTCGGCCTCCCAAAATGCTGGGATTACAGGCGTGAGCCACCGTGCCCAGCTGATTTCATTCTTTTTTATGACTCATAGTATTCCATGGTGTATATATACCACACTTTCTTTATCCAACCCACTACTGATGGGCACCTGGGTTGATTTCATGTCTTTGCTTTTGTGAACAGTGCTGTGATAAACATATGAGTGCAGGTGTCCTTAACATTCTAATTTTCTCCTTGGGCCTAAGTTTTCCATCCTATCAAATAAAGTAATCATACTAAGTCTGTAAGAATCCTCTAAGAGCTGGCATTTACTTGCTTTCCTCTCTAGATATATCAAAAAGGAGTAATGCAATGAAGACACAGAAGAGGGAATGAGCCCATCTCCTTCTGGGTATTGGGAAGGCTTTATGGAAGCTGTGGCATTGTAGATAGGAGCTAATGAAGGATTGTAGCAGAAAACCAAGAGAAAGGTAGATGTTGCTATATGAAGAGAGGTGATGTGATATCTAGATTCCTATCCAGATATGCAAGTCTATGATTCTGGGTTTCTAGGGATATTTTGGGAGCAAGTAAACCAAAATCCTTAAACAAGTGCTCCCAGAACTGACTGCAGCTGAAAAGTCAGTGAGTGACAATTGCATCATTTCCATCACTCAATATCTCCAGCCTCAGTCACACGTGAGTCCTGCTCTCAGCACTGAGAGGCAAAGGGAGGTTGCTTCTTAACCAACAATGAGTTTAAACTCACTGCAGTACAGGGGCTTGGAATCAGAAAAGCCTCCTTATGGAATTTAGTTCACTTGACATTTGGTAAGTGTTTAATAAATTATTATGATATAATAATTACTTGCCTGTAGAATTTCATTTTCTGGAAACGTATAAAAATGAGAGAGGTGTTCACCTGTGTAAAATGGTGCAGGAGGAGTCCTGTCTGCAGGCTGGGCAGTGGATCTTTTATACTCCAGAGCAGGGTTTTTAAAGTGTGATCCCTAAGGCAGCAGTCTTGTCACCTGGGAAATGATTAGCAATGCAAATTCTCAGCTCCACCCTAGACCTATTGAGTCAGGCTCTCTGAAGTTGGGGCCCAGCCATCTCTCTTAGCAAGCCCTGCAAGTGACTCTGATGCTTCTCAGGTTTGGGAATCACTGCTCTAGAGTTGCCTTTGTACACTATGTACATCGATGTACATAGTTCACTATGTACATCGGTGAATTATACTTGATGCAGTCAGAAAAGAAAGGGAGAGAGGGAGGCAGAGAGAGTGAAAGAGAGAGAGGAGGAGAAGGAGAACTGAAACCACCTTTGCAAAACTATGACTGAGACAGTGAAAGAGATCTAACTTAACCAACTCCATCTTGCTTCTAACCTCCAAGCTGTCCTTGTTCATTTCTGGGCATAGGCTGAACTAACTTTAAAGGAAACTGAGCTTATAGTTTAAAACAAAGATGATAACAACCCTTTAGCAAAGCAGACCTCCTTCTTGCCTGGGGACTAGATTGCCTTTGTAGGACTAACACTAGCCATAAGATTAGAAATTATGGTTTAGGAGTCATGCAGCCGGAGGCTACAAGATTCTGACCCTCCATAAACTCCTCCTAAGACCAGCAATTGAGATATATTTTGCAGACCTTGCACTTGATGGATCAGCTGGCACCATCCAGATCAATTAACTGGCTCATCTGATCTTGTGGTTCCCACCCAGGAGCTGACTCAGTGCAATAAGACAGCTTCAATTTCTTATGATTTCATCCCTGACCAATCAGTGCTCCTGGTTCACTGGCTCCCCACCACCCGCCAAGTTGTCCTTAAAAACTCTCCTCACCCAAATGCTCGGGGAGACTGATTTGAGTAGTAATAAAGCTCGGGTCTCCTGTATACAGCTGACTCTGCATGAATTACTCTTTCTCTATTGCAGTTCCCCTGTCTTGAGAAATAGGCTCTGTTTAGGCAGCAGGCAAAGTGAACCCATTGGATGGTTACAGAAAGAGATGAAGGAGGAGAAGAAGGAGGAAGAGGTGGGTAGGAGGAGAAAGAAAAGGAGAAAGGAGCAGGAGCAGGAGGTGGAGGTGGAGGAGGAGGAGAAGGGGAAGGAGAAGGGGAAGAGGAAGAAGAAGAAGAAGAGGGAGGAGGAGGAGAGGAGGAAAAGGACAAAGGAGGAGAAGGAGGAGAAGGACAAGAAGTAGGAGGAGGAGGAAGAGGAGAAAAAAAGGAGGAGGAGGAGGAGAAGGGAGAAGAATAGAAGGAGGAGGAAGGGGAGGAGAGAAGGAGGAGGAGGAAAGGCAGAAGAAGGAGAAAAGAAGAAGATGAAGAGGAAGAAGAAGGAAAAGGAGAAGAATAAGGAGAAGAAGAAGACGAAGAAGAGGAAGGAAGGGGAGGAGGGGAGAAGGAGGAGGGGAGGAGGAGAGGAGGAAAAGGAGGAGGAGAGGAGGAAAAGCACAAAGGAGGAGAAGGAGAAGGAGGAGGAGAAGGACATGAAGCAGGAGGAGGAGGAGGAAGAGAAGAAGAAAAAGGAGGAGGAGGAGAAAGAGGAGAAAGGAGAAGAATAGAAGGAGGAGGAAGGGGAGGAGAGAGGGAGGAGGAAAGGCGGAAGAAGGAGAAAAGAAGAAGAGGAAGAGGAAGAAGAAGGAAAAGGAGAAGAAGAATAAGGAGAAGAAGAAGAGGAAGGAGGAGGAGGGGAAGAGGAGAGGAGGAAAAGGACAAAAGAGGAGAAGGAGGAGGAGAAGGACAAGAAGCATGAGGAGGAGGAGGAAGAGAAGAAGAAAAAGGAGGAAGAGAAAGGAGAAGAATAGAAGGAGGAGGAAGGGGAGGAGAGAAGGAGGAGGAGGAAAGGCAGAAGAAGGAGAAAAGAAGAGGAAGAGGAAGAAGAAGGAAAAGGAGAAGAAGAATAAGGAGAAGAAGAAGGAGAAGGAGGAGGAGGAAAAGAAGAGGAAGAAAAGGAGGAGGAAGAGAAAGAGAAATTCTGTCTAAAGAGAGACATAGTCAAAGTCAGGGTGTTTGCCAGGGTTTGAGTCCATGGTCATTGCATCTTTCATTTGAGAAGCGTGAAGTAAGGGAGTAAAGAATAAATCCGGAGACAGCTGATCTGGCTTCTAGCATTTGATCTATTAGCAATAAGCTTTGTCACCTTGGCCAAGCCACTCAGCCGTTCTGCACCCCTGTGAGATGAAGGTGCCTGCACATGCTCTCCGGGCACACACCCAGCCTGTCTGCCACTGCCCAGAGTGTATGCGCAAGATTTGTCCCACTTCCCCATAAACAGAGTCAGCCCATTCCATCAATTCCCGGGTGGCTGTCCACACTATACCATAACTACGTGCCAGTCAAGGTCAAAACCACTGCCTAAACTGGTGCTGTGTTCTATGCAGAGGTAATAGAGACTGGCACTCTCTTGCTACCATGCCTGGTGGTGTACATGAAGGAATGATCTATTCCATTTCGTTGTGGCATCACTCCCAGGGTAGCTTACCTTGTCTGAGAGATGGATGGGAAATCGTTTCAGCCAGTTTTGCTGCTGAGTCCCTGAGCCGTGAGCCTCCCTGGCACGAGGTGATTGAGCTGGGGAGGCTGGATACCCACGCTCTCCCCAGGGACTCCCTTTTTCATTTACATTTCCAATTTCCAGACTTGTCAACAGTTTCTGCCTCTCTTCTCCAAGAGAAAATGGAAATTCAAAAACAAAAGTAAATTCCCTTTAAAATTGCATGCAAGAATGAGCATCCTGGGCCATAGGACTTCTATTTGCCAGAAATCATGGTTTTGTTGTTCTCTCAGTCACAGGGGTCATTGTGGGGAGACAGAAGCCCTCAGGGCAAAGTTGCAGGGAAAGGGGAGAGAGCCCTCACTCCAGCCCAGCTCCAGTGATGCCCTGGTCTGACCACTTTCTCCTTTCTCCCATCATCTAAAGCAACCTGGGTCCTACGCTACTAATTTTTTTTTAATTGAAATATAATTTTCATTGCATAAAATTTACTTTTCAAAAATGTACAATTTAGTGTCTTTTAGTACATTTATTTAAACCGTTACACAACTATCTTCACTAATTCCAGAACATTTTCATTGCCCCAAAAGGAAACTGCATGCCCATTAGTGCTCAGTCCCCATTCTCCTCCTCCCACCTCCAGGCGACCATTAATCTACTTCTGACTCTATGGATTCTCTTATTCTGAACAATTCACTTAAATAGGTTCATATAGGCCAGGGCAGTGGCTCACGCCTGTAATCCCAGCACTTTGGGAGGCTGAGGTGGGAGGATCACGAGGTCAGGAGATTGACAGCATGGTGAAACCCTGTCTCTACTAAAAAATACAAAAAAATTAGCTGGCCGTGGTGGCAGGCACCTGTAGTCCCAGCTACTTGGGAGGCTGAGCTTACAGTGAGCCGAGATGGCGCCACTGCACTCCAGCCTGGGCGACAGAGCGAGACTCCGTCTCAAAAATAAATAAATAAATAAATAAAAATAAATAAATAAATGGGATCATATAATATGTGGCCTTTATGTCTGGCTTCTTTCACTGAGCAGAATGTTTTCAAGGTTCATTAGTAAACCTTGAAAACATCAGTACTTCTTTTCTTTTTATGACTAAATAATATTTTATTGTATAAATATACAATATTTTATTTATCTATGCATCAGTTGATAGGCATTTGAGTTGTTTACACCTTTTGGCTGTATCATTCATGCTGATATGTGCATTTGTATACACGTTTGTGTAAAAATATTTCAATACTCTTGAATAAATACCAAAAAGTGGAATTGTTAAGTTATATGTTAATTTTAGGCTTAATGTTTGAGAAACTGCCAAACTGTTTTCCAAAGTGGCTGCACCATCTTTGCATTTTTTTAACAATGTACAAGGATTCTAATTTCTCTGTAGCCTTGCCAACTCTTGTTATTTCTGTCTTTTTGATGATAGCCATCTTAGTGAGTATGAAGTGATATCTTATTGTGGTTTTGATTTGCATTTTCTCAGTGACTAGTGATGTTGAGTATCTTTTCATGTGTTTATGGGCCATTTATATATCTACTTTGGAGAAATGTTTGTTCAAATTATCTGTCCATTTATAAAATTGGGTTATTTGTCTTTTTATTGTTGAGTTGTAAGAGTTCTTTATTATAGATATTAGACTCATTGGATATGAGATTTGCATATTCTATGGCCATCCTCTGAACCACAAAATGTTTTCATCTTGATCAAGTCCAATTTACCTAATTATTTTTTTCATTTGGTTGCTTCTGCTTTAGGCATCATATCTAAGCAACTACTTCCTAATCCTATGTCATGAAGATTTACTCCTATCCTTTCTTCTAAGAGTTGTATAGTTTTAGCTGTTACATTAAGGTCTTTACTCTGTTTTAAGCTAATTTTTGTATACGGTGTGAGGCAGGGGTTCAACTTCCCTCTTTTTCATGTGGATATCCAGTTGTCTCAGCACCATTTGTTAAAGAGACTACTCTTTCCCTCGTTGAGTTGTTGTGCTACCCTTATAACTCCTAGTAAAATCCTTTCTTCTATGGTTCACCCCTTTATGTGGATTTCTCCTCTCTCAGGCTAGATTGTCAGCCCACTGAGACAGAGGATGAATCTTTGGCTCCTCCCAAGAGACCAGGCACAGGTTTATTCAAAGACTGAGTGCACATGTTAATTGAATATTTTGGAAATTGCTGCTGAGCTACTACCCCCTTGTGAGTATTTTTTCACCTAGAGGTCCTAAGTTTCTTGGATAGCCCTCAACAATGTTAATTTCGATTATGAAATCAGATGCAGGAGCCAGAGGAATAATGGATTCAGATGACTTTGTGCTCCAGACCTGCCAAGACAGCTTTGAGAGCTTCCCAGGGGAGTCCTGGAAAGCTAGTGCCTTCACCATCATCCTTGATTCCTCAGAATGATCCAGGAACATGGAGGGGTAGGACCTCTAACCCAGTGCATGAGATAAGGATGGAAAGGAGTTTTAAAGGCTGTGAAAGGGTGACTCAGGCAAGGAAGAGAGAGAAAATGTGTTTAGGGGCAGAAAGGCCTGCCTGCAGATATGCCTCGAGGAACAGAACCATGGAGAAGAAAGATGAGGGTAAGGGAGCTGGAGACACCGAGAAGGTCATTAATAAGCTCATGGGGCTGGGTCTCCAGACCCTCTATATAGACCAGAAACTGTCCTTGGAAAGCCAAGTCACCAAAAGAAATGGAAAAGCCGCCTTTGCCTACTCCTGGCAACAAATTGTTAAAATAATGGGTTTATGTTTCAAAGGTTTCATTCCTTGTGTTTGATCAATAAAATGTTCTTTAGATCAATACAAATGTAATTTCACTGCTGGCAGCCATTTATAGCATGCAGTGGAGAAGTCACTGCCCAGCAAGCCCAGCTTGTGAGTATCATACAAGCATATTGCTCTGCTAGGTATGGGTCACGCTCGAAAACAGCAAGGAGAAACAAATGAGATTACCAGCCAATAAGCTCAATGTTGGCACCAATGTCTTGGTGCCTGCATTAATCTCTTCAATGCAGAGGCTTTCAGTAGAAAGAATCTGGCTCTCTAAATTCATTCTTAAAACTAGAAAGTAAAAAGAGTAGAATTGCTGATGCTTATTCAGCACTTAGCACATGGCAGACTGTCCTAAATGCTTTCTGTGAATTAGCTCATTTGAGTCAGATGTAAACCCAATGAAATTGCTCCATTATGAGCCTTATCTTATTGATATTGATACTGAACCACAGAGAGGTTGAGTAACCTGCACCCAGGCTCATAGCTGCTAGGGAGCAGAGCTGGGATTTGTACCCAGGCAGTCTTGCTCTAAGCACCCTACTACATCATCTCTCCAGCTGAGTGTATCACCTGCTTCAATGCTTGCCACACATCATACACTGTACTTAGTATTTTCACATGTTTCATTTTGTTTATTCCCCTAAACATATTACCATGGGTGTTATTACAGATGGCGAAACCGAGTCCTAGAGAAGATCAGTAACTTGCCCAAGTTTTCCTTGCAAGGAAGCGGCAGCGCCAACCTTTGAATCCAGGTGTTCCGAAGCCAGTGCTGCTGGGCTAACCTCTTGCCTTCAGGGAGGTAGCCAAGTGGTATACCTGTTTATTTCTGCAGCACTTGCCTCTGTGGAGGATGAAGGCTGTGAGCCCTGGGAGCTCAAGAAGAGACAAACCCGGAGGGAAAAACAAGTGAACCCAAGGCTCCCAGGGCCCCCCGGCAGTGTGAGCAGTCTGCCCTGGGGGCTTTCCTAGCTCAAGCTCCAGCTCTTGCTATTGCTATGGCCTTGCTCTATGCATACCGTAGGGCCTGGGTCCCTCTGACCAAGAAACAGAACAGACAGAGTTCATTCTCAGACACCCAGTGAGCATGCACTTCCACTGCTCTGCCACAAGTATGGCGCTGAGCAAATGTGAGGCTGGATGTCCAATGCACTTTCTATAGAGTGTAAGCTTCATGAAGAAGGGGCAGGTGGTAAGTAGAGAGCCCTGGACTGGAAGCCAGAATCCCCACTCCGGTTCCAGCCCAGCCATGTGTGCTTGGGCAATGCCTTTCCCTTCACTGAGCCACACTTTCCTGAGGCCCAATTCTTCTTTAAAGTCTCCCTCAGCTTCAGTGCTATAGAAATCAGAAGAGAATGTGAAGGTCAGTGCTGCTAAGACCCATCTTTTATCCATTCAGCAATATTTATTGAAAGTCGATCAGGTACCAGGCATGGAATTCAGCAATGAACAAGAAGACAGATAACATTCCTTGTCCTTGTGAAGCTTAAATTCTAGTGATTTGGGGGATGCCAGATTCATTCATCATTCACTTATTCACTTACTCCATTCACTCACTCATTTATTCACTCATTCATTCACCTTCATTCTTTCACTCTCATTCATTCATTCACTCTCATTCATTCACTCACTTTATTCACTCCCTAATTCATTTGCTCACTTCACTCATTCACTCACTCATTCATTCACTCATTTAGTCATCCACCCACTCATTCATTCACTCATTTATTCATTCACTCACTTATTCATTCACTCACTTATTCATTCATTCAGTCATCCACACACTCACTCATCCACTCATTCATTTATTCACTCGTTCATTTACTCATCAGTCATTAACTCACTCATTCATTCATCCACCCACTAATTTGTTCAATCATTTATTTATTCTCTCACTCATTTACTCACACTTATTCATTTACTCTCTCATTTATTCATTCACTCTCTCATTTATTCATTCATTCACTCAGCATCATTCATTCATTAACCCATTCATCCACTAGTTCATTCAGTTAGTCACCATCATTCATTCATTAACTCACTAATTCATTAACTCATTCATTTACTCATTCACTCATTCACTCATTCATTCATTCACTCATTCAAGAAGCACCCACCATGGTTCAGGTGTAGCAGCAGGTCTGGGGGATTCAAAGGTGAGAAAGACAAGACCTCACCCTGGAGGTACTTACATTTCAGCAAGAAAGTAAGGTAGGTAAAAAACATAACTGCATTCTGAGACTGGGACAAAAGCCATGCTTGTTCTAAATCTATCCACAGCATTATGTAAGAACTCACTAGAGAGTGGGAGTTAAGATCTAGCACCAAAGTGGGACAGGAGACCAGGGAAGCTAGACAGGAAGGTGGCAGGTAGCCTAGCAGAACTCCCCAGGTCAAGGGCAGGCACCCAGAGTGGCCTCTGTGCCTTCCATGAGCAAACCTCCAAGAATGTTTCTGGTGAATGGAAAGGGCTTGAACAGGGCAGGCTCAGCAGGAACCTTTGCCCCATCTTGGTCTCAATGCTGCTGTTTCAAAGAGCATGCAGCAAAATGCAGGTGGAATCTGCTGCCTTCTCCGGGGCTCATCAGCTAATTCAGACTTCTCAAGCTAAGGCTAGGCAGTGGCTTCGCCATACCTGCCCCCAGTTCTAGTTGGGCCTTTGAGTTTTCAGGATTCCCCCAGAGCAATAGTCCCTTGGGAAGGGAAACCCTGTGTTATTCCCCAGCCATCCTACATTTCATCCATGGTAGTGAAAGGATGTATCTCTTGTCCTGGGAACTGGAATTTGCTTCTGTTCCCCTTCATCTCATCAAGGGATGGCTGAGAACTGTACCTATTGTCCAGCTTCTTCAAGGCTGTGGCTTCCTTGAATCTTCTTGGCATCCATGCAGGCTTTTCTCTTACTTCCTCTTCCTTGAAGCTCAATATTTCTTTTGGACCCTGCTGCGACAAACTCTGACATTATCATCTTAGTTATGGGCACAACCCCTCTGCCAACCTTGATGTTCCCATCTGTAAACTGAAAATAACTTTGCCTGTCTTGATTGTGTGACAGAGCTGTATTGAAAATTCAATGAGGTAGGCCAGGCACGGTGGCTCACACCTGTAATCCCAGCATTTTGGGAGGCCAAGGTGGGTGGGTCACCTGAGGACAGGAGTTCGAGATCAGCCTGGCCAACATGGTGAAACCCTGTCTCAACTAAAAATGCAAAAATTAGCCAGGCGTGATAGAGGCTGAGGCGTGAGAATCTCTTGAAACCGGAAGGTGGAGGTTGCAGTGAGCTGAGATCGCACCATTGCACTCCAGCCTGGGTAACAGAGTGAGACTCTGTCTCAAAAAAAAGACAGAAAATTCAATGAGATAATATACAAAATAATACACACACACACACACACACACACACACACACACACACTATATTTTACAGAGACAGAGTCTTACTCTGTCACCCAGGCTGATGTGCAGTGGCATGATCATAGCTCCCTGTAACTTCAAAATCCGGGGCTCAAGCAATCCTCCTGCCTTGGCCTCCCAAGTAGCTGGTAATACAGGCACATGCTTCCACATCTGGCTAATTTTTAATTTTTTTCTAGAGACAAGTTCTTGCTGTGTTGCCTAGGCTTGTCTTGAATTCCTGGTCTCAAGTGATCCTCCAGCCTTGGTCACCCAAAGTGCTGGGATTACAAGCATGAGCTGCCATGCCTGGCCAATGATGACAGTATTTACAACACACACCACAGCAACAAGAGGTAGAGTTGAAAAAACATTTCTGTTCATTGAACAAGAAAGATTCAGGTCCAGTTAGCAATCCCTGAACACCTCACATGTGTTAGACACTGGGACAGTTGCTTTTGTGTTCGTTATTTAAATATCATAGCCCTCCTTTTCTATCTATAAATAAAGAAACATAGGCTCTGAGAAGTGACACATTCTGCCCAAGGACACAGAGTTTTATGAGCAGGACCTGGGTTGCATGGAGAACCCATCTGGCTCTTTAAGCCACAGTTACACAGAGCACTCAACTCCATGCAGTCTCTGAAAAAAATACAAAGTGTTCTGTACTCCTACCTTTAAATACAAACTCACTGCTTTCAGACCCAATTAGGAACAGATAATTACCTGTGGGAAGTGGGGAGTTGGGCTGTCTGCTGGATCGACACGGAGAGTCCGTGAGCTAGAGTCTGTGAGCTAGTCTTTTCTCGTTATCAATAACATGCTACAACAAAATCATTATTTGGCAACGTGTTCATTTAATGGTCCATCCCACTGGCGCAGGATGGAAAGCAGCCACAATCAACTCTCTATGACACCATGCTGCATTGGCGATTTTGCCATTGCTGCCCGTTTGGGGCAGAGATGTGTCCTGCTAGAGGATGATGCAATTTTCCTAGACTTCTGAACAATCTTATAGCCCTGAGCCCCTCTTGCATGGAGTCCTTGGTGCCTTCTTTATAGTCTCAGTCTTGATTGGGCCCTGAAATGATCCTAAGCAAGGTATGTGGATGTCCCCTACCTGAGCGAGGGACAAGGGGCATTCGTGGAGTTACTGGCACTACGTGTCAGATATACTGGCATGAACCCCCTATCATCCCAGTGCTCAGTAGATTTCATCAGTTCAGTATACCTGGGCTTCCAGCTCAGCTTTCCTGCCCAACCCTACAGGTGCCTTCCAGGAATATATGCTCTGCCTGGATTGCAGCCTGCTTAATGATGAGGTCTACTATACACACTTTGACTCTTTCTCAGGGAACTGGAGTCTGCTTTCAGCCCACCTGCGACAATCATGATTCTGAGTATTGTCTGTCTCCTGGTCACAGACACCTGCCAGAACCACACCTGAGCTTGCTGAACCTGTTGATCTCCATGCACCAGCTGCTTGGCTGAACACATAAGTGCCAAGTCATAAATGAGTCACTTAGTCCTGCCTTCCTCCCACAACACCAGCCTGAGCCGCAGGGTTTCAGTATGCTTAATTGCAAGAGCCAGCGCATCCTCCCTGCATCTTCCCCCTGCTTAGCTAGAGTGGCGTGACTGCCTGCTTGAAGTACATTTGAAAGTCACTGAGTGAGCAGGGAATGCTTTGATGCTGACTGCTCCTTTCTCCCCTGGGGCTCTTTCAGTCTGGGCAACTTCCCACCATTTAACTTGTTCCTTGTAACAGATACAGAATAGCAGTGCCCAGGTGGGCTGACACAATGGCAGAGTCCGTGGTATCACATGAGACAGCTGGCTGTAGTTTTGGGCCTTTACTTGAAGGGCAAGAGGAATTGCTTCTTATTCGTGTGGAATATGAGGATGTTCCCACTTTACTCTGGCTGGGGAAAGAGCCAGAATGAGTTTTGCATTTGGGGAACCACCATAATTAGCTGCAAGAAACTATGGGCTAAGAAAAGGGGTTGCCAACCCCTGGCTATCACACATTCCTCAGGCTTCATTTATCATTCAAATGGAAGCATGAATCACACTTACTCCATAGCAGGCTCCATATAAGGGATGAGATAATGAGACTGTCAAGGTCCCTGCACTCCCAGCTCGGGGAGTGCCCTTGCTACTCCAGCCTTCTGTCTTGACTTCAACCAACTACAGCCATCAATTCTCCTTTTGTCTTCAGTCTAGACCAGTACTAGCAAAGCCAGAGCTCTCTAAATTCAACACGAATGTATGTCAAAGCAAAGGAATGGATTCCACAGATGCTCCAATGAGTCACATGCTCCAAGAACTCAAGAGGACTTCTTAGGAAACCGGTGAAGTGTTTGGAACATTTGCTAATTCTATCAGATCATCCCTTTTATTGCGGATGACTCTGGATCCACACAATTTTCATCAAGAGAAATTTTTTTGCATAATGCCCCAGTGACTAATCCGATTTGGTGTGGTGTAGAACCTTCGTGGAGCCTTGTATTAGTCCATTCTAACACTGCTACAAAGAAATACCCAAGACTGGGTAATTTACCAAAGAAAGGAGCTTAATTGACTCACAGTTCTGATTGGCTGTGGAGGCCTCAGGAAACTTACAAACATGGCGGAAAGCAAAGGAGAAGCAAGTACCTTCTTCTCAAGGTGGCATGAAAGAGAACGAGAGCAAAGTGGGAAAAGCCCCTTATAAAACCATCAGATTTCTTAAGAACTTACTCACTATAACAAGAACGGCATGGGGGAAACTGTCCCCATGAGCCAATCACCTACCGCCAGGTCTCTCCCTTAACACGTGGGGATTACAATTTGAGATGAGATTTGGGTGGAGATGAGATTTGGGTGGAGACACATAGCCAAACCATATCAAGCCTCAAGCCCCGAAGTTCTACTGCAGAAACTGGATATCTTGATTCTTTGCCCAATAATTGATTTGAAAACACCAGATCGAATTTCCTTCTTTTCCATGGTCTAACTGAAATCTTGGTGTGATCTAAACTACAGAACTGGTGTTTTTTGAGAATCATAGTATTAGAACTTATAGGCTATCTAATTTTACTTTACACTAAGTCTAGGAACCTGAGAATGATACGTCTATCTGGTTTGAATATCTCCTGTAATAGGAAGCTCACTCTGTAGTGTCAGCCCCTTCCACTGTGGAGTCCTTCCATGTACCAGAAAGTTCTTCTTTATCATGGGCTGAAATCTGCTTCCTGGAAACATTCATCCCGTTGATTCTGCACCATGCACCACATGAAGTGAGTCCTGATTCCTCTTCCTTATGAAAGCACTTAAACTGTCCAACGATGGCCATTCTGTCCCTTTGAGTCACTTCATCTGATACAGAATCTCCAGTTTCTCTACCTGTTCATGCCCAGTCAAAGTTTCCAGCACTCAGCACTTCACCGGCTAGGCTTTCATGTTTGCAAGGATGCTGACGCATCTCATCTTTCTATGTCAGTGAAAGAAAATAAACGGTTCAGAGTTGGCCTGCAGTGACAAAGGGGAACGAGGCCTGTTTGTGGTGGATTAGATTGGATGGCCAGGACAGGAAGCCAGGACCTGGAAGAAGAGCAAACAAAATGATTTTTTTCAAAAAGCTAGATGACAGTGGAACCATGCAGAGATCAAAAACGGCGCAACAGGAAACTAGGAAAGCAGAAAACAGAAATAGTGTTATTTTGTAACATTGACAGTGGTAGCATGACATTAGTGACAGTTCACAGGTGATATTACTCAATGCCTGCAGCAAAATGTTTGAACGCCTTTTAATTGCAAAATTAATGCTTGCATAAGTTTTCTTTGTTAAAAAGTGAAAACAATACAGATAAGTCTAAAATGTCCCTAGTTCCTACTGTCCCTCCTTCCCTATCTGGTTCCAGAAGTGTGTATGTGCAGGTGCATGGGTGAGAATTTGTGTGTGTGTGTATATATGTGTGTGTGTGTATATGTATGTGCATATATATACATATATATGTATATATACATGACGTACACATGCATATATACACACATATACATATGTATATACAAATATACATATACGTACAAATATATGTGTACAAACACATGCATATCTGTGTACATAAATCTATGTATGTATACATAGATATGTGCACATACATATCTATGTATACATACATAGATTTATGTATACATACATGTATATATCTATATATGTATATGTATATATACATATAGAGAGAGAGAAAGAGAACAGAGAGATTTATCGTAAGGAATTGGTAAGGAATATATATGTATACATAGATTTATTTATATATACATACATGTATATATCGATACATACTTATGTGTGTGTATGTATTGATATATACACACATACACATATATACATATATACCCATATATGTATATATAATATATAATATATAATTATATTATTATATATAATTATATATATAAAATATATATATATACAAACACACACACACACAGAGGGACAGAGAGAAAGAGAGAGAAGAGAAAGAGATTTATTGTAAGGAATTGGGTCACACAATCGTGGAAGCTAGTAAGTCCAAAATATGCAGACAGGGTAGCTCCAACCATCAGTGTGGAGACCCAGGGAAGAAGTGATGTTGCAACTTGGGTCCAAAGAAAGCCTGGAGGAATAATTCCTTCTTCCCTGGGGGAGGTCAGCCTTATTTCTTTTAAGGTCTTCAACTGATTAAGTGAGGCCCACCCCACTATGGAGAGTAAGCTGTTTTACTTAAAGCACACTGATCTAAACGTTAATCTCATCTAAATAATATCTTTACAGAAACATCTAAGATAGTATTCAGCCATGGCCTAACCATGTGATATTTAAAATTAACTGTTGCAATATGGAATGCATATAAACATTCCTATATAATTAAAATATGCTATATTTTGCATGCTTTAAATGTTATTATAGCATACAACCTGCTTTTATCACTCAACATTATGCTCAGAGTTATTTCTTTAATAGGAAATAAAGCAATACATCATTCTTTCTCAATGTTATGCTTAGAGTTATTTCCTTAAGAAGAAATAAAGGAATACTTCATTCTTTCTCACTTTCTACATAGTATTCTGTTCTACGGCTATATCCTGATTTATTTTGCCATTACTCTAAAAATTGGCATTATATTATTCCCAGCTGGTGAGCTGCTAGATCATGAATTCAAGCAAACTTCTTGAATTCTTTTAAAATGACAGTCAATATTCTGTTCCTGGGCAGAGATGTGGTGGCTCATACCTGTAATCTGAGCATTTTGGGAGGCCAAGGTGTAAGGATCACTTTAGACCAGGAGTTTGAGACTGGACTAGGCAATGTGGTGAAATCCTGTCTCTACAAAAAATACAAAAATTAGCTGGGCATGGTGGCATGCACCTGTAGTCCCAGCTACTGGAAGGCTGAGGTGGGAGGATTGCTTGAGCTCAGGAGGTCAAGGCAGCAGTGAGCCATGTTCACTGCACTGCACTCCAACTTGGGCACTAGAGTGAGATCTTGTCTAAAAAAGGAAAGAAAGAAAGAAAAGAAAGAAAGAAAGAAAGAAAGAAAGAAAGAAAGAAAGAAAGAGAAAGAAAGAAGGGAGGGAGGGAGGGAGGGAGGGAAAGAAAGAAAGAAAGAAAGAAAGAAAGAAAGAAAGAAAGAAAGAAAGAAAGAAAGAAAGAAAGAAAGAAAGAAAGAAAATTTTATCCTAGGAAGAGGGCTGGCCTGATGTGGGTCCAGCAAACTGACACAGGCCAAAGTGTGCATGTTACAGAGAAGAAGATCGAGAGGGTGTCAGGACTTCCAAAAGCCCTGGAGCAGATTCTGGAGGCCCACCTGTTGCCAGTAATATTGCAGATCCCAGCATATCAGGGGCACAGGAGAGATGAGCTCCTTCTGGCTCTGAGAGTCCATAATGCTTTGAGGAAGATTTAGCATCAGGCACATTCTCACATTTATTTAATCTTTAATACCCCTACTGGCACAGGATTGTTAACTGAATATCACAAATGAAGGACTCAAGGCCAGAGAACTAAAGGCTATGCCCGGCCTAATACCTTTTCCACTACAGTGCTCCCTGATGGTGGACTTTCATATCAAAAAAGCACAAGTAATACAAGCAGTAGCAGCAGTAACAGAAGTAAAAACGATGGCAATAATGCCATGCAATAGAATGCTTATTATATGCCCAGCTGAGTTCTCAGTGTTTTGCATGTAGCAACTCAATGAATTTCTGCAACAGCCTCATAAAGTAAGTACTAATTCCATTTTGCAGATTAAGAAACTAAGTGTGGCTGAGACTATAGATGGCAGGCATTTCCTTCAGATCTTACAACTTAGAAGGGCTCTGGATAATTTGCAATTGCTAGTACTTGTGTCTCTTTTTCTGGGGGCCTTTTACTGATGCCAGGAAGGTCCTCTCTACTTGCTTTCAAGGCAAAGAGAAGTATTACCGTTACCTGTGAATAACCTCAGGCAATGTCCAATGCGAGTTAGATAAATTTCCAACTCCCTTGCCTCTTTGGAGAGAAAGCTTTTTGAAGTGAACTTGCATTAGTCCACTCTCACACTGCTATAAAAACATAACTGAGACTGGGCAATTTATGAAGAAAAGAGGTTTAATTGGCTCATGGTTCCCAACCAATAACATTAAGGCTATACAGGCTTCTGCTTCTGGGGAGGCCTCAGAAAACTTACAATCATGGTGCAAGGTGAAGGGGAAGCAGGCACATCTTCACATGGCCAGCAGGAGAGAAAGAGAGTGAAAGGGGAAGTGTTACACACTTTTAAACAACCAGATCTTGTGAGAACTCTATCGTGAGAACAGCAAAAAGAAAAGTCTGCTCAATGATTCAAACACCTCCCACCAGGTCCTTCCTCCAACACTGGAAATTATAGTTAGACATTAGATTTGGGTGGGGACACAGAGCCAAACTATATCAGAACTTCTCTACCATTTCCCAGCAATCCCTGGTAGGATCCACAGTGGTAATTGGCTTTATTAGTATACTTCCCCTTCTCTGCCCAGTCTTCTACTGCTGTTTCCTGTATTTTTCTGTCCAAAAATACTTGTCTCCTTGTCTACTTCTAGGGGAACCCAACAGAAGACATTAAGACGTAGAGAAACTAAATAAATTGTGCAGGTCACCCTGATGTAAACTGAGACACCTCATAACTTTGAGTTACATTGTAACTTTACTTACAATGCTACATTCTCCCCACCCCTCGCCCCTGAGACTACCCTCAGTGTACTTTGTAATGGGGGCATTTATCCTCTGGTTGAACATGAAGCAGTAGGACAATGTTGGGCCTTGCTGTCTGTTTCTATGCTCACATCAGCCTGGGCCTGCGGAAATTCTTGACTGAAAGATGTTTGCAAAGCTGCTTCCGTTCAGTCCTGAACAGCAGTACAGAGGCAAAGAGTGGAATATGGGAAAACACAAAGTTCTGCACGACAGGAAATCACGTTAGAAAGCTGTGAAAATCATGTATTCTTTTAAGATGTGATGGTTTTAATTTTCTCAGGCCCTGATCTCCCTGGCAACAATTTAGAAGTGCATAAGCATTCATGAATCAGAGTGGGGCACATCTGCATGTTTAATTACATGTCATTGGATGGAAACTTTCCTTTTGATCTTAGCATTTAAGGGGATTTACACTTTAACAATTACATTTTTTCTTTCTCCTCCCAAAGTCAATGTGGGTTGTTGAATAGTGTCAGCAGAGTTGGGCATAGAGGGAGGATGTTAAGAAAGCCAAGGAGATTTTCTTCTGTCTAGGATGTAGTATTGCACTGTCTACAGGCTCCTATTCTTGAAAAATGGGGAATCTGTGAGGGTCTCACCAAGCAGACCCTTTACCCACTCTAGAGGAGGCAGTGCCAGTAAAGACCAGGGCTTAGATACAAGACAGGCTATAGTTTCCTTACCTTGTTCAGCAATGAGCCTTGATGATGCTCCAAGCCTTTGCAAAGACACATTAATTCTACTTTCATGGCCAGGCTCGGTGGCTCAAGCCTGTAATCCCAGCACTTTGGGAACCCGAGGCAGGCGGATCACGAGGTCAGGAGATCAAGACCATCCTGGCTAACACAGTGAAACCCTGTCTCTACTAAAAAAACACAAAACATTAGCCAGGCGTGGTGGCAGGCTCCTGTAGTCCCAGCTACTGGGGAGGCTGAGGCAGGAGAATGGTGTGAACCCATGAGGCAGAGCTTGCAGTGAGCCGAGATCGTGCCACTGCACTCCAGCCTGGGCAACAGAGCAAGACTCCATCTCGAAAAAAAAAAAAAAATTCTACATTCAGAAAGGAGATCAGTGGTTGCCAGAGACAAATGGAAGACTCTCTACCCTCAATAGAATTTGAATTGCTTTGTCTTCCTTTTCTAAACCTTCTCTTTCCTCCTTCCCTTCACTGCCACCTCTTCCATCTTCTCCCCCTGTTATCAGAAGGGGACCCTATCCAGATTCCAAGAGAGGGTTCTTGGATCTCACGCAAGAAAGAATTTAGGGTGAATCCACAGAGTAAAGGGAAAGCAAGTTTATTAAGAAAGTAAAGGAATAGCCAGGGTGCAGTGGCTCACTCCTGTAATCCCAGCACTTTGGGAGGCTGAGGCGGGCAGATCACAAGGTCAAGAGATAGAGACCATCCTGGCCAACACTGTGAAACCCCATCTCTACTGAAAATACAAAAATTAGCTGGGCATGGTGGCGTGTACCTGTAGACCCAGCTACTCGGGAGGCTGAGGCAAGAGAATCACTTGAACCCAGTAGGTGGAGGTTGCAGTGAGCTGAGCTAGCACCACTGCACTCCAGCCTGGCAACAGAGCAAGACTCTGTCTCAAAAATACAAACAAACAACAAAACAAAACAAAACAAAACGAAAAAGTAAGAAAGAAATAAAAGAAAGGCTGCTCCACCAACAGCAAGACATCCCCCCAAAGCAAAAGGAAGAATGCGCCCACCTTAGTTGCAACGTTTGTTCGTATATGATAAAAAAGGCAAAAACTCACGGGGGTGGTGTACTCTACTACAAGGTGCTGGGACAAAGGATTTTTCATCTTTCTGTAACTACTGTTTTCTGCAAGAATCTATGTTACTATATTTAAAGCAAAACTCATTCTGTTCTTATGTTTATTTTTTTATTTTTTTGAGACAGGGTCTTGCTCTGTCACCCAGGCTGGAGTGCAGCGGTGTGATCATAGCTCACTGCAGCCTCAACCTCTTGGGCTCAAGTAATCCTCCCACCTCAGCCTCCCAAGTAGTTAAGACTACAAGGGTGCACCACCATGCCTGACTAATTTTTGTATTTTTTTAGAGACAGGGTTTCCTAGACTGGTCTCAAACTACTGGGCTCAAGCAATCCTCCCACCTCTGTCTCTCAAAGTGCTGGGATTGCAGGCCAGGCGGCAAAACTTATTCTTAAACAAATCATGCTTTTGTTCTTAAGATATCAAGACAGCAGGCCATTTCCTGGGTCTGTTAACTCCTAGATCTGTTTGGCAAACATTGTTAACCTGTTCCCTTAACCATAAACATCCTATGACTAAGAATGCCTAGCCTCCTGGGGAAGCAGCCTAGCAGGTCTCAGCCTAATTCTACCCAGCCCCTATTCCAAATGGAGTCACTCTGGTTCGAATGTCTCTGACACCCCCATCCCGCTTACTTATTTTCTTTCTTCCTCCCTCCCACACATAATATATTTCAGTGATTTTTCCGAGCCATCCATTAGGGAAACATATGTAAAAGACTTGTCAGGAACCCTTAAGGTCCAGAGGGCAGAAATGTCTAACCCTTTCCATGAGGAATTCATTTGTGTCCAGGAGTATACACCACTGACTCAAAGATTGTTACTGTCCATGTTCCTTCCTTATAAGAACTGACCTGACCTGAACGGTTATTCAGCTCTACATTCACTCAGACAGACACCCATCTATTTAACATTATTTAACACAGCATTAATGCCAATGTCATAAGGCTGTAAGGCCAGGCTATTTGGGTTTTCTCCTGAACCCACTGTGTACAAATTTTTCTCCTTCACTGTGCCTCAGTTTTCTATCTGTAAAATGGGCATGATCAACCCTCAGTGGGTTAAACTGATAATTAAAACAAATGATATTGGTATCTTAGGAATATACCAATATATTGATATAAACCAATATATATTGGTATATATATAGGTATATATGTATAGAATCAATATACCAGTATATTGATTCTAATATAGCCTCCTTCTTGGGATTAGTTGTTTAGGCACATTGTGGGGTTAAGACTATAGTAGAGGACATAGGGGGCCGGGCATGGTGGCTCACGCGTGTAACCCCAGCATTTTGAGAGACCAAGGCAGAAGGATCACCTGAGTTCATGAGTTTGAGACCAGCCTGGCCAACATGGTGAAACCACGTCTCTACTAACAATACTAAAATTAGCCAGGTGTGGTGGTACACACCTATAATCCCAGCTACTTGGGAGGCTGAGGCACGAGAATTGCTTGAACTCAGGAGGTGGAGGTTGCAGTAAGCCGAGATCTGAGATCACAGCACTGCACTGCAGCACCTGGGCAACAGAGCAAGACTGCCTCAAAAAAAAACAAAAACAAACAAACAAACAAAAAAACCCCCGAAAAAAAACTGTGGTAGGGGATTTGGAAGGGAAGGGAGGGGTAGATAGTGCTTTTTGGAACATCTCAGCTTCAGTTTTGCCAAATGAATGAATGAACGAATAAATGATTGAATGAGTTAGTAAAATGACATTTCTAAACTCATTAAGAAAATCCTGAGGACCACAGCATATAGGAGTTAGCATAAGCAAAGACAATGTACCAATGGTCAGAGAGAGAGAGCTGGGGTCAGGACATCTGAAGTTTACCCCTTTCTCTTATTAAGTGTCGTCAGTTTGTGTGTGTGGGTGTGTGCACAAGGAGCACATGCTGAGGGAGCAGTATGACCCGGGTGATCTCCAAAGTCTGTTCCAATTTGGATGATCCATCTGGCTGTTCAATTTTGGGGTGCTTTTTTTCAGAATACCTAAGCATCTGCAAGCAGATGCCTGGCTGACACTGTCTTTCTTACCTCACCTAGTTGAGAGTTGAACAATCATTGAATTAATGTGTGGTCCTGACACTTTTCTATCTACACTCTATATATACTTTTTTTTTTTCTTTTGAGATGGAGTCTTGCTCTGTCACCCAGGCTAGAGTGCAATGGCATAATCTCAGCTCACTGCAACCTCCGCCTCCTGGGTTCAAGTGATTCTCCTGCCTCAGCCTCCTGAGTAGCTGGGATTACAGGCATTCACCACCACGCCTGGCTAATTTTTGTATTTTTAGTAGAGATGGGGTCTCACTATGTTGGCCAGGGTGGTCTCAAACTCCCAACCTCGTGATCTGCCCACCTCAGCCTCCCAAAGTGCTGGGATTATGGGTGTGAGCCACTGCGCCTTGCTTCTATCTACACTATTAGTAGACTCTGCAGCACTGAAAACCAGCACCCCTCCTCTCTCCTGCATCTCAGGGCAGATTCAGGGGTGCCCTGGTCAAAACAGCTTCCCCTGTGCATTTCCTCTGTAGCACTTTCCATAGTGTGTCCTTATATCTTCAGCAAATCATTTTCTCTTCTGTCTCTTCCATAGCAAAGTCATCTCCAAGACAGCAGGAACCATGTTTACTCTTTAATCATTGTATGCTCCCTAAATATTTGCTGAACAAGTGAACAAAAAACCTGGTGGTGGTGAAATTAGACTCCTTCTTGGTGTCACCAGGAGGTCCAGGTAAGTTGAAGGCATAGAATGGACCTGAGAAGAACTTGCTAATCATTACAGTGGTACAGTCACAGGACTGTCTGCCTCCCATGGAATGAGCTCTCACTTTGCCACAGTTTTTAAACTAGAGCTGCATGTTCAGGCTACTGGTCATGTGATTTCCTGCATCAAGCCATAAGTTGGGTAAGATGAGTCATCAAAGGCCTTGAACTGTCTAGAATTCAATGAAACTAAAGCATTCACATATCACTTGTGAATGGTGTCATATCTTTGTTCTCCATGAAAAAAAGTCCAATGAAATACTCATTCCGTTGTGTTACTAACAAGAGCTTGAATTCAATCATACATCCACCATGCATCCATCCACCATGCATCCATTCATCCATCCCCCTTCATCCATCCATTCATTCATCCATCCTCTTTCACTCATCCATACTCCTTTATCCATCTAATCTCTCCATTCATCTGTCCATCTACCCATCCATTCAACCATCCATCAATTCATTCATCTATTCATCCATCCATCCACCCATCCATCCATCCATCCATCCACCTTCCATCCATTCATCCATCCTTTCATTCATCCATACTCTTTTATCCATCTATCTCTCCACTCATCTGTCCATCTATCCATCCATCCAACCATCCATCCATTCATCTATTCATCCATCCATCCACCCATCCGTCCATCCATCATCAAACAACATTGATACATCACTCCTCAAAGTCATGCGAGGTCCAATGAAACCACAGATAAAACATGTGGTCTCTGAAGAACCCACGTATTAATAGGGGAGAAATACATGCTAATAGTAATAATAATAATATCCAATACCTATATAGTACTTTATGACAGGCACTGTTCTAAGTGTTCCACAAATATTAACTCATCTATCTCCAGAAGAACCCTAAGAGGTAGGTACTATTATTGTCATTTCGTATGTGAGAAAAGTGTACTTAGAATTTTCACTCAATTTAGAATTTGAGATGCTATAAAAATAGCCCTGGTTTAGCCTACAGTCATGTGGATCTGAAACAAATACTTTTTTTTTTTTTTGAGATGGAGTTTTGCTCTTGTCGCCCAGGCTGGAGTGCAATGGTGCGATCTCAGCTCACTACAACCTCCGCCTTCCCAGGTTCAAGCAATTCTCCTGCCTCAGCCTCCTGAGTAGCTGGGATTACAGGCATCCACCATCACGCCCGGCTAATTTTTGTATTTTTGGTAGAGACTGGGTTTCACCTTGTTGGCCAGGTTGGTCTTGGACTCCTGACCTCAGGTGATCTGCCTGCCTTAGCCTCCCAAGGTACTGGGATTACAGGCGTGAGCCACCATGCCTGGCCTGAAACAAATACGTTTAAGAATGAACTTATTGCTGTGGTGGAGGTGGCTGTTTTGAGTGACAATATCCTTTCCAGTCATCATTGTAGAGAGGAAAGAATATTGCTCTAAAATTCAATAATCTGGATTTTAGTCTGGCTCTGTGGTTAGCTGGGTGGCTTTGAACAACTTGCTTTCCTCCTCTGGGCCTCACTTGCCTCCTCTGTAAAAGGATCCTAAATCTGTGTGTGAGAAAGGGCAAGGGTGGTAATGACTGGATTCAGCAGAATCCCTGCATACAGTTGTGTAAGTTGCGCACTGCACAATCCCAGGGGCCACCACGTACATAGGCTAAATGTGAATGGAGCCACCTAGAATTGTTCTGCATGGTGACCTGTCTCTTGGGTGCCTTCTGCCTCTAAAGATTTTGCAATTCATTGAAGATTTTCTTTTATCCGGATATGAAACACTATTCTTTGTATAAAGGATGGAACCACATTTTCCTCCCCAATATTTTCTAGCCTATCTGGTTTTGAGTACAACTTAATTGCAGCCGGAACTCTCCATGTGAAAAAATCTTCTCCAAACTCCTCTAGCATCTCGACTTGCTTTCAACATTTCCCTAGAGAATCCTCCCAGCTGTGGCAATGTTTGTGCATAGGCAGGCAAATTTGAAATTCTGTGTCTTCACAGTTGGATAATTTCAAGACAAGCCCAAAGTACATTAGCAGAGGAATGGGGAAGAAATCCATAAGGAAGCCATGTAAGCAGCCTTAAGCAAGAGAAAAGTGGGTGATTCTGATAATGCGACAAGTACCAGGGACCCAGAAAGGATCAGAATGAATAAAAGTATATATTTTAATCAAATTAATGTTTTCCTATTATAAAAGTCTCATATGCTCATTATAAAAAATTTGAAAAACAAAAGTTTTAACATAGTATACTTCACCTTCACCTCCTTTTGACCTTTCCATTCTTTTTTTTTTTTTTTTTTTTTGAGACAGAGTCTCACTCTATTGACCAGGCTGGAGTGCAGTGGTGCAATCTTTGCTCAGCTCACTGCAACCTCCACCCCCTGGGTCCAAGCGATTCTCCTGCCTCAGCCTCCCGAGTAGCTGGGATTACAGGTGCCTGTCGCACCTGGCTAATTTTTGTATTTTTAGCAAAGGCAGCGTTTCACCATGTTGTCCAGGCTGGTCTTGAACTCCTGACCTCGCGATCCACCCGCCTTGGCCTCCCAAAGTGCTAGGATTACAGGTATGAGCCACCATGCCCGGCCTCCTTTTTAATTTTACTTTTTTTTTTTTTTTTTTTTTTTTGAGATGGAGTGTCGCTCTTGTTGCCCGGGCTGGAGTGCAATGGCGGGATCTCGACTCACTGCAACTTCTGCCTCCCGGTTTCAAGCAATTCTCCTGCCTCAGCCTCCGAGTAGCTGGGATTACAGGCACCTGCCACCACACCCAGCTAATTTTTTTGTATTTTTAGTAGAGACAGGGTTTCACTATGTTGGCCAAGCTAGTCTTGAACTCCTGAGCTCAGGTGATCCGCCCACCTCAGCCTCCCAAAGTGCTTGGATTACAGGCGTGAGCCACCACGCCCAGCCCAATTTTACATTTTATACCCTTTTTATTTTGCTTTCTGTTTAACTATATTCACGGTGTAGGTAAATTTCATGAACATTTTAGCTTTTTAAGCCTATGGCTATTTTACAAACAATTTATCTCATACTATCACAACCACTTTATAAACATAATGTTTAGTTAAAAGTTTTATTGATTCACACCTGTAATCCTAGCATTTTGGGAGGCACAGGCAGGCGGATCACCTGAGGTCAGGAGCTTGAGGCCAGCCTGGCCAACATGATGAAACCCTGTCTCTACTAGAAATACCAAAATTTGGGCATGGTGATGCACGCCTGTAATCTCAGCTACCCCGGAGGCTGAGGCAGGAGAATCACTGGAACCCGGGAGGCAGAGGCTGCAGTGAGCTGAGATTGTGCCACTGCACTCCATCCTAGGTGAAAGAGCGAGACTCTGTCTCAAAAAAAAAAAAAAAGGTTTATTGATATAATTATAGATTCACATGCAGTTCTAAGAAAAATTACAGAGCACTCTATATCCAGTTTTCCCGATGGTAACATCTTGAACAACTATAGTACAATATTACAACCAGTATGTCATTGATATAATCAATTCATCTTTTTCAGATTTCTCCAATTGTATGTATAACTCATTTGTGTCTGTGTGCATGCACATTTAATTTTATACAAAGATATCATATCTGAAGCTTTATCGGCCACCATCAAGACATTGAGCAACACCATTACCAGGAGGACACCTCATCATGTCACTCTTTTTCTTTTTTTTTTTTTGAGACAAAGTCTCACTCTGTTGCCTGGGCTGGAGCGCAGTGGTGCGATCTCAGCTCACTGCAACCTCCGCCTCCCGGGATCAGGTGATTCTCCTACCTCAGCCTCCTGAGTAGCTGGGATTACAGGCGCCCGCCAATACTCCCAGCTAATTTTTTGTATTTTTTAGTAGAGACGGGGTTTCACCATGTTGGCCAGGATGGTCTCGATCTTTTGACCTCATGATTCACCCGCCTGGGCCTCCCAAAGTGCTAGAATTACAAGCATGAGCCACAGCGCCAGGCCATGTCACTCTTCCATAACTACACCCATCTTCCTTTCCTTTCCCACCCCTAATCTTTGGTAATCTTATTTTTTCTAAAATTTTGTCTTTTCAAAAATATTCTATAAAATCATACAGTAGTACGTTAACACTTCGGGGTTGGCTTTTTTCACTTAGTGTGTGTCCGGAATTGGGGGGGTTTTTGTTCTCACTGACTTCAAAAATGAACCTGCGAACCCTCGCTGTAAGTGTTATAGCTCTTAAGGTGGCGCATCTGGAGGTTGTCCCTTCTGATGTTCGGATGTGTTCGGAGTTTCTTCCTTCTGGTGGGTTTGTGGTCTCTCTGGCTTCAGGAGTGAACCTGCAGACTTTCCCAGCGAGTGTTACAGCTCATAAAAGCAGTGTGGACCCAAAGAGTGAGCGGCAGTAAGATTTATTGCAAAGAGTGAAAGAACAAAGCTTCCACAGTGTGGAAGGAAACCCCAGCGGGTTGCCACTGCTGGTCCCGGCAGCCTGCTTTTATTCTCTTATCTGGCCCCACCCACGTCCTGCTGATTGGTAGAGCCCAGTGGTCTGTTTTGACAGGGCGCTGATTGGTGCATTTACAATCCCTGAGCTAGATACAAAGGTTCTCCGCCTCCCCATCAGATTAGTTAGATACAGAGTATCCACACAAAGGTTCTCCAAGGCCCCACCAGAGCAGCTAGATACAGAGTGTCAGTTGGTGCACTCACAAACCCTGAGCTAAACACAGGGTGCTGATTGGTGTGTTTACAAACCTTGAGCTAGATACAGAGTGCCGATTGGTGTATTTACAATCCCTGAGCTAGACATAAAGGTTCTCCAAGGCCCCGCCAGACTCAGGAGCCCAGCTGGCTTCACCCAGTGGCTTTCGCACTGGGGCTGCAGGTGGAGCTGCCTGCCAGTCCCGCGCCATGCGCTCGCACTCTTCAGCCCTTGGGTGGTCGATGGGACTGGGCGCCCTGGAGCAGGGGGCGGCACTCGTCGGGGAGCCTCGGGCTGCACAGGAGCTCACGGAGGCGGGGGAAGGCTCAGGCATGGCAGGCTGCAGTCCCAAGGCCTGCCCCGCGGGAAGGCAGCTAAGGCTGGGGGTGAGAAATCCAGCACAGCGCCAGTGGGCCGGCACTTCTGGGGGACCCAGTACACCCTCGGCAGCCGCTGGCCCGGGTGCCAAGTCCCTCACTGCCCGGGGCCGGCAGGGCCAGCTGGCTGCTCCGAGTGCGGGGCCCACCAAGCCCACGCCCACCCGGAACTCCGCGCGCAGCCCCAGTTCCCGCTCGCGCCTCTCCCTCCACACCTCCCCGCAAGCTGAGGGAGTGGGCTCCAGCCTTGGCCAGCCCAGAAAGGGGCTCCCACAGTGCAGCGGTGGGCCGAAGGGCTCCTCAAGTGCCGCCAAAGTGGGAGCCCAGGCAGAGGAGGCGCCCAGAGCTAGCGAGGGCTGTGAGGACTGCCAGAACGCTGTCACACCTCTCATTAGCATAAATTTTCTGGAGATTCATCCCAATTTTTTCATTTAAAAAATCAATAATTTATTCCCTTGTTATTGCTGCATAGTACCCACAGTATACGTATACCACAGTTTGTGTAATCATTCCTGGGTGAAATACACTGGGTTATTTCCATAGACTGTTACTAATAAAGCTACTATTTTCAGGATTTTTTGTGAACATAAGTTTCCATTCCTCCGAGTTAAATGACCAAGCACACAATTTCTGGATTGTGTAACATTTGTATATTTAACTTCATAAGAAACTGCCAAACTGTTTTATGGAGTGACTGTGCCATTTTACATTTGTACCAACAGTGACTGAGTGATTCAGTTTCTCCATATCCTCACCAGCATTTAGTGTTCTTACTATTTTTTGATTTGGTCATTTTGCTAGGTGTCTAGAAATATATTATTGTAGTTTAATTTGGGGAGGATTTTAAATTACAAATTCAATTTTTGAATCATTATGGAGCTGATCAGGTGATCCACTTCATTTTGGTTGAGTTTTGGCAGTATGTGGCTTTCAGGAATTTGTCCATTTCTCCTAAGTTGTGGTTTTTGGTGTTCTCTTAATGTTTTAATGGCTACAGAATCTGCAGCGATATCCCAGAATATGATATTAATATACTCTATATGTACGGTGTTATATTTTTGATATTGATGATTTGTGTCTTCTATTTTTGTCAGTTTTTCCTAAAGTTTTATCAAATGTACTCTTTTGAAGAACCATCTTCTTGTTTCATTGATTTTTCTGTATTGTTTTTCTTTTCTTAATTTAATTAATTCCTGATGTAATTTTTATTATTTCCTTCCTTATGCTTGCTTTAGATTTTGATATTTTGGATTTCCTGAGGCATAGGAACTTAGATTACTTATTGAGATCTTTCCTTTTTCTTTATGTAAGCATTTAGTGTTATAAATTTTCCTCTCAAAATCTCTTAACTACATCCCAATATTTTGTTATGTTTTATTTTTGTTTGCTTGTATGCACTTTTATTTGTTTTGAAGCTTCCTACTTGGCCAATGGATTATTTAGGAGTGTGTTGTTTAATTTTTCCTGTTTAGTTTTCATTGTTTTTGTCTTATTGATTTCTAGTTGGAATCCATGACCAGAGATCACACTGTATATAATTTCAATGTTGTTTTTTTTGTTGGTGGTGGTGGTTTGTTGTTGTTGTTGTTGTTGTTTGTGGTTTTTTTTTTTTTTTGAGATGGAGTCTCACTCTGTTGCCCAGGCTTGAGTGCGTGGCATGATCTTGGCTCACTGCAACCTCAGCTTCCCAGGTTCAAGCAACTCTTCTGCCTCAGCCTCCCAAGTAGCTGGAAGTACAGGCATACGCCATCACACCTGGTTAATTTTTGTAATTTTAGTAGAGACAGGATTTCACCATGTTGGCCAGGCTGGTCTGAAACTCCTGACCCCGTGATCTGCTCACCTCAGCCTCCCAAAGTGCTGGGATTACAGGTGTGAGCCACTGTGCCCGGCTATAATTTCAGTTTTTAAAAATTTGCTGAAGTGTACTTTGTGGTCCAGGATATGGCCTATCTTAGAATATGTTCCATGAGCACTGGGGAAAAACATAGCTTATTATTTTTTTGCTTTTTGCTGCGTTCTACATATGTCAATTAGAACCTGTTGGTTGATTGCATGATTCCAATCTTCTATATCTTTGCCAGTTTCTACCTAGTGGTTTTATTAGTGGTTGGGAGAGAAGTGTTAAATTCTTAAACTCTAATTGTGGATTTGTCTAGTTCTCCTCTCAGCTCTATTGATTTTTGCTTCAGGGATCTTGACACTCTATTCTTTGGTCCATACACATCCAGGTCTTCCTGGAGAACTGATCTGTTTATCATATATAATAATGATATGTCTCTCTTTGTAGTAATTTCCTTTCCCAAGAGTCTACTTTAACAGATATTATTATAGCCACCCTTGATTTTCTTTTATTATAGTATTCTTGGTATATATTTTCTATCCTTTCACTTTTGACCTCCTATCTGGATTTGATGTCAGTTTCTTGTAAACACCATATAGTTGTGTCACAATGTTTTTATCTACCCTACCAAGGTCTAAATTTTGTTGATGATGTTTTAAGGCCACGTTCAGTGAAAGTAATTATTGATTTATTAGTGCTTAAATATACCTTTTTTCCTGATTTGTTCTCTCTGTTTTTCTTGTCTCACCTTCCTGAAGATCCTGTCAATATTTTTTAAATATTCCATCTCAGTTAATTTATAATGTTTTTGACTGTATTTCTTTGTATAATGTTTTTAGTGGTTGCTGTGGAAATTAAAATATACATAATGTGACTTATCATGGTCTAAGAGTACCAGAATTTCCAGTACTTTGAGTGAAGCATGAAAGTCTTACTTCCAGTGGGGTCTCTTTGCCTTCTCTGCCTTTTCACGTGTCAGTCCTGAGTATCAGATAGTTTCATAATTTTTGTTGCAATCATCAAATATGATTTATAAAGCACATGAGGAAAACAATGGTCTATTGTATGTACCCAGATTTGCTCTTTCCATTGTTCTTTTTTCCATCCTGATGCTCCAAGATTTATTCTTTTATCATTTTCTTTTCTATGAAGAACTTCTTTTAGCCAGTTCTTTAAGCCAGGGACTTTTTAAAGAGTTTTCTTTACTATGAGAATGTTATTTCTCTTTCCTTGCAGAAGGATAGTTTTGCCAGATATGGAATTTGTGGGTATTACTTCTTTACATGCTTAAAGAATCGCATCTTGATAGTGTGATGATTTCCTACAGCTGTGTCACAAACCACCATACACTTTGTGGGATAAAACAGCAGTGATTATGTATTATAATCTCTCATGTTGCTGGGCTCAGCTGGGCAGTTGTAGTCTCTCATGGAGTTGTAGTCAAACCATAGCTGAGGCTTCCTTACTCACCTGTCTGATGGGTGATGCTAGTTGTGAGTTGGGGTCTGAGCCATGCTGTTGGCCAGATCACTGACATGAGTTTGTTCTGTGTGGCCTGGGACCCAGCCTGGTGGCTGGGTTCCAACAGCAAGAGTTCCAAATTATTCCAAGCTGATGCTGTATTGTCTTTTTTGATCTAGTTCTGAATGCCACGCAATATTGCTTCTGCCATTTTCTATTTTTGAGAAGTGAATCCTTAAGACCAGCTCATGTTCTAGGGAAGGAGAACTAGACTTGATGGGTAGAAATGTCAAAAAATTTAAACACATGTCTTAAGACCACTACATATAAAAAGGAAAAGAGGAATGAGTGTCTGGCCAGATGTGAGAAACCCATGTCAGCTGGAGCTATTATAAGTTGTCAGTGGCCAACTCTGTATGCAAGATAAGAAAAGGAATGATACATCTCATCTACTGCAAGAGAGGGTTTGGCAGGGGAGCTGTGGGAGTAACTCTCTGCCATTTGCACACGAGACTCAGGAATTATAAAATCTCTTATGAAAAAGGGGCTTCTTTCAACTAAATGCAGAATTCTGCATTTCTTATTAAATGGGTAGATTATGTTTCTCCAGAAATGTGAGGGTATGAGAAAGAAAATATGTGGCTACAGTATGTTTTTCTGCACACCAATGCTTTCATAAGCTATAAAACCATATTCTGTTTCTTAAAGAAATCAGTGACAGGGTATTGAATGTAACACTCTGAACAGAACATTTCCAGCGGTATATAGCATTATAAGAGTAAAACAGGGACATTGTGAGATTGAGACTAAGATGGCCTAAGTGTTAGAATATTTTATCCCTTCAATGACTCATGAGAATGTTTTTAGTTAGCAGGAAGGAGGCATGATCTTGTGCTAACAGTTTTTCTCATATAAAAACTCAGGCCAGGTGCGGTGGCTCAAGCCTGTAATCCCGACACTTTGGGGGGCCAAGGTGGATGATGACCTGAGGTCAGGAGTTTGAAACCAGCCTGGCCAACATGGTGAAACCCAGTCTCTACTAAAAATACAAAAAATTAGCCGAGTGAGATGGAAGATGCCTGTAATCACACCTACTCGGGAGGCTGAGGCAGGAGAATCGCTTGAATCCGGGAGGCGGGGGTTGCAATGAGCCAAGATTGCACCATTGCACTCCAGCCTGGGCAATGAGAGCGAAACTCCATCTCAAAACAAACAAACAAAAAAACAAAAAACAACCTCCCCGAAAAAATGTATATTATATGTCCCAATCATATGATTACTGTAGTTTTTGATTGATAATGCACATATTTTTATTTTGTTGTTGTTTTGGTTCTGGAGTCTTCTGTCTTTTAGGAAGACTCTACCAACAGATTTAATAATTAAACTGGACTTGGATGTAGACTTGGATGTAACACGATTCTATCTGTCACTGTACTTTAACTTTTGACCACTTCCCTGGTTTTTTCATCTCCACTAATGCTACATGAAATTTCAGTTAGGTTCCTTCAGCTTTTAAGGTCATTCTTGAGTAAAAAAATGTCCCCCTTTCAGTCTCTAGCTCAGCCTTTTTGTGGCTGGGAAACCTGCAGTGGGGAGTGGGAGTGGGCAGTAGATGATGGTGGCCTCCTTCCCTGTTTCTCCTTCCCTCTGTCACTCTCTGACTGTACTTTGGGTCTCTGTGAGTTGGAAAGGATGAAGGAGGAGAGGAAAGGTACACTTGACTGATGCCATTGGATTTACCATTGGAACTGCTGGGTGTGTGTTAATTCTCTTCCTTATGGGGGTCTCTTGAGGGTTCTTTGGGCATCCCCTCTCGGTCATCAGGAATCCTGCACCTGAGCTTCCCTTGAAGTGGGCAATGCCTCTTCCCCTCACGGCTTTTAGTGTTCTGCTCAGCTCCTGTCCTGAAGTTCACCCTCTGTTGGAGTTATCTTGACCCTTACGGAGGAGCCCCTTTAGCAGGTCCATATCTGGCACGTAGAGATCTCACTAGAGTTTGCCCTGCCCACTCTAGACCTACAGGCCATTCTGGTACAGTTCTTTCTCTGTGTGATGGCCAGGTGTGAGAGTACAAGCCCCTTTCTGCAGCTCAGTCACAAGTGAGTCAGATGCCTAGTTCCCTATGATGTTCCAACCCCAGAGCCACACAGAATACCCCCAGATGGCTTTCTTCTAGCCCACTCTCTTGCCCTGAGGCCTCCTGAGGCCCTGAGTGGAGATATGGCATACTAACAAGTCTCTCCAGAGAAATCCTCCATACCCTTCTTAATCCATTCCTATATAAGCAGCCTGTCACAAGACCAATGCTAGCTGAAGCGGTTTGGCATCTCTTAGCATGTCCTGAACAAGGTCTAGGACCTTAATGAAGGATGTTCGTGTCCTTGACACATTTCATGCTTGTCTTGGCCTTTGTGATCTCTGCCAAACTCTGAGCAACAAGATCTTTTTTTTTTTTTTTTTTTTGAGATGGAGTCTCGCTCTTGTCGCCCAGGCCAGAGTGCAGTGGCAAGACTGCAACCACCATCTCCTTGGTTCAAGTGATTCTCGTGCCTCAGTCCCCTGAGTAGCTGGGACTACAGGCGTGCACAACCACACCTGGCTAATTTTTGTATTTTTAATAGAGACAGGGTTTCACCATACCGGCCAGGCTGATTTCGAACTCCTGACCTCAAGTGTTCCAACCACCTCAACCTCTCAAAGTGTTGGGATTACAGGTGTGAGCCACCATGCTCAGCCTGTGCAATGATCTTAAACATCCAAGGAAGTGTGAGCTTATTGCAGAACTCATCTGCCTCCTGAGATCTGGCACTACAAATGACCAAGAACTGTTAGATTCTGCAGCTTTCGTTTGTAGCTAGGACACAGGTAAGGTCTCTGCCACCCACGTCGGAGCTGAATCACAATTGCAGTTCCTTTAATTATAAATATTTAAACATGGATGTAGAGTGTAGAATGATAGAAAATGGAGACTGCGAAGAGTGAGAGGGTGAGAGGGAGGGCAGATAACGGGAAATTACTTAATCGATACAATGTATGTTATTTGAGTGATGGATACCCAAAAACTCTAACCTTACTATGCAATCTATGCATGTAACAAAATCACGCTTGAACCCCATAAATCTGTACAAATAAAAAAAGATTTAATAAAAAGTAAAAAAGAAAACCCCACAAATATTAAGTTACTTTTACAAGTGTGTATCAAAGACTCTGTCTTCCAGCCAAATGAATTCTAACTGGGGAAAACTCACATTGACTATCCCATGGGAATAACTGGAGTTTCAAATAACTCTTGGCAGCTCTCCACTAGGATATTATTTTGTAAATGCCTTTAATAAGGAGACTTTCAGAGGCTGCAACCTAGAAACTCAGCCTAGGGTTGGCAACAGGCAGGCACTTAATCAAGTTGTAAAACGCGTTCTAATGTAAAAGGAGAAGAATCGGCGGACAGCTGGCAGGGACGCTGTGCCCTGGCCAGGCTCTGGAAGGCTCTGCTGGGCACCTTTAACAGGTTGCAGCCAAGAAACAAGAAATGGGCCAGCGGTTGCTAGGAGAAGTGCTTGGGTAAACAGAATTCTGGTCCTCCCTGCCTCTTCGTGACATCTTTTCAGCAGATGCAGTTTCAAATGGAGTGATTGATTCTACCTTTTCTCCCCACTCCCCCCTCTTCAGGCAGAGCCAGCCAATTAGTTTAGACATTTCTATTAGATTAGGAGCCAGGAAATGAGAAAAATCCTGTCTCACAAGGGAGCTCTTCTCAGGTCACATGGCTGCCTGGCAGAAATGCAGAGAAATAAACAAGAATGTTTTGTTTGCGGGGCAGGGGACCTAATGAATGACCACTTCTGTAATTTCTCTGTTCCTTCTTCCACCTCGTGCTCCCCGTGCCCCTTTGTAACCTTTCTATTCCTGCACAGCCATTCTGTGCAGTCTCTGAACACTGCAATGTTAGAATCATTCATAGGGGCCGGGCTCGGTGGCTCGTGCCTGCAATCTCAGCACTTTTGGAGGCCAAGGTGGGCAGATCACCTGAAGTCAGGAGTTTGAGACCACCCTGGCCAACATGACGAAGCCTCACCTCTACCAAAAAATACAAAAATTAGCTGGATGTGGTGGCACTTGCCTGTAATCCCGGCTACTTGGGAGGCTGAGGCAGGAGAAGCATTTGAACCTGGGAGGCAAAGGTTGTATTGAAACGAGATAGCGCCACTGCACTCCAGCCTGGGTTACAGAGCAAGACTGTGTCCCAAAAAAAACAAAAACAAACAACAACAACAAAAAATACAAAGAATCATTCATAGGATCACTGAAGCAAAGAATCTTACAGTCACAGAATGTGACATGCTTGATGTTGTGGAATTGAATTGGGCAGAAAGAAGGTATGCTGTTGATTGGCTGGGTGAGTAGGAAAACTGCCTAGCCTCTCAAAGCCCTGGTTTCCTCATCTGTGAAATGGGAACAATGACCAGAATGATCAAACTGGAGAACATAGCCACAGCATTATATACCATAGTGCTTAGGATATGGTGGGAATTCAACAACCCCAAGCCCCCTTATTTTTTATTTTATTTTATTTATTTATTTTTTAGAGACAGGGTCTTGCTCTATTGCCCAGGCTGGGGTGCAGGGGCATGATCATAACTAACTGCAGCCCCCAACTCCTGGGGTCAAGTGATCCTCCTGCTTCAGCCTCCTGACTAGCTGGGATACAGGTATACACCATCAGGCCTAGCTAATTTTTTAAAAATTTTCGTAGCGATGAGGTCTTGCTATGTTGCCCAGGCTGGTCTTGAACCCAGGGGCTCAAGTGATCTTCCCACCTTAGCCCTGCAAAACACTGTGATTACAGATATGAGCCACTATGCCAGGGACCACATCCTTTTCAGCTATATTTTCACAAACTTGAGATCCTGGAATATTAAAGATTAAATAAACTAGGCACTTGCTAATTCAATTTCCTATACCATTTATTAATGTCCTCTAAACAATATATAGGTTGCCTGTGTTGCTCCTCTTAAATATAGCATTTAAATCTGAACTTGTCCAGCCCATGCACAATAAGGCAGATCTCTACACAACTAAGCATCAGAATAAAAAACCTTTGTTGAGCCAGTCAAAACCAATAAGTCAAAGCCAAGTTCCCTGTTTGATTTTCATGCAATTGTTTTTAGAACTAAAGGGAGGAAGTTTGCATTTATATCTACTACATTCCATCTCATCACACTTGGCCCATGAGCTCAACCTAGAGGGACACTATTTCATACCCCTCTATACCCTTCCACATCCAGAGTAGGGGAAAGAATCTCAGGGAGTTGCATTGTAAGCCATTGGCCAGCCACATTTGCTGAAGACCACTGAAAGTTACTTTATGTGACCCATCTCTTGTTTCTCAGCTGCAACCTGTTAAAGTTGCCCAGCAGGGCCTTCCAGAGCCCAGCCAGGGTACAGCATCCCTGCCAGCTGTCTGCCAATTCTTCTCCTTTTGCATTAGAATGCATTTTCCAACTTGATTAAGTGTCTGCCTGTTGCCAACCCGAGGCTGAGTTTCTAGGTTGCAGCCTCTAAAAGTCTCCTTATTATTTTTATTTTTTTGAGACAGAGTCTTAATCTGTTGCCCAGGCTGAAGTGCAGTGGCACATCTCAGCTCACTGTAACCTCCACCTCCCACGTTCAAGTGATTCTCCTGCTTCAGCCTCCCAAGTAGCTGGAATTACAGACATGTACCACCACGCCTGGCTAATTTTTGTATTTTCAGTAGAGATGTGGTTTCACCATGTTGGCCAGGCTGGTCTCAAACTCCTGACCTCAGGTGATCCTCCCACCTTGGCCTACCAAAGTGCTGGGATTACAGGCATGAGCCACTGCACCCAGCCTGAAAATCTCCTTATTAAAGTCATTTACAACATAATATCCTAGTGGAGACCTTCCAGAAGTTATTTGACTTTCTGTGACACCCCCCTTTATCAACACTCTTCTGTCTATGCTCTGGAAACCTGAAGACTAGAAAGCGACATCCACCTCTCTTGCTTCCATGACAAAGGGTACAGGTGAAAGCCAGATCGGGGGAGGGGGGCCTCTGGGACCCATTTTTCTTCCATGTGTCAATAGTGTCTTGGTTCGTTTGTGCTGCTATAGCAAAATACCACAGACTGGGTGATGTATAAAGAATAGAGATTGATGTATCCTGGTTCTGGAGGCTGGGAAGTCCAAGATCAAGGTGCCAGCAGGAGGCTTGGTGTCTGGTGAAGGCTACTCTCTGTTTCCAAGATGATGCCTTATTGCTATACCCTCTGGATGGAAGAGATATAGCAGAAGAGAAGAGGAACAAGAGAGAGCCCTCCCTTCAACCCCCAGCCCTTTATTTATTTATTATTATTTATTAATTTCTGTGAGACTGGGTCTTGCTCTATGGCCCAGGCTGGAAAGCAGTGGCATGATCATAGCTCACTGCAGCCTCAAACTTCTGGCTCAAGCCAGCTCCCAAGTAGTTGGGCCTACAAGCACATGTCATCATGCCCAGCGAATATTTGAAATTTTTTAGAGATGAGCTCTTTCTGTGTCACTCAGGCTGAGTACAGTGCTACAATCATAGCTCACCGAAACTTCGAACTCCTGAGCTCAGGCAATCCTCCTGCCTCACTCTCTTGCGTAGTTAGGAGGACTACAAGTGTATGCCACCACACCTGGCTAATTTTAAAAATTTTTTCAGATATGGTCTCACTCTGTAGCCAGGCTGGAGTGCAATGGCGCAATCTCAGCTCACTGCAACCTCCGCTCCCTGGGTTCAAGCAATTCTGCTTCAGCCTCCCGAGTAGCTGGGATTACAGGCATCCACCTCCACGCCCGGCTAATTTCTGTATTTTTAGTAGATACAGGGTTTCACTACGTTGGCCAAGGTGGTCTAGAACTCCTGACCTCAGGTAGTCCACCCACCTCGGCCTCCCAAAGTGCTGGGATTACAGTTGTGAGCCACTGTGCCCAGCCAGCACTGACAATCTTAATGAATATGTCCTGACTGATTCTCCACTGGGACTGGCAGGTATAAGAAACTGGACTGTATGTGAAAAAGCTAATACCTAAGAATTTAGGATAAATGTTTTAACATGTGGTCCAGTAGAGCTTACCTGAGCTCTGAATTGGGGTCTAGGATCCAGGCCCAGCTATCCTTAGTCATGTTGGTTTTTTTTTTCTTCTTCTTTTCTCTTGGCTTTGCCCCTAAAGTGAGGACATTTCCTTCTGAAACTCACCATTGACATGGCATCATTGTCTGGAGCAAATACCTGGGGTTCGTCGTCTTGTGCCAAGAACTTTAGGACATGGACACATGCAAGGAGTTTAGGAGCAGAAGGTTAATAGGCAGAGGAAAGAGGAAGGAGAAAAGCTCTCTCTCTAGTGAGAGAGAGGGGCTTCTGAAAAGGAAAAAAACCAGTGGAGTGCACCAGATTTATAGGCAGGCTCGAGGAGGCAGTGTCTGATTTACACAGGGCTCACGGATTGGTCTGATCAGGTGTTAGGTACACATAGTCTCTAGGAAGTCTGGCCATCCCACCCTAATCTTACCATGCAAATGGACTGTCCCCTTGACAGGTGCCGTCTTGTCTGCTCCTTACTGCACACATGGCTGGCAAGGGGAAGGGAAGATGGTTATTTTGAACATGTCTAGTCCCAGGTACCTTTTTCCTACCGTCATTCACCCGTGCAAGCTTCCAGCTTGCTTGTCTCTGTCTGCAGTTCTTTACAGGCTGCTCTTTGGTAGAAAATGATTTTCATGCTGCTTTTCATTAAAAAGGAAAACATTACCGAAGACACCCATACCCTCACTATCTGCCTAAGTAATTTCTTCTTAACTCCTATATCACCATGATGAGTAATTAGGGCATTGGACAAAATTAGACCATTCTTAGCCCCTAAACACCGTATTATCACTATCAAATTCTCCTGGCATTGGCCAGGTACAGTGGCTCATGTCAGTAATCCCAGCACTTTGGGAGGCCAAGGTGGGTGGATCACTTGAGGTCAGGAGTTCGAGACCAGCCTGGCCAATGAGGTGAAACCCATCTCTACCAAAAAACACAAAAATTAGCTGGACATGGTGGCACATGCCTCTAATCCCAGCTACTTAGGAGGCTGAGTCACAAGAATTACTTGAACCCAGGAGGGGAAGGTTGCAGTGAGCCAAGTTCATGCCACTGCACTCCAGCCTGGGCGACAGAGTGAGACTCTGTCTCAAAAAAAAGAAAAAAAATTATCCTGATATTTCAGCTCATTAGTGAATGGTCAAAGTCCTTACCAATGGTTGAACAAGGTGGTGTAAGTTTAGTTCCTATAGAATGTAGCCAAAGCATCACCCTTTGCCCCTTATAATTATGGAAACTTTGTTTTGGAAGGGCTTTTTCAGAAATGGAGCTTTACCTCCCTTGAGTAATATTCTGTTCTGGTGATCATTCACCATCTACTTGGATAAGGCTAATTATAGAAAGTTCACTATTGGTAGAAATCCCCATAACATCTAACTAATCCCTAAATTCAACTTTAAATAGAAAAAGGGCCCATATTCCTGTAGTTAGGAGTGTTAGATAATGCCTTCGCTGCATGGAGCCACTTTGCATTTGAACTACTCCCTGCTGTGTAGTAGACGACTTTATTGCACATAATACATGCTCAATAAATATGTGTTTAATCTATAAATTCAATAGTGTTGCTTATTGTCCTAAAGTCGTGGTGAGTAATATTTATATAATTGGCCAATCATGTCAGGGGTTTTGAAAGATGTATTATGTCAGCATAAGCAAACTATTTTTTCATTCAGTTTTCTCAACATTAAAAAAAAAAAACCCTTCCTCCTAGGCATTATAAAAGATGCTGGAAAAAAATAAGATTAATAAATGTCCCTTGATTTTGAGGATCCTAAATTCTCAAGGAAAGAGAAGGGATATGCACACAGCTGGTTATTTTGGCAACAAGACTGAGTTATACAAAGCAATGTACCAAGTGTATACACCACAGGACAGGGGGAAGCAGAGAAAATTTCAATACATAGACATAGAACCAACCCAACACACAGAGGTCAAGGATGATACCAACCCAATGTTGCAATTACTATAACCACATGTGCTCACTTTACTATCACTCCATTTCTGTCCTCAACCATTGGTATAAGTTGGCTCAATGGTTAAAACCATGAACCACCCTGATTTCCAACTCCTTGTTTTCCTTGGTGTGGGTAGATACACAGCCCAGGGCTATGGCCATTGTCAGGCCTCCGAGCCCAAGCCTGCATCCAGATGGCCTAAGGCAACTGAAGAACCACAAAAGAATTGAAAATGGCTGGTTCCTGCCTTAACTGATAACATTCCACCATTGTGATTTGTTCCTGCCCCACCTTGACTGATCAATTAACCTTGTGAAATTCCTTCTCCTGGACAATGAGTCTCAGAACCTCCCTCACTGAGCACCTTATGACCCCCACCCCTGCCCACCAGAGAACAACCCCCTTTGACTGTAATTTTCCTTTACCTACCCAAATCCTATAAAGCTGCCCCACCCCTATCTCCCTTTGCTGACTCCTTTTTCGGACTCAGCCCACCTGCACCCAGGTGATTAAAAAGCTTTATTGTTCACACAAAGCCTGTTTGGTGGTCTCTTCACATGGACGCACGTGACATTTGGTGCCAAAACCCGGGACAGGAGGACTCCTTCAGGAGACTGGTTCCCTGTCCTCGTCCTCACTCCGTGAGGAGATCCACCTACGACCTCGGGTCCTCAGACCAGTCCAAGGAACATCTCACCAATTTCAAATCAGGGAAGCAGTCTTTTCACTCTCTTCTCCACCCTCTCTCACTACCCTTCAATCTCCTTGTCCTTCCAATTCCAGTTCTTTTTTGTTTGGTGGTCTCTTCACATGCACATGCATAACAGTCAGGAAACCTGAACCTTGTACATTCTGGTCATTAGCAAACATGGAACACCTCCAGTGTTTCAAGCATAGAGCCACAGGGAGAGGTTGGGGGCAAAGGGATGTCACCAACAAAATCCTTGTCCTCAGAGGACAGAGTCTGGTCCTGAAGACTCATGTAGAATTAAACATGTCAGACACAGTGTAATAAAACCAAAGCAGAGATATAATGCCTTAATTTACTTTTTCCCAACTGTCAGTTATTTATATGAAAAGTATACACTAGACACTATTTATTACCTCACCTATAGCCAATTCTCACTTTTTCTCCTAATGAAATCTCCATGCTGAGTGCAGGTAGTAGTATCTCATCCTTTGATCTCAAGAAGGAATGTCCCTCATCCACGATGGGGTATGAATCACAATTTGTCTATGCCAGTCATGGTGTGGTAGAGATGCAAGCTGCAATTGTAATCAGTTTTACACATCTATTGCTATTGTTGTAGTAGACCTGAGTCCAACTTGAGACTACATTTTCCAGCCCTGTTTGATTAGGGTGGCCGTATAACTATACTGCTGGTGGAACTGGAAAGGAAGTAATATGTGCAATTTCTGCCTCATTTACTGAAAAGGAAATTTGGAGGTTTAAACTTCCACTCTTTCCATCTTCACATTGTCAGAAAAGGTGACACTCAGTAACTTTTGAAGCCATCAGCTTGAATTCCTGAGCTACTACATGGAGTAAAGCTTCCTGTCACCCTGAAATGCACACCTGGAAACTTCTACTATTTATTTATTTATTTTTGAGATAGACTTTTGCTCTTGTTGCCCAGGCTGGAGTACAATGGCGCCATCTCAGCTCGCTGCAACCTCCGCTTCCCAGATTTAAGCAACTGTCCTGCCTTAGCCTCCCAAATAGCTGGAATTACAGGTGTCCATCACCACACCTGGCTAATTTTTTGTATTTTTGGTAGAAACAGGATTTCACCATGTTAACCAGGCTGGTCTCGATCTCCTGACCTGGTGATCTGTCCACCTCGGCCTCCAAAAGTGCTGGGATTACAGTGCCTGGCCCACTAAATCTCTTTAATACCTATCTCCTTAAATATCCCAAAGACACATAAAGGGATTTTTAGGATCAAAAAGTGATATGGGCTGGGCAAGTGGCTCCCGCCTGTAATCCCAGCACTGTGGGAGGCCAGGGTGGGCAGATCTCTTGAGGTCAGGAGTTCGAGACCAGCCTAGACAACATGGTGAAATCCCATTGCTAGAAAAAAATTCAAAAATTAGCCAGGCATGGTGGTGCTCACCTCTAATCCCAGCTATTCAGGAGGCTAAGGCAGGACGATTATTTGAGCTCAGGGGTTAGAGGCTGCTTTGAGCTATCATCATACCACTGCACTCCAACCTGAATGACAGAGCAGGACCCTGTTTCAAAAAAAAGAGTATCTTATATTTGTGACATTGCCTTCTGTGTGTCTTTGTTTCACCATAATTTGAAAGTATTCATGAGTCCTCTAAGAGCTAGTTTTTCCTAGTGCTATTTAATAGTATGGATTTTTTAATTTATCGGAGTGCAGAAAAGGGATTTACTTTTTTTTTTCTCAAATAAAAAATGCCTCTCTCCATGAATCAAGTGCATTCTTGCTACTTGAAAACAGTTTTCAGGCGCAACCCCTCTGCCAAGGATTGACAAGTTAATAAGTTTTGTGGCAGGCATAATCATCCCCCTTGCCAGGAAAGTCCTGAGTAATCCTTTGGAGGAAGTAGCCGCTGACTTTGGAAATGCAGCCCTTCTGTGGGGTCAGGTGGAGAGAGCTGCCTGCATCAGACTGCCTGCCACTGGCTGCCTTCAACTTCTGGCTGGCAGAAGTTGAAATTCTCAGTAAGTGACATCTTGATGTGCTGGAAAGCAGGTTAGCCATGAGAACACAGGGACAGTGAGGGATTCAGGAACGCATTAGAAGACAGCCTTCAGGGCCGGGCGAGGTGGCTCACATTGGTAATCCTAGCACTGTGAGAGGCTGAGGCGGGTGGATCACCTGAGGTCAAGAGTTCGAGACCAGTCTGGCCAACATGATGAAAACTCATCTCTACTAAAAATACAAAACAATTAGCTGGGTTTGGTGTCAGGCGCCTGTAATCCCAGCTACTCAGGAGGTTGAGGCAGGAGAATTGCTTGAACCCAGGAAGCAGAGGTTGCAGTGAGTTGAGATCGTGCCATTGCACTCCAGCCTGGGCAACAGAGCAAAAATTTCATCTCAAAAAAAAATAAATAAATAAATGAAGAAGACAGCCTTCCAGTGGCAGAAGGGAGTGCAATGTTGAGAAGGAAATGATGAAAGACAACCAAGGCTGGGTTCCAGCCCCAAGGTTCAGCTGTGATGCCAATTTCTTGATGCAGAGTTTGCCAAGGCACTTGATGGGTTGGAGTAAGAAGGTAAAACCAAGGACCAGAACAAGGAGGTGGCGAGCCAGGTCAGATTTAGGAGATCAGCAGGAAACAGCAAAAGATGGGGCATGCAGGTGAATATTTAATATTTTCATTCTATTTTATTTTATTTTTTGAGACTGGGTCTCGCTCTGTTTCCCAGGCTGGTGGACAGTGGTACAAGTGCTACTTGGGAGGCTGAGGCTGGAGGATGGCTTGAGCTCAGAAGTTTCAGGCTGCATGGCTCACTGCTGGCTCAATGCAGCCTGGAATTCCTGGGCTCAAATCATCCTCCAGCCTCAGCCTCCCAAGTAGCTGGGAATACAGGCATGCACCGCAACATTCAGCTAGTATTTTTATTTTTTGTAGACCTCGGGATCTTACTATGTTGCCCCAGCTGGTCTCAAACTCCTGGCCTCAAGCAATCCTCCTGCCTCGGCCTCCCAAAATGTTGGGATTACAGGTGTGAGCCACTGTGCCCAGCCAAATATTTAGTTAAAAAGCCCAAGTCTGAATATACATTGGTAAGACAGGAATGGGTGGACATTAAAGAGCCCAGTTAGAGGCAGGAACAGAATCCAATGTGGGACTTACTGAGGCCTAAATCAAAGTGTGAACACAGGCATAGTATGACACTCTACTAAACAATCAGGTCAACAGGAGTAGGTTGTGGAAAGACAGTTTGGTCTGGGAATGGTTGCTCAGCTAAGGACCCAGGCAGGGCTCCTCAGCACGTGCTGGGTTGGTCATATCTTCTCTTCACACCTGAGCCAGCCTGCAGAACTGAGAGCTCTCTCTCTTTTTTTTTTTTTTTTGACTGAGTCTCCCTCTGTCTCCCAGACTGCAGTGCAGTGGTGCACTCTCAACTCACTACAACTTCTGCCTCCTGGGTTCAAGGATTCTCCTGCCTCAGCTGCTAGTTTATTCCTCTGTTCCTGGTTCCTCTAAGTCTTCCCCTGGTATTGTGTCCCTAGCCTTTGCTACCTAACAAGGCACCCCAAACATAAGTGCCTTAAAACAATTATACAGCCGGGTTCGGTGGCTCACGCCTGTAATCCCAGCACTTTGGGAGGCTGAGGAAGGCAGAATATGAGGTCAAGAGATCAAGACCATCCTGGCCAACATGGTGAAACCCCGTCTCTACTAAAAATACAAAAATTAGCTGGGCTTGGGGGCGGTGCATGCCTGTAGTCCCAGCTACTTGGGAGGCTGAGGCAGGAGAATCGCTTGAACCTGAGAGGCGGAGGTTGCAGTGAGCCCAGATCGCACCACTGCACTCCAGCCTGACCACACAGCGAGACTCCATCTCAAAAACAAAAACAAAATTACACTTCTGTGCATTGGGTACAAGTTTACTTTGCTGACTTTCCTGGGCTCTTTCATCTGGCTATAATTTTTTTTCTTTTTTTAAATTGTGCTAAAATATGCACAACTTAAAATTTACCATCTGATAGGGTTTGGATGTGTGTCTCCTCCAAATCTCATGGTGAAATGTGATCCCCAATGTTGGAGGTGAGGTCTGGCAGGAGGTATTTGGGTCATGGGGGCGGATCCCTCATGAATGGCTTGGTGCCCTCCCCATGGTGATGAGAGAGTTCTCATTCTGTTAGTTCACACAACAGCTGGTTGTTTCAAGGAGCTCCTTCTCTCTCTCTCTTTCTTGCTCCCTCTCTCTCCCTCTCTTGCTCTCTCTCTCCCCATGTGATGTTCCTGCCTGTTCTCTTTTCACCTTCTATCGTAAGTAAGTTTCCCGAGGCCTCACAAGAAGCCTAGCAGATGCTAGTGGCATGCAGGTACAGCCTGTAGAACCATGAGACAAATAAACCTCTTTTTTTTTTTTTTTTTTTGAGACAGAGTCTCACTCAGTCACCCAGGCTGGAGTGTAGTGGCACAATCTCGGCTCACTGCAAGCTCCGCCTCCCGGTTCACACCATTCTCCTGCCTCAGCCTCCTGAGTAGCTGGGACTACAGGCACCTGCCACCACGCCTGGATAATTTTTTTGTATTTTTAGTAGAGACAGGGTTTCACCATGTTAGCCAGGATGGTCTCGATCTCCTGACCTTGTGATCTGCCCGTCTCAGTCTCCCAAAGTGCTGGGATTACAGGCGTGAGCCACTGCACCCAGCCTTTTTTTTTTTTGAGACAAGTTCTGGCTCTATCACCCAGGGTGGAGTGCTGCAGTGATGGAATCATAGCTCACTGCAGCCTCAAACTCCCAGGCTCAAGCCATCCTCCCATCTCAGCCTCCCAAGTACCTGGGACTACAGGTGTGCACCACCACACCTGGCTAATTGTCGTATGTTTTGTAAAGACAGGGTTTCACCATATTGCCCAGGCTGGTCTCAAACTCATGAACTCAAGCAATCCACCAGCTTCAGTCTCCCGAAGCCCTGGGATTACAGGTGTGAGCCTCTTTTCTCTATAAGTTACCCAGCCTCAGGTATTCCTTTACAGCATGGCAAAACAGACTAACTCACCAGTTCTTCAGTGTACATTTTGGTAGTATTAAATACATTTATAATGTACAATCTTTATCACTATCCACTTCCATAATTCTTTTCATTTTAAAAACTTAAACTTTAGGCCCGGCATGGTGGCTCACGCCTGTAATCCCAGCACTTTGGGAGGCTGAGGTGGGCAGATCAAGAGGTCAGGAGTTTGAGACCAGCCTGGCCAACATGGTGAAATCCCGCCTCTACTAAAAACACAAAAATTAGCTGGGAATGTTGGTGGATGCCTATAATCCCAGCCACTCAGGAGGCTGAGGCAGGAGAATCGCTTGAAGCTGGAAGGTGGAGGTTGCAGTGAGCCAAGATTGTGCCACTGTGCTCCAGCCTGGACAACAACAGCGAAACTCCATCTAAAAAAAAAATAAAGTAAAATAAAAAAATTAAACTTTATATACATTGAACAGTAACTCCTCATTTTCCTGTCTCCCCTGTCCCTGGAAACTGCCAATCAACTCTCTGTCTATACGATTGTGACTACTCTAAGTACCTCATATAAATGGAATTATACAGTATTTGCCTTTTTGGGATTGGCTTATTTCACTTAGCATGATGTCCTTAAGTTTCATCCATGTTGTATCATGTGTCAGAATTTCCATTATTTTTAAAGCTGAATGATATTCCATTGTATGTATATACCACATTCTGCTTATTCATTCATGTGCAATGGACACTTGGGCCATTGTAAATAATTCTGCTATGAACGTGACTGCAGAAGGATCTCTGTGAGTCCCTGCTTCCAGTTCTTTTGGGTATATAACCAGAAGTAGAATTGCTGCATCATATGGTAATTCTATTGTTTTTTTTTTAAGATGAGTCTCTCTCTCTTGCCCAAGCTGGAGTGCAGTGGTGCAATCTAGGCTCACTGCAACTTCCGTCTCCTGGGTTCAAGCAATTCTCCTGCCTCAGCCTCCCAAGTAGCTGGGATTACAGGCACCCGTCACCACGCCCGGCTAATTTTTGTATTTTTTAGTAGAGGTGGGGTTTCACCATGTTGGCCAGGCTGGTCTTGAACTCCTGACCTCAGGTGATCCGCCCACCTCGGCCTCCCAAAGTGCTGGGATTACAGACATGAGCCACCATGCCAGGCCAATTTTATTTTTAATGTTTCGAGGAACCACCACATTGTTCTTCAAAATGGCTGTAGCATGTTACATTCCTACCAATAGTTCACAAGGATTTCAATATCTCACATGGCTGTAATTTATCAATTGCACAAGAAGGTCCAAGCTGGCCTCACTCAAAGGTCCAACAGTTTGTGCTGGCTGTTACCTGGGCACCTAAAGTTCCTCAATGGTGCCTGTGTCAGTCTTGGTATTCCAAGCAGATGCTAAGTCTGGATTTATTAGGGAAAACTCTAATAAGAGTGTAAGAGACTTATTAGAGAAAACTCCTGCAAGGGAAAATGGGAAGGAAGCCAGCGGAGTCCAGGAGAGTCATCAGACCACAGCGCAAGTCTAGCACCAGGGGAGAAGGGAAAGATGGGAACACAGGGCAGGGCAAGACTTCGCACGAGGTTCTGCAAAAGTTTCTGCAAAGCTGATGGGGAGCCCATGATAGAAGTGGTGCATTTCCCAGGAGTGGGCTTGCCTGAGAATCCTGCCATGCTCAATCACTGTCTGGGAGCAGTCGGGAAAGCTTGGCCTCCATGGAAACATGGCGATTGGTAGATTTCTGAGAGCAGCAGCTGGGTCACTGGTCAACTCATTCCCCTGTGCTCCAACATCTGAGGAAGATAAGTAGGAAAGGGATTGGTATAAAGAACTGCGCTTGCTTTGTAACTTCATCCCATTCACAAGAAGGCAGAACAGCTTCTCTTTACATATAAATTATCACTATGTATTGCAGTAGGCCCCTGCCAGGGATCCCTCTTCCCTGGATTATCTGCTGCACCCTCCAGCACCACTCAAGGCCTCTATTCAAATGCCATCCTCTGCATAAGTCCTTCCCTGATGACCCATTTAAAATTTGAAACACCTCTTCCCCAGCCACACTTCTTGCCCTACTTCCCTGACTTGTTTCTTTCTATGACGGGTGTTGCATTCTATATACTATAATTCAGGTTTGGCTCCTTCACTAGAATATCAGTTCTACAACAGCAGGGGCTTGTCGCTTTTATTCAGTGTTATATCCCTAGCATTTACAAGTGGGATGGCCAAAGAACGTGCTCAATGAAACACATTTTTATTGAATAAAGAATAGTAGCTCATGTCTGTAATCCTAGCGCTTTGAGAGACCAAGGTGAGAGGATTGCTGGAGGCCAGTAGATTGAGACCAGCCTGGGCAGCATAGTAAGACCCTATCTCTACAGATATTTTTAAAAATCTGCTAAGCATGATGACAAATACCTGCTTGAGCCCAAGAGTTCCAGACTGCAATGAGCTACGATCACATTAGTGCACTCCAGCTTGGGTGACAGAGTGAGACTTCATCACTAAAAAAGAATAAACAAAAAAAGAATGAAAAGAGTCTATGATCTATTTATGCACTGTCCTGTGGACTCTATTCATCTATCTATCTATCCATCTACCTGTTCATCCATCTGTCTATCAATTTATCCATCTACATATCTGTCTATCATCTATCCACTCATCCATCCATTTATCCATTCATCCAACCAACTATCCATCTAGCTAGCTATCCATTCGTCCATCCATCCATCCATCCATCTATTCATCCATTTATCCATCCATCCATCCATCCATCCTTCCTTCCTTCCATCCATCCATCCATCCGTCTATCTATCTATCCATTCATCCATCCATCTATCCATCTATCTATCCATTTATATATAGTCTTATACAATTTATATATAATCTTATCCATTTATACATAATCTTACACAATTTTTTTCTCTATTGTTATCCTTCAATTGCTAAGAGTCAGAACAGTCACATAATGTGTACGGGGTCACTCAATTATGAGTGATGATGAACCTTGGATGGGAACCCAAGCCTGTCTCCAAATTTACTGTATTTCCCAGTAACACGCATGGCCTCGTTACAAAGATAAAGATAGAGAAAATGAGGAAGGGAGGGAGGAGAAAGGAAGCAACACAAACACATATACCTAATCCCTGCTAAATTCAAGTAGAGTTTTAAGAGTCCCATAACTAGAAAACCATCTTGTCTGTTTTTATTGTTTTGTTTATCCACTGAAATGTCCAACACTTTAGCATAGCTTCAACAAAGCACATTTAACGATGTACCTACGTTATAAAGGCACAGGGATAATCTTCATGAATTTGAGTGATTTCTCCTTAGGAATCACACATCACCATCATCCCCTTCGGGGTGGCTTCTGTGAGCTGTAAATAGATGAAAGAACTGCAAGACTCTGCACTTGCTAGTCCGCCCGAGGGAAGAAGGGGAATGCTCCCCACTAAATCGGAGCTCTTTAGAATCCTTCTTAAGGAAATGCATGATTAATGAGCCATTTTAGAACACAGGCCGGAATCCACATGCTTTCTAAGTGTGTTCTGCATAGAAGCAGGGATTGTTGGTAGCCAAGATATAAAGGCCTCTGTACACAGGATTCGTCTTCTTTTTCCAGAAAAGGCAGGAGATGAAAAATGCATCTTAGGGCTAAAGAGGCCTGGGAAACAGAGGTTGCTTTGAGAGAAGTATGATGTAATGAAAATAAATCTTGGGGTCCCCAAATCACAAAGCTAAAAGGAAAAGCCAAGCTGGGAACTGCTTAAGGCAAACCTGTCTCCCATTCTATTCAAAGTCACCCCTCTGTATATCTGATCGCCTCCTTTGGAAAGGCTAATCAGAAACAAAAAAATCCAACAATTTCTCTCTTATTGACCTATGACTCGAAAGCCCCCTCCCCACTTCGAGTTGCCTGGCCTTTGCCTAGAGTTGTCCCACCTGTCTGGACTGAACCAATGTACACCTTACACTTATTGATTGATGTCTCATGTCTCCCTAAAATGTGTAAACCAAGCTGTGCCCCGACCACCTTGGGCACATGTCATCAGGACCTCCTGAGGCTGTGTCACAGGTGTGTGCCCTCAACCCTGGCAAAATAAACTTTCTAAATTAACTGAGACCGGTCTCAGATTTTCAGGTTCACATAACCTTCCTGCAAAAGTATTTGAATGCCTCTAATTCGACAGTTTTGCTGTTTACCAGCATAACCAACACTTCTCTTAGCACTATAAACAAAGAACTCCTTATTGAAAATAGAAAGTTAACTGAAATTCTGAAGGGCTTGCTTAGTTTGCAGATAAAAGCAAATAACCTATCAACATAAAGTTGACAGCACCTGAAGGCCCACTGTGTGCTGCTTTGGAATCCGCCTCATCTCTGGGTGATAAAGCACGCTCTGAAGAGACTCTGCAAGAGTGGCTAGAAAAGCTGTAAGTGGACTGTGGCTTATTTATAGTCATTCTGCACGTGTGCTAATGAGCCATGGCTGCCTGGCAGACACAATTTAACTTTCTACGGCTCTTGGTTTCCTCATCCATAAAATTACAAGGTTGGACAAGTTAAATTCTCAGAACTGTTAGCCCAAAACATTCTCTGCTGTCATGACACTCTGGTTAAAATAGTATGTTATTTTGACTTCTCAGTAATCCTGACTGTCCTTCTTCCCCACTGATTCTGGATGAGGATTTTATGCCTGCTCTAACTTACCCAAAACATTAGCACAGCTGATGATCTGACACACTGAACAATGACTAAACCGTGACTGAGATAAGGCCACTTACTAAATGTATGTAGGTAAGCGTTCTAACCTCTCTAGGCCTCAATGTTAGTGTATGGAAGACACACTTGAGAGCAATAACTTAAGCACACCCTGAAAATAACACTATCATCTAAGGAAATGTGTGTTCAAAGTTCTGGCTGGGCGCGGTGGCTCACGCCTGTAATCCCAGCACTTTGGGAGGCTGAGACGGGTAGATCACAAGGTCAAGAGATAGAGACCATCCTGGCCAACATGGTGAAACCCCGTCTCTACTAAAAATACAAAAATTAGCTGAGCATGGTGGTGGGCACCTGTAGTCCCAGCTACTCAGAGGCTGAAAGCAGGAGAATCACTTGAACCCAGGAGGCAGAGTTTGCAGTGAGCCGAGATCGTGCCACTACACTCCAGCCTGGCGACAAAGTGAGATTTCATCTCAAAGGAAAAAAAAAAAGCTCCAAGCTAAGGAATCCAGAAGTGGCCAACCTGAAGATTCATTGCTTATCTGTAAAGGACATCAGAATCCCTGGACCATCCCTTGAAATGCAGGCTCTACAGGGGTTCGAGGCCCTTTGTTTTGGGATACATGGAGGTTGCTAGGTGGAGGTTGCTAAGTGACAAAGTATTACAACCTGCATGCATTTTTTTTTTTTTTTTTTTTGAGATGGAGTTTCACTCTTGTCACCCAGGCTGGAGTGCAATGGCGCGATCTTGGCTCGGCGCAACCTCCACTCCCTAGGTTCAAGCAATTCTCTTGCCTTAGCCTCCCAAGTAGCTGGGATTACAGGCATGCACCACCATACCCAGCTAATTTTGTATTTTTAGTAGAGACAGGGTTTCACCATGTTGGTCACGCTGGTCTCGAACTCCTGACCTCAGGTGATCCACCTGCCTCGGCCTCCCAAAGTGTTGGGATTACAGGCGTGAGCCACTGCACCTGGCCCCTGTGTGCATTTTTTTAAAAAGCAGGGAGTCTCCTGTCCAGCCTGCCACTCCTGGACTGCCCCATTTTTAAGTCCTCAATAAACCCTATTGACACAGGATTCTTTGGATGCTGCTTCACCAGCTGGAAACCTCTGCGGTTGGCAGAGATGCCCGAGTTTCACCCATGACCACCAGGCTGGCTCTGCCCACTTAGCCCAGCAAGCTGTGCTGGGCTGGCTCTGCTCGGCTCTCGCTACCGACCCAGATCCCACACCCACTGTGAGTGAGTCAGGTACAGAGTGGTGAGGGGTGTGTGATCAAGCAAGCATGGGGCACAGCCAAGTGTGCCAGCTGCTATGGCGGGGCGGGCAGCTCCAGGTGCCAGCACGTGCACGAGCTTTGTACAAGGTTGTGGTTGGACCAGATGTGCCTCAAGCGGTTTCTGCCTTGGGTGCTGGCATCTGGATGAGGGGAACATGTTGGTGCCCAAAAATTTAGAGACACCAGCAACCACAGAGGCCTAAGTGGGTGTTACAGCGTGTCACAGCTCTGGCTCAGGGAGTCCCAAGACCTGGGCCCCCAGAAGGGTTACCGGTCTTCCCTCACAGTCCAGCAAATGAGAGCATGTCACCACCCACAGCTTGGTAAGCCAGGCAGGAACATGTTACAACCCTTTTCACTGCTGCTGTTAAGCAGGCTCTGGGTTCTTGTCCCATGACATAAGGTTACATGGACAACCAGAGAGTTAGCAAGGTGGGGAAGAGTTTTACTGTGCAACATAACAACTCTCAACATGAGAGAGTAACTCGAAGTAAGCAGCCCCTTCCCCAAATCAGGTAGTTCCAGTGTGTGGCTGAGTCTGGGGTTTTTATGGGCTCAGAATGGGCGAGTGCGTGCTGATTGGTCTGTGGGTGGACCTGGAAAAAGCATCATTTGATTGGCTAAAAAGCCATCGAGGAAGTTCTCACTCCAGTCCTGGGCTGTAGTAGCTAGGTTTTCAGGCTTTGGGCTGTCTTTGGCTTGAAGGTCGGATTTCACCAGGGACCTGGCCCTGTCTGCCTAGGAATTTGTCTGCCTCCTGCCACTGATATTATGTCACCTTCACTGGCTCCAGGTCTCCTCTTTGGCTTCTGGGACATGGTGCCATCTCTATTGGAGTCAACAAGGGTCCAGCACAATAGCTGGAAATTTGCAGAAGAAAAGAAAGGTTGCTCAGGGACAGGTGATGAAACAAATAATGAGGATGAAGCTTACAAAGAGCATTCTATTTCTCAAGACTTAAATATATAAAAAATAGCAGCCCAAAATTATTGAAAGCAAACCACATTTGGTACGGAGCTGTCTCTCTGGGCTAGTTTGCTGGCGGGTCTGCATGGTGGACCACATTGTCATCTGTCTTCCGTGTCCTTCTTCAGCACGATGAGCTCTGCTGTGTGCGTCCTGGTGCTGGAACTGCTATTACCAACGAGCTAATTGAGTTTGCTGGCCTTGAAAATGCATCCCTGTAGGTAATGTGATGATGTAATGCTGTGTTCCTGCCCTCTGGATTTCCTCCCTGCCATTACGGAGGCCTTATTTATGAGACTGGAAACAAAAACAAGAAAAAAACCAGGATGGCCTTTTGATGTGACTTAAACAAGGCTGGAACAGAGCCCAAGGCTTAGCTTTCCTTTGTCCCCACATGCCCCTGAAATGCCAGGACTCAAGTGAAACAAGGAAATCCCAGAAAGCAGGCGGGGGTCCATGAGAGACTGGTGGACACAGGTCTATGGAGGACAGGAACATAGGTGCAAGAAGGACGCCTGGAAGAAGGGTGAGCAAATGGCAAATGCTGGATGCACAAGCTCCACTTATGAACAGAATGAGGACGGGGCTAGGCAAGGTCAAACTAATCCAGCAGACACTGAGATGAGTTTGGAGAGAGGGAAGGCAGGACCCTTTTAAGTCTGAGGAAGAAGAGCATGACAGACTGCCCAGGGGAGGTGATATGCCCAACACAGGACAAGCTGGAGGCATGCAGGGAAGTCCATCTGGGCTGTGCAAGGGAAGGCTAGAAACTATCACAGCTCGTCAGCTGCTGGAAATTCAGTGAGCTCCTCTGTGTCAGGGGTGGGGCTGTGGAAAGCCAGGCAGGGCACCTGCCCTCATGGAACTAACTTTCTGGTGCTGACAATGAACTGATAGGGCATGAAGACAGACCAACAGATCAATGGAATAGAACCAATTCCAGAAATAAACCCTTGTATATGTGGTCAAATGACTTAGAACCAAAACCATTCAATGCTGAAAGGACTCTTTTTTTTTTATTTGAGATGGAGGCTTGTTCTGTCTCCCAGGCTGAAGTGCAATGGTGTGATCTCTGCTCACTGCAACCTGCGCCTCCTGGGTTCAAGTGATTCTTCTGCCTCAGCCTCCCAAGTAGCTGGTATTACCACCACAATGCCCAGCTAACTTTTGTATTTTTAGTAGAGATGGGGTTTCACAATGTTGGTCAGACTGGTCTTCAACTCCTGACCTCAAGTGATCTGCCTGACTCGGCCTCCCAAAGTGCTGGGATTACAGGCGTGAGCCACCGTACCAGTCCTTGAGCTATAGAGCTTTCTGAAAGTCACTCAATTGCTGTAAATAAATCTAGGTGCTCAATTGCTGTAAACTTAGGTTTAATCAATCTGCTGCTTTTTTTTTTTTTGCTTTATTTTGTTTTGAGGCAGGGTCTCACTCTGTCACACAGGCTGAAGTATAGTGGTGCAATCATGGCTTACTGCATCCTGAAACTCCTGGGCTCCAGGGATCCTCCTGCCTTAGCCTCCTGAGTAGCTGGGACTACAAGTGTGCACCACCACACCTGGCTAATTTATTTTTTTTAATCTTTTGTAGAGATGCGGTCTTGCTATGTTGCCCAGGCTGGTCTCAAACTGCTGGCCTCAAGCAGTCCTCCCAACTCAGCCGCTCAAAGTGCTGGGATTACTGGTATGAGCCACTGCACCTCGTTACTAAGGCTGCTTGAAGCTGAACAGAGACAATGAAATAAAGTGGTTAATACCTGGCAGACACGGGCCTCCAAGAAGATATTCGTGTTACTTCAGTCTCTGTCTTTTGTCAAAAAGGCTTCTGATACAAGTCAAAATGAATTATGAATTTTCATTATGAATCCTCTTCTTCCTTCTCTCGATGCGGTGAACACAGCCTCTAAAGTTGCCCTTGGGGTGTCTCGTATCATGACGTTTTGCTCTTCAACATCTGCAACGGAATTAACTACTTTTTGTGTTGCCTTTCATTTAGAGATATTCCCAGTGCAATGACTGCCTCCTAGCAAATACTTCATGTCCTCGGCAGCGCCATGAAGTTAGAAAAAAATGCAAAAATACTTCCTGACTGAATAAATGATGATGGTATTTGTAATGCGATGCACAAACAGACACACACCATTTCCAAGGAAAGGGATCATTAAAATATTTTTTAACCCATTTCACGTCAATATGGTCCGTGTTATGTGAATCACTACTTGGCAAAATGAAAAATTATATATATATATATAGAGAGAGAGAGAGAGAGAGAGAGTTAAATTGGACTGTGAGAGCTGAGCATAAACACGTTGCAGATCAAAGTCCTGGTTTGTGAAGACAGGTGAAAGGAAAAAGTGCCTGCCTCCTAATGGAAAAGAAATTTCCCAGGAAGGGAAAAAATAAAAGGCGACCCGAAACAAAAGCAAGATGAATCACTTTCATTCTGAAAGGAACACAGTGAAACAATGTTGCTAAATGAGATACAATTTCTGACAAAGATCTTCTCTGTTCTCCAAGGACTTTTATTGTGCTGCGTGTACCAAGAGTTATGTGTTATCTTCCCAAAAAGAGTCAGTGTACTTTATTTTATGCGTGGTACCTCTCTTTGCCTCTTCTCCCCACTTGCTGCGATTTAAGCCGTCTATTGTAGTGCCCTATCTCTGATCAGCCCTAAAGATCTGAAAAGCCCTGAGTTTGCAAGAATAAGAAAAAAAAAAAAAAGGCCTCGGGTTTGACAGTGATAGATCCTACAGTCCCCCCGGGATGACATTCCTGCACTATGAAGACCACAGATCCTCCGATAACAAGCAGTAGCTCCTGTTTGCCTCATGCCTTTGTATAGAGGTCAGGATACCTGCAAGGGAAAGGGCATTGCTGGGAGAGCCTGGGCTACTTTTACCGAGCACAGCAGGAACGGCTTCATATTAGAGGCAACAAGTTTGGGTGAAAGGGAAGGTAAGGATACAGTCCTTGAACTCAAGGATGTCATAATGGAAAGCAAGGTTTAAGATGCAAAAATGACCCTTTAAACTTAAACCAAAATCCCTATAAGCTACTTTCCTTATTTTATTTTATTTTATTTTTGGAGACAGGATCTCACTCTGCTGCCCAGGCTGAAGTGTATGCAGTGGCATGATCATAGCTCACTGCAGCCTCAAACTCCTGGGCTCAAGCGATCTTCCTGCCTCAGCCTTCCGAGTAGCTGGTACATAGGCATGAGCCACCAGGCCCAGCTAATTTTGTAAATATTTATTTTTTGTAGAGAGGTTTCCCAGGCTGGTCTGGAACTCCTGGTCTCAAGTGATCCTCCTTCCTTGGCCTCTCAAAGTGCAGGGATTATAGGCGTGAGCCACCGTGCCCAACTGGCATTCAGCTACTTTCAAGCACTGTGTCCTTGCCTCCCTACACCTCAGTTTCCTCTTCTCTAAAATGGGATAACAGTAGCATCTGCTGCAAAAGATTGCTGTAGGGAATAAGTCATATACATGCAAGGCTAGTATCACTGTAGTGAAAGCTGGAGAAATACCACCTCTTGTTGTTGTTATTATTTGTATAGTGAGCTTTTATACCTTAGCATTCCTTGGTGTAGTGAGTGATTAACACCTTCTTATAGTTAATGAATGAACAATTAGAACACAATTAAGCAAAGAGAATTGCATTACTCTTCTGATTAAAAGCCTGGTACCCAAAGGATGAAATTTGAACTCTTTCGTGTGGCTTTCCATCTGGCCCCAGGCTTACCTACCGGCCTTCTCCCTGTCAGTACAAGCTCTGCTGAGCCACCCGAAATTATACAAACTCACTGAACATTCACCACATTTGAGCTTGACTTGTACCTATAAGTCTGAACACAGCATGTGCTCAGTCCTTTCCTCTATGACCAACAAATGTAGATGGGAGAGTGAATTAGAACTCCTATATGAGCTTCAGTGCCCAACCTAGATGCCCCTTTCCCTATGAAGCCATCCTTTGGCCTCCCTGAAGCATTGGTCATTTATCTCTCCTCTGGGCTCACAGCATATTTTATGCCAGTGCTTCTCAAAGTGTGGTCCCTGGACCAGAAGCAATATCATCTGGGCACATATTAGGCCAGTATCACTTTAGTAAGGGCTTGAGAAATACCACTTATTGTTATTATTATTATTATAGTGAGCTTTTTGTACCTTAGCATTTGTTAGAAATGCAAATTACTTGGCTCCATCGTGGACCCACTGAACCAGAAACTCTGGGGCTGGGACTCAGCAACCTGTGTGAGGAGCCTTTCCCGTGATTCTGATGCACACTCACATTAGAGAACAATAGCTCGATGCAAACTTCCACTTTACCCTGCCTCCTACACTTTCAAAATCACTTGCTTAAACATATGACTCTGTCCTATAAGAGTTGGCTTTTAGCCAACTTCTTTTACCTTCTTGTGTCCTAATTTTCCTCATCTGTTAAAAATAGGCATGATTAGCCAGGTGCGGTGGCTCACACCTGTAATCTCAGCACTCTGGGAGGCCGATACAGGTGGATCACCTGAGCTTGGGAGTTCGAGACCAGCCTGACCAACATGGAGAAAACCCGTCTCTACTAAAAATGCAAAGTTGGCCAGGCATGGTGGCGCATGCCTGTAGTCCCAGCTACTCGGGAGGCTGAGGCAGAAGAATTGCTTGAATCTGGGAGGTGGAGGTTGTGGTGAGCTGAGATCGCACCACTGCACTCCAGCCTGGGCAACAAGAGCGAAACTCCATCTCAAAAAAAAAAAAAAAGGAATGATCATATTGAGACGTGAAGGTGGCTGGGCTTCTGGGTGGGGTGGGGACTTGGATAACTTTTCTGTCTAGCTAAAGGATTGTAAATGCACCAATCAGCGCTCTGTAAAAACAGACCAATCAGCACTCTGTAAAACGGACCAATCAGCACTCTGTAAAATGGACCAAACAGCTCTCTGTAAAATGGCTCAATCAGCAGGATGTGGGTGGGGCCAAATAAGGGAATAAAAGCAGGCCTCAGGAGCCAGCATCGGCAACCCGCTGGGGTCCGCTTCTGTGCTGTGGAGTGTTTCTTCTTTTGCTCTTGGCAATAAATCTTGCTGCTGCTCACTCTTGGGGTCCACACCACCTTTAAGAGCTGTAACATTCACTGCGAGGGTCTGCAGCTTCACTCCTTAAGCCACGGAAACCATGACCCCATGGGGAGGAATGAACAACTCTGGACCTGCCACCTTTAAGAGCTGTAAAACTCACCTTGAAGGTCTGCGCTTCACTCCTGAAGTCAGCAAGACCATGAACCCACCAGAAAGAAGAAACTCTGGACACATCTGAACATCTGAAGGAAAAAACTTTGGACACACCATCTTTAAGAACTGTAACACTCACTGTGAGGGTCCGTGGCTTCATTCTTGAAGTCAGCGAGACCAAGAACCCACTAATTCTGAACACGATATTACGTTACAGGAATGCTTAAAGTTAGAATTAATAAACATCTCAAGCACTAATTCCCTCCAGACGCCTCCACTCTCACCTCCAAACTCTGTATTCATGGTTGGCTGGTGTGATGGTCTTCATATGAAACTGCCCGTTACCTTGCCAAATAGACCCATCCAAGAGGTATAATTCCAGGAGAAGAGTCTGTTAGGGTTTTGGGAAATAAGCGGCCTATTCCAAGCATCAACAAGGAATGACTGAGCCATTACAAATGAGTTAATCATGAGTAAAGTCTTCAGCATGAGGTAGAGATAGCGGGAAAGGGAAGAAAGATTATTTATGGCTACCTCCAAGTGAGGATGAGTCAAGCTAGGGTCAAGAAAGGGTAAGTTAGACGGATGGATATTGAACTTTGCAATCAGCTTACTGCGATTGTGGGTTTGGGGTGGCTGCGGTGGATGGGACCTTTCTCTCCGTCGCTAAAAGAGTATACAAAAAGATCCCAGAAATTGCACTGTTTTGCCCATGAGCCTGGTTCTGTTAGCATGGAAGGGCCTGCGTGATGGATGACTGAAAGGAGGCCTGGTGGCTACAGTGATCACCTCTGTAGCTCGTGTACTAGATAAGCATGTGTCACAGGCTCCAATGCAGCTTTCTTGGCTGGAAGAGTTATGCGTATTTTGTGGTGCACATAATAAATGTTTTAGGAGTCAGGCAGGGCTTGCAGTAATCAGGGAAGACTTCCGGGAACTCAGCCATGGGTTAAAAGAGGTCTGGGGTTAAGACTGGCAGAGAGAGGTCAATGAACATTCCAGCCAGGAGAATAGCTGAGCGCCCCACTCTAAGCTCTCTCATAAAACACCACTTGTTTCTCTCATAGAGCTTTTCACAATTTGTAATTATTGTTCATTTATTTAGGGTTGGTAGCCTCTTTCTCCTATACATGCTAGTAGGGCAAGGGTCACATCCAATCTTTTTTTATTATTATTATTTTATCCTGAGCATCTTAGAGCTGGGCCTAGCGTGGGGTCGGTTCTGAATGTATGTCTTTACTACCCATCTCAATGAATATTGTTTAAGTGAATGAATGAGTCAGGCCAGCTGAACAGGTAAGGCAGTGCCTAGTTCCAGAAGACTCTGACATCTTTGCTGGGAAATTTGCTCTTAATATCATAGTCAGTAGACAATTTGTGAGCTCCTAGAAAACAAAAAGTATTGGTTGGCTGCAGTGGGTCATGCCTGTAATCCCAGCACTTTGGGAGGCTGAGGCAGGTGGATCACTTGAGGTCAGGAGTTCGAGACCAGCCTGGCCAACATAGTGAAACCCCATCTCTACTAAAAATACAAAAATTAGCCAGTCATGGTGGTGGGCACCTGGACTCCCAGCTACTCGGGAGGCTGAAGCAGGAGAATTGCTTGAACCCAGGAGGGAGAGGTTGCAGTGAGCCAAGATCATGCCACTGCACTCCAGCCTGGGCAACAGAGTGAGACTCTGTTTCAAAAAACAAAAAAGAAAGAAAGAAAAAGAAAAAAAAAGAAAGCAAGAACTATCTCTCATTAATTCAGTGAATTTATTCAGTAGTAGACTGTAGTGCCAGACACCATACAAAGATAAATCAGAAAGCACCCCTACATTAAAGGAGATCAGACTCTGAACGTGGGCAGGGATTGGCCGTGTACACAAGCAGGAATAACATAGAATAGGAAGGAATCGTGCTGCATGGGTGAGGCAGGAGTTCAGTGTGGAGTGATGAAAGGACAGAGAGCTTGCAAGTCTGTCTAGAGACAGCTTATTGATGTGGAGTTGGGGAGATTGGGAGAGAGCAGGTGATTGAGTTTGGCTAAATTCTCTTTGCCTTCCCCATAATGTTTAGTATAATGCATTGCACACTGCTGGCATTTCATGACCGTAATGTGTGTTGCATTATTATTTACCTCCTTTATCAAGGAAGTGACAGGAGGCAACTGGAAATATTTTAAATGCAACTTCATCCAAACTGGAACTTTTTTTTTTTTTACCAACTCAAATTAACATTCAATTTAAAGCAGTTTGTAAAGGTTGGTCCATCAAAGGGGAATAGAAAGGATGGTTTGTGTGTGTGTTGAATATTATGAGTAGTCTATCATTGCCCAAGAATTTGTAAAAGAGTTATACAAAGGGTGGGTGCGGTGGCTCATGCCTGTAATCCCACACTTTGGGAGGCCAAGCTGGACGAATTACCTGAGGTCGGGAGTTCAAGACCAGCCTGACCAACATGGAGAAACCCCGTCTCTACTAAAAATACAAAATTAGCCGGGTGTGGTGGCGCATGCCTGTAATCCCAGCTACTCGGGAGGCTGAGGCAGGAGAATTGCTTGAACCCGGGAGGCGGAGGTTGTGGTGAGCCGAGATCGCACCATTGCACTCCATCCAGCCTGGGCAACAAGAGCAAAACATCATCTCAAAAAAAAAAAAAAAAAGAAAGAAAAAATTTATACAAGTAGGCAAAGATTGTCCATGCATGGGCTTACATTGTGTCAAGGAGTTCATCCTAAAAGCAGCCTTTGGAAAGTTTAAAGACTCGGGCATTTGGTGAGACCTGCGTTTTAGGAAGATCACTTGCATGGTTTTTGAGAGATGGGTGGATGGTAGGATTGGCTAGTCTTCCTCCCTGCTCCCGTAGTTACTACGCTTCTCCCCTCCCTCATTGCAAGCCTCTCATGGGATAGGATTGTAATGATTTGCTCACATGTCCTTCCCTCCCACCAGAGAGAAAGCCAAGTGTTTTCAGGTCATGGAGTGGGCCATATTCTTAGAAATCTGTCAGTATTATATTAGCTAGCAAGATTGTACGGAGGAAAAACAAATGACAAACAATTTCAGTAGTTCAGGCAAGAAATGAGAGTGGCCTGAGCTAGGGTCACATTTGTAAAGTATGGAGGCCCGGCGCGGTGGCTCACGCCTGTAATCCCAGCACTTTGGGAGGCTGAGGCGGGCGGATCATGAGGTCAGGAGATTGAGACCATCCTGGCCAACATGGTGAAATCTTGTCTTTACTAAAAATACAAAAATTAGCTGGGCATGGTGATGTGCACCTGTAATCCCAGCTACTCAGGAGGCTGAGGCAGGAGAATCGCTTGAACCAGGGAGTCGGAGGTGGCAGTGAGCTGAGATCGCACCACAGCACTCCAGCCTGGTGACAGAGTGAGATTCCATCTCAAAAATTAAAAAAAAAGAATGGAACGTGGGGAACAGATATCTGCTACACTTTAGCTGGAAAATATACAGGACTTTGTCACGGACAGTGAGGGTGAAGGGGAAGGAGGAGCCAGGGATTTGAATGACTTAGGTAGAGTAGAGAATGATGGGTGGCTCTTTGGGACAGGATACAGAGGAGGAGAAACACATTTAGAGAAGCATAGCACAGGTTCAGTATGGGACATGTTGCATTTAACAAACCAATGGAACTTTGAAGCAGAGATATCTAAAATGGGTTGGATTTGCATGTGTAGGGTTCAGAGACAAAGCTGAGCTAAGGAATTCAATAAAATCAATAGAGTGATAGGTAAAGACAGAGAAAGACATGAAGTCAGCCACCTCCTATACAATATTTGGTATTACCTGTCTTTTTAATTTTTGCCATCTGTAGTGATGTAGAACCATCTCAATGCTGTTCTACTTTTCATTTATTTAAGTATTTATCTATATTCTTTTTGCCTACCACAGCTCATTCTTCTGTGAATTGCCTTGAAATATATTAGGCAATAGAAATATTTTTCTATTTTTTTTTTGTCCTTTTTGTTGTTGTTGTTGGTTTGCAGGATTTCTTTGTATATTCTAGAAATTATTCCCTTGACTGTTTTAGGCATTGGGAATATCTTCTCACACTCTGCCATCTATATAATTTGTATTTGCAATTTCTAGCTGATGCCAGGAGAAGGAATACATTAACTGAGCCCCAGAAATACAGTGGAAGAAGCACATTTCAGAGTAAGATAAGGTTGGAGAGTGGACATATTGATTGAAGAGTGTAGGATTTTGACAGGTAAAGCCAGAAGAAGATGTGACAACTGATGGGAATGGCATGTTTTCAGGGGCCATAATATGGTTTGGATGTGTGTCAACACCCAAATCTCATTTTCAATTGTAATTCCAAAAGTTGGAGGTGGGGCATGGTGGGAGGTGATTGAGTCATGGAGGTGGATTTCTCATGAATGGTTTAACACCATCCACTTGGTGCTGTTCTCATGATAGTGAGTGAGTTATCTCGAAATCTGGTGGTTTGAAAGTGTGTAGCACCACTTCCGCCCCCCTCTTCCCGCTCTTGCTCCTTCTCCAGCCATGTGAAGTGCCTGTGTCCCCCTTTGCCTCCTGCCATTATTGAAAGCTCCCTCAGACCTTCCCAAAAGCAAATCCCGCCATGCTTCCTATACCGCCTACAGAACCAGAAGCCAATTAAACCTCTCTTCTTATAAATTACCTGGTCTCAGGTATTTCTTTATAACAAAGCGAGTATGGCCTAATACAGGGCACAGTAACAGAAAAGCCTAGGCATGGGGGTGCGATGGGATGGAGAGCAGCAGGGAGCAAGAGTGAGCATGAATGAGATGTTTATGTTGACAGAAAGCCAGGGGAGAGGGGTAGGGAGAGCTTGGACCACAGTCTAAAAAGGAGCAGATGTCAGTCTTGGTCTTTTTCTGGGGGTGGTGGAAGTTAAGCAGAGGAGAGACCTGGCCAGAGATTTCCTTCAGTAAGCTGAGCCTGGAAATGGCATGGAAGGCGCTCAGAATAGGCATAGACTAGAGTTGGGATGCCAATTTAGGGAACCTGGCAATAGGGTAGGGTGATGGTGAGTTTTATGTGTCAACCTGCTTAGGCTGTGGTACCCACTTATGGAATCAAACACTAATCTAGGTGTTTCTGTGAAGGTGTCTTGTGGATGTGATTAACAACTACAATCATCGACTTTACTATTTATTTATTTATTTATTTATTTATTTATTTATTTATTTATTTTGAGACAGAGTCTTGCTCTGTTGCCCAGGCTGGAGTGCAGTGGTGCAATCTCAGCTCACTGCAACCTCTGCCTCCCAGATTCAAGCAATTCTCCTGCCTCAGCCTCCTGAGTAGCTGAGATTGCAGGCAGACACCACTGTGCCCGGCTAATTTTTGGATTTCTAGTAGAGGCAGGGGCTCAACATGTTGACCAGGCTGTTCTCGAACTCCTGGACTCAGGTGATCCTCCCACCTCAGTCTCCCAAAGTGCTGGGATTACAGGCGTGAGTCACCATGCCTGACCAATCCGTTGACTTTAAAGTAGACTTAAGTGAAGTGGGCTTAAGTAAAGTCTGTCATATGGCAGAGCCTTTTTCAATCAGTTGAAGGCCTTAAGAATAAAACTGAGGGCCGGGTGCGATGGCTCACGCCTCTGATCCCAGAACTTTGGGAGGCCGAGGCAGGTGAATCACCTGAGGTCAAGAGTTCGAGACCAGCCTGGCCAACATGGCAAAATCCCTGTCTGTACTAAAAATACAAAAAATTAGCTGGGCATAATGGCAGGAACCTGCAATCCCAGCTACTTGGGAGGCTGAGGCAGGAGAATGGCTTGAACCCAGGAGACAGAGGTTGTGGTGAGCCAAGATAGTGCCATTGTACTCCAGCATGGGCAACAAGAAGGAAACTCCATTAAAAAAAAAAAAAAGAATAAAACTGAGGTTTTCTGGAGAAGAAAAAACTCTACCTCAAGACTGTAACAGACAAATTCTGCCCCAGTTAGCTTCCAGCCTGCCCTTACAGATTTTGGACTTGCCAGTCCCTATAATCATATAAGCCAATTTCTTCTTTTTTTTTTCTTTTTTTTTTTTTAGATGGAGTCTCACTCTTATTGCCCAGGCTGGAGGGCAGTGGCATGATCTCGGCTCACTGCAACCTCCACCTCCTGGGTTCAAGCAATTCTCCAGCCTCAGCCTCTCCAGTAGCTGGAATTGCAGGTGCCTGCCACCATGCTTGGCTAATTTTTGTATTTTTAGTAGAGATGGGGTTTCACCATGTTGGCCAGGCTGGTCTCGAACTCCTGGCCTCAGGTGATCCACCCTCCTTGGCCCCCCAAAGTGCTGGGATTACAGGCATGAGCCCCCGTGCCTGGCCCATATAAGCCAATTTCTTACACTCTCTCTGTTTCTCTGTCTCTCATAATACTCATCCCTAGGAAAGAAAGAAAGAGATAAATAAATCCTATCAGTTCTCTTTCTCTGGAGAACTGAATGACACAGGAAATCAGTTATTGGCCTTTGAAGCTTTTTGTTGGTGTATGCCATAAGTTAAAAATAACATTAAATTTTAGAAGACACATTACACTTCAATATACATATATTTTTATTTAGAAATTATTTACATGTACCCAAGTACTAATATGTTGTATACGTTATAAAACACAAAAATAGATTAATTTTAAAGGATGAACTATGGGCCTGACGCGGTGGCTCACGCCTGTAATCCCAGCACTTTGGGAGGCTGAGACAAGCAGACCACCTGCAGTCAGGAGTTCGAGACCAGCCTGGCCAAGATGTTGAAATCCCGTCTCTACTAAAAATACAAAAATTAGCCAGGCGTGGTGGCAGGTGCCTGTAATCCCAGCTACTCGGGAGGCTGAGGCAGAAGAATCGCTTGAACCCAGGAGGTGGAGGTTGTAGTGAGCCGAGATCATGCCACTGCACTCCAGCCTGGCGACAGAGTGAGACTCCGTCTAAAAAAATAGATAAATAAATAACTGGAACTCAAAGTTGAAGCATTTCCTTTGTGCATTCACCAAGGCATCCTCACAGTTTTTGGAAATCAGCTGACCAAGGTGACAGGTGACAAAGGTCAAACTACAATGATTGCAATATAATAAGAACTGAACCAGGATAAACAAAGATGAAAGTCCAAGTCAATTTCCTTTCTTTTTTTTTGAGACAGAGTCTTGCTCTATCCCCCAGGCTGGAGTGCAGTGGGCAATGGCAGCTCTCTGCAGCCTCTGCCTCCCGATTCCAGCGATTCTTGCACCTCAGCCTCCCGAGTAGCTGGGTCTACAGGAAGGTGCCACCACTCCCGGCTAATTTTTGTATTTTTAGTAGAGATGGGGTTTCACCATGTTGGCCAGGCTGGTCTCGAACTCCTGACCTCAATTGATCTGCCCGCTTCGGCCTCTCAAACTGCTGCAGTGCAGTGGCAAGATCTTGGCTCACCGCAACCTCTGCCTCTCGGGTTCAAGCGATTCATTCTCCTACCTCAGGCTCCTGAGTAGCTGGGACTGCAGGCCCCCGCCGCCACCACCACCTGGATAAATTTGGTATTTTTAACAGAGACAGGGTTTCGCCATATTGGCCAGCCTGGTCTTGATCTCCTGACCTCAGGCGATCCGCCTGCCTCTGCCTCCTAAAGTGCTTGGATTACAGGCGTGAGCCACTGCACCCGGCCCCAGCCAGAATAATTTTCAACTTAACATTTGCTTATCTATATTTAAAAAAAGAGGTTTCCCTGAAACACAACCTTTCAATCTCTTTTTCCAGTTCTCCTCAAAACTGTGAGTGTACAAACACAATAAGAAATTCTGCGTATCTCCAAATAACCAGACTGTTAGAATTTTTAAGCCTAATGCCAGATTTACATCAAGATCCTCCTTACTTAACTTGGTGAGGCGGGCTCATGTTTTAAATAACCGCTGGCACTCGAAGAGTGATTTTGCTTCCAGAGCAATTTCATTGACCTTGACTCAGCATTGCCTCACAACAAAGACTGGAGGCAGGAAAGTTTGGAATGGCGTCTCTCTTTTTGTAGATGGGTTTTATTAATAATGATAAAAAAAAGTCTAGCTTTTTGGAAATGAAAAGTAGAATGGGGGTTGCCAGGGGTAGAGAGGAGGAGGGAGAAAAAGTTGTTCAATGGGTTTAGAGTTTCAGTTTTGCAGGACAAAAACATTCCAGTGATTTTTGCATAACACCATGCTTGTAGTTAATGCTACTGTACACTTAACAATGGTTAAGATACTCAGGATGCTGAGGCAGGAGAATCACTTGAACCTGGGAAGCGGAGGTTGCAGTGAGCTGAGATCGAATCATTGCACACCAGCCTGGGCAACAGAGGAAGGCTCCATCTCAAAAAAAAAAAAAGTAGGATAAGTTTTATGTTATGCATTTTTTTCTTTTTATTATTTTACTTTATGTTCTGGGATACATGTGCGGAATGTGCAGGTTTGTTACATAGGTATACATGTGCCATGGTGGTTTGCTGCACCCATCAACCCGTCATCTAGGTTTTAAGCCCTGCATGCAGTAGGTATTTGCCCTAATGCTCTCCCTCCCCTTTCCCCCTATCCCCGACAGGCCCCAGTGTGTGATGTTCCCTTCCCTGTGTCTATGTGTTCTCTTTGTTCAACTCCCACTTATGAGTGAGAACATGCAGTGTTTGGTTTTCTGTTCCTGTGTTAGTTTGCTGAGGATGATGGTTTCCAGCTTCATCCATGTCCCTGAAAAGACATAAATTCATTCTTTTTTATGGCTGTATATTATTCCATGGTGTATATGTGCCCATTTTCTTAATCCAGTCTATCATTGATAGGCATTTGGGTTGGTTCCAAGTCTTTGCTATTGTGAACAGTGCTGCATTAAACATACATGTGCATGTGTCTTTATAGTAGAATGATTTATAATCCTTTGGGTCTATACCCAGTAATGGGATTGCTGGGTCAAATGGTATTTCTGGTTCTAGATCCTTGAGGAATCCTGAAGCCATATGTGTTTCTTTAGTATAACAAAATAAATAACTAAACTGGGATTTGGGGAGGTTAAACAAATTGATCAAGGTCACTCTATTGACCAGTAGATAGAAACAGGGTAGGATTAATGTCATTTGGAGGCCAGTTCATGTTCCTTCCGTTTTATAGACTATGCAATTTATAAAAAGAAATTTTCCTTCTCTTCCTGTCTGTGGCATATAAATTTGGAGCAGTCTAGACTGTCTTTGCGATAACAGGTACTTAAGTAGATTCCAAATATTTCTTTTTTTTAATCCTTTGTGTACAACATTGACTTTTCTAATCAATCGTTAAAATAAATCTCGAGGATTTGCCGGATTGTTTGTGAAATGCAGCAGGGAGCACTGCAACTTATCAGTCAATACACAGGTGCGTAAAACGGAAGAAGAGGGGAGAGCCAGCCCCAACTCCTGGCCACCATCCAGGTCTGTGATTTAACTTTCAAATGACAAATCAATGACACGCGGGCATTCCCTAGCTCCCAAATCACTCCATCACAGCAGAAGACACAAACGCTGCAACCCACCAGCACAAAGAACACTCACCCAGCAGATCCAGACAGGCAGGTGAGATCTATGGGTTAGAAGACTCCAGGGAGCTGTGCAGCTACTAGGGAAGAAAGCGTTTACAGGAGGCTGCTTTTGAGCTGTTCAGCTGGTCCTGATCATTCTTGGAAATATGTCTCTTAGTAGGACCCTTGATTGATTGATTGATTGATTGATTGAGACAGAGCCTTGCTCTGTTGCCCAGGCTGGAGTGCAATGGCACACCACCACAACTCACTGCCTCCTGGGTTCAAGCGATCCCCCACATCAGCCTCCTGAGTAAATGGGACTACAGGCACCCGCCATCACACATGGCTAATTTGATTATATTTTTGTAGAGACAGGGTCTCACTATGTTGCCCAGGCTTGTCTCAAACTCCCGCTGGGCTCAAGCAATTCTCCCGCCTCAGACTTCCAAAGCGCTGGGTTTACAGATGTGAGCCACCGCGAGGCCTTTACTTTTCTGTTTATTTTTTTAACTATTTCAGTGAATTTCTCTCAGCATCAGATAAGATGCTGATGAACACATACTACCACAGAGTGAGATTACAAACCTTAAAATACTCATTGTATTACTCTGCTAGGACAGCTGTAACAAAATACCACAGACTGGGTGGTTTAAACAACAGAAATGTGTTTCTCCCAGCTCTGAAGGCTGGAAGTCTGAAATCAAGGTGCAAGTAGGGTTGCTTTTTCCCAAGGCTATGTCTTCGGCTTGCAGACTGTCCTCAGATGGACTTTGCTCTGTGTGCATAGAGCTCTTCTTCTTCTTCTTTTTGACACAGAGTTTCGCTCTTGTTGCCCAGGCTGGAGTGCAATGGCAATGGCACGATCTTGGCTCACCAGGACATCTGCCTCCCGGGTTCAAGCAATTCTCCTGCGTCAGCCTCCCGAGTAGCTGAGATTACAGGCACTCGCCACCACACCTGGATAATTTTATATTTTTAGTAGAGATTGGGTTTCTCCATGTTAGTCAGGCTGGTCTTGAACTCCTGAACTCAGGTGATCCGCCCCCCTCAGCCTCCCAAAGTGCTGAGATTACAGGCGTGAGCCACTGCGACTGGCCTCTTCTTCTTCTTATAAGGACACTAAGTCCTGATACCATTAGAGCTCCAACCTTATGACCTCATGTAAACTTAATTACCTCCTTGAAGACTTTATGCTGGCTGGGAACCGGTGGCTCATGCCTGTAATCCCAGCACTATGGAAGGCTGAGGCCGGTGGATCACTTGAGATCAGGAGTTCAGGACCAGACTGGCCAACACGGAAAAACCCCATCTCTACAAAAAACCACAAAAATTAGCCTGGCACAGTAGTGTGTGCCTGTAGTCCCAGCTACTTGGGAGGCTGAGGCAGGAGGATCGTTTGAGCCTGAGAGACAGAGATTGAAGTGAGCCGAGATGGCGCCACTGCACTCCAGCCTGGGTGACTGGAGTGAAACATTGTCTCAAAAAACAAAACAAAACAAAAAACAAAACCTTATCTCCAAATACAATCACATTGCAGGTTAAGCCTTCAACATCTGAATCTTGGGGCAGGGGACACAATCACTCTGTAACACTTATTTTTGTGCTTTCTCTCAAGGCCTCTTTCCTTGGCTTGCAGACCGTGTTCTCAGATGGCCCTTTCTCTCTGTGCACGTCCCTGGTATCTGGTGTCTCTTCTTCTTCTTCTTCTTTTTTTTTTTTTTTGGGATGGACTCTTGCTCTGTCGCCCAGGCTGGAGTACAGTGGTGCAATCTCCGCTCACTGAAACTTTTGCCTCCCAGGTTCAAGCAATTCTCATGTCTCAGCCTCCCGAGTAGTTGGGATTACAGGCGTGTGCCACCATGCCCAGCTAATTTTTTTATTTTTAGTAGAGACGGGGTTTCACCTTGTTAGTCAGGCTGGTCTCAAACTCCTGACCTCAGATGATCCGCCAGTCTCAGCCTCCCAAAGTGCTGGGATTACAGGTGTGAGCCACCACGCCTGGCCTTTTTTCTTCTTATAAAGACCCTAGGCCTATTGGATTAGAGCTCCACCCTTATGACCTCGTGTAAATGTAATTACCTCCTTGAAGACTTTATCTCCAAATACAATCTCATTGCAGGTTAAGGCTTCAACATCTGAATCTTGGTGTGGGGTACACAACTCACTAAATAACATTCACTTTTCTGCTTTATTTCCCGTACCTTTACATGTATACGCCTTACAATAGTCAAAGTCATCTACGTTGCCTTGAGGCAAATTAGATTGTTTCAAGAAAAATGTAAATAGAATCCAAGATCAAAACTGTCATATTATAAAACAAAACTCTATGGGGGGGTATTTTTTATATTTTATTTTCTTTTATTTTGGGAGACGGAGTCTCACTTTGTCATCCAGGCTGCAATGCAGTGGTGCTATCTCGGCTCACTGCAACCTCTACCTATTGGGTTCAAGTGATTCTCCGGCCTCAGCCTCCCAAATAGCTGGGATTACAGTTGGGAGCCACCATGCCCGGCTAATTTTTATATTTTTTAGTAGAGATGGGGTTTCACCACGTTGGTCAGGCTGGTCTTGAACTCCTGACCTCAGGTGATCCAACCACCTCGGCCTCCCAAAATGCTGGGATTGCAGGTGTAAGCCACCTCGCCTGGCCTATATTTTTAATTTTTTAAATTGAAAAATAATAATTGTACATATTCATGGGGCAAACAGTAATTTTAAAAAATGTTTATATATTTAAGGGTCAGAAGTGTAGGTTTCTTACATGCATATATTACATAGTGATGAAGTCTGGACTTTTAGTTCAGCCATTGCTAAAATAGTAATTTGGGTACCGTTAGTAATAGTGCCCAGGCCAGGCTAGGTGGCTCATGCCTGTAATCCCAGCACTTTGGGAGGACAAGACGGGTGGATCATGAGGTCAGGAGATCAAGACCATCCTGGCCAACATGGTGAAACCCCATCTCTACTAAAAATACAAAAATGAGCTGGGCATGGTGGTGTATTCCTGTAATCCCAGCTACTCGGGAGGCTGAGGCAGGAGAATCACTTGAACCCGGGAGCTGGAAGTTGCAGTGAGCCGAGATTGCGCCACTGCACTCCAGCCTGGGGACAGAGTGAGACTCCGTCTCAAAAAAAAAAAAAATAGTACCTAAATAGTAATAGTAATAAGTAATTTTTCAATGCTTACTCCCCGCAACATACCCCCTCACCTTTTTAGGCCTCCAGTGTCTATTATTCCACATTTATAAAACAAACCTCTTAATGTGTGTGTTGGGAAGGGAGAGGGTGAAGACATATTTATGTCCATGTGTATAAGGACACAAATACGTCCTTACACACACACAGACACAAATACATCTTATTGAGATTATTGAGAACAAAAAAAGACACCTAAAAATAAAAGGAAAAGACTTCCCACACTTTCAAGCACCTTTCTCGGGACTTCCCTATATGACCAAGGTGGGCAGATCACTTGAGTCCAGGAGTTCGAGACTAGCCTGGACAACAAAGCAAGATCCCATCTCTAAAAAACAGAAGAGAGCGAGCGAGAGAGAGACAGAGAGAGAATTCCCCTATATGATGTTGTTTTGCTAAAATGAGGGAGTGCATTAAGAAAGTGGAAGGTCTGGGATTCCCAAAACAAAGAATCTAACATCAGAGAGAGATGAATGCTTTCACCAGGGTGATGATGAAAGAGGACCTCAGGAGACAGCCGTGCCACAGGCCTCCCAATCTGCTGATGCAGATGGGAGCAGCTCAGGAGGGAGACTCTAGCCTCAGGCACACAGATGTAAGAAGGGGGAAAGTCCCCGAGGAGTGAAGTCACTTGTGCAGACATCCTGAGCTATCGCGTTAAGCATATGGAAAAGCACACGGAGGCTCATGTTGAGAAATATTTCACCAGAATGCTTTGGCAGAAAACAAAGAACCCCGTAGAGCCTCATAGCCGCACCTGAGACAGTTTCCCAAATGGTCCCAAAATGTGAGAAGAAAACTACAAAGCCAAACATTAATATGCATGTCTAATTAAATGTTTACAGATCTTTTATTGATGTTGTGGTTGAGATGGAGTTTCACTCTTGTTGCCCAGGCTGGAGGCTGGAGGGCAGTGGCTCTATCTGGGCTCACTGCAACCTCCACCTCCACCAGTTGATTCTCCTGCCTCAGCCTCCCAAGTAGCTAGGATTACAGGCGTGTGCCACCACGCCCGGCTAATTTTGTATTTTTAGTAGAGACAGGGTTTCTCCATGTTGGTCAGGCTGGTCTCGAAGTCCCGACCTCAGGTGATCCACCCGCCTCGGCCTCCCAAAGTACTGGGATTACAGGTGTGAGTCACCACGCCAGCCCTTGTTTACAGATCTTAAGGTGACAAACCAACTGCAACCCACTGACCTACATACGTACACGTGTGTGTGTGTGTGTGTGTGTGTGTGTGTGTGAGTGTTTATTGCAGGATATGGTACATTTTTATATATCATAGGATGAAGCTTCCAAAAATAAGTTTGGTTGGGGGCAAGAGAAAGTAGTTAATGGTTACAAAAAAAAAAAATAGAAGAACAAACAAGACCTAGTATTGCATAGCACAATAGGGTGACTATAGTCAATAATAACTTAAGTGTATATTTTATAATAGCTTGAAGAATGTGGTGCAGGGGCTCATGCCTGTAATCCCAGCACTTTGGGAGGCTGAAGCGGGTGGTTCACCTCAGGTCAGGAGTTCAAAACCAGCCTTGTCAACATGGCAAAACCCCATCTCTACTAAAAATACAAAAAAATTAGCTGTGCATGGTGGCACGTGCCTGTAATCCCAGCTACTCAAAAGGCTGAGGCATGAGAATCGCTTGAAGCCAGGAGGCGGAGGTTGCAGTGAGCTGAGATCGCACCGCGCACTCCAGCCTGGGCAACAGAGTGAGACTCCGCCTCAAAAAAAAAAAAAAAAGGAGAAAAAGAAAAAAAGATTGCCTGATATGGTGGTGCATGCCTGTAGTCTCAGCTATTTAGGAGGCTGAGGCAGGAGGATCACTTGGGCCAGGAAAGGTCAAGGCTGCAGTGAGCCGTGATCATGCCATTGCACCCGGTCTGGGTGACAGAGTGAGACCCTGTCTCAAAAAAAAAAAAAAGAAAGAAAGAAAGAAAAAAAATCCACTTGTTTAGGAAAGGAGTGGTAGGGGCAGTGGATTTTATGTCTAGGAATCAGCACACGGTGTTAGGAGAGGCTGCATCTGAGTCCAGGCCTGGATGTAGTCATTGGTTGTATGGGATCTTTGCCAGCAAGTGCTCTGTTTCCTGGTTTCTTCTTCTGATCATTCCCGCAGTTTCCATCTTCTGAGGGTGTGAGGGAGATCCAGTGAGATAATGGGAGTAGAAGTGCTTTGAAAAGGACAGCGTGCTGTCCAAGGGCATGGCTAGCATCTCCATATTCAATCACCTCCCACCGGTTGCTGGAAGGGTGGGGGGGTGGGTAATGGACGTGGAAGGCCCTTGTAAATTACAAAGCGCGAAAGAGATGGAGAATGATTAGTAGCAAGGCGTGATTATCTATGTGGCTCCGATAACAACACCATTTTGCCACCTGCTGCCCAGACATTTCTATAACGGCACGACTTTTCAAAGACATGAACTGTGCATGCTGGGGTTTGCCCAGCTGTAAAATGAGATATCTCCAGGGATGGCAAACACAGCCAGCTCTCATGGATCCATGGAAATGTTTAGCCCGGAAATGAGATGCGGAGGGGCAGGATCTCAGGCTTTAGAGAGGATATGAAGCCCTGCCAAGTAGAAAAGGGTTGGCTCAGAGGATAGAAACAGCAGCCGGATTCAGTGGATGTTTTAGAGAGGCAGATCGGACTCAGGACATAGTCTTAATTACTTAATTACTTAAAACACCTCATTACTTCCTTAAATCCCTTCTGCCTTTAAACGTGTTTCCTAGGCCAGGTGCGGTGGCTCACGCCTGTAATCCCAGCACTTTAGGAGGCTGATGGAGGTGGATCACCTGGGGTCAGGAGTTCGAGACCAGCCTGACCAACATGGGGAAACCCCGCCTCTACTAAAAATACAAAAATTAGCCGGGTGTGGTGGCAGGCGTCTGTAGTCCCAGCTACTTGGGAGGCTGAGGCAGGAGAATTGCTGAAACCTGGGAGGCAGAGGTTGCAGTGAGCCGAGATTGGGTCATTGCACTCCAGTCTGGGTGACAGAGTGAGACTACGTCTCAAAAACAAAAACAAAAAAAATGTGTTTCCTCTTTTTTTTTGGAGTCTCGCTCTGTCGCCCAGGCTGGAGTGCAGTGGTGCAATCTTGGCTCACTGCAAGCTCTGCCTCCCAGGTTCACGCCATTCTCCTGCCTCAGCCTCCCAAGCAGCTGGGACTATAGGCGCCCGCCACCACACCCGGATAATTTTTTGTATTTTTTACAAAATTTTAGTAGAGACAGGGTTTCACCATGTTAGCCAGGATGGTCTCGATCTCCTGACTTCCTGATCCGCCTGCCTCGGCCTCCCAAAGTGCTGGGATTACAGGCATGAGCCACCGCACCCGGCCGTGTTTTCTCTTTTAACCCTCTTAGCTGCTCTGGGAGATCATGTCTTTTTTAATCATTCCCATTTTACAGTTAAACATACCAAGACTTGAGGAATTATGTCCAAGGTTCCAGCATTGAACATGAAGAACGCAGGATTTATTGGCACGTCGTGATAACCGTAAAGCCCACGCTTCTACTGCAGTGTTGAGTTTGCGTGGTAAGTGCCACAGTTGTGCAGGCGTTGTTTTCTGTGTGGTTTTCTGAATGGGTGTTTTCCATCATGCCAAGTGTATAAGTCCAGGTGATATGGTTTGGATCTCTGTCCCTACTCAAATCTCACGTGGAATTGTAATCCCCAGTGTTGGAGGTGGGGCCTGGTGGGAAGTGATTGGATCACGGGGATGGATCCTTCATGAATGCTTTAACACCTTCCCTTTAGTGCTGTTCTTATGACAGAGTTCTCCTGAGACCTGGTTGTTTCAAAAGTGTGTAACATATCCTCCCTCTCTCTCTTGCTCCTACTTCAGCCACGTGAAGTATCTACTTATCCTTTGCCTTCCACCATGATTGTAAGTTTCCTGAGGCCTTCCCAGAAGCTGAGCAGATGCCAGCTCCATGCCTCCTGTACAACCTGCAGAACCATAAGCCAATTAAACCTCTTTTATTGCAGGAGTGTGAGGGGGAGGCCACATTGAAAATACTGGTGGATCCCAGTACTTCCGGAGGCCAAGGCAGGAGAATGGCTTCAGGCTACAAGCTCAAGACCAGCCTGGGCAACATAGCAAGATCCTGTCTCTATAAATTTTTTTTTAATTAGACAGTCATGGTGTACCCTATAATCCTAGCTACTGGGGATGCCAAGGCAGGAGGATTGCTTGAGGCCAGAAGTTCAAGCCCACCCTGGGAAACATAAGAAGACCTTGTCTCTAGAAAAATATACAAAAATTAGCCAGTCATGGTAGTGTGTACCTGTAGTTCCTGCTACTCAGGAGGCTGAGGTGGGAGGATTGCGTGAGCCCTGGACGTTGAGGCTGCAGTGAGCTATGATCGCACCACTGCACTCCATCCTGGGCGACAGAGTGAGATCCTGTCTCAAAAAAAGAAAACAGGTTCCCAGATCCCAGCCCAGACCAGCTGCATGAGAATTCCAGAGGCAGGAGCCCAGGAATCTATTTTTAAAAAGTTCCCTGGGTGATACTGCTGAATAATCACAACAAGAAACTGCTGCCCTCCAGCATCTATTTAGCAAAATGCAGAACACCTGGACCGTTCTTAGACTATTTGTTTCTTAGTGATTGATGTATCAATCTAGCAGCAACTCACATGTCCCCAGGCCAGTCACACCTGCCTTGAAGCTGGAATGGTGGCGATACCAGCTCAGGCTCTGGAAACCCAAGAGAGCCCTCCCGTCCTACCACCTCCCCCAAGCGGTGCGATCAGTGCACAAGTGGCTGTCTCACATGAGCTGGTGGGTGACCATCCTCTTGGTGACTACAGAGTGTTCTTTACCAGACTATTCTCAGCAATAACTGGGTTGCAGCCTGTTCGCCATGGGGCTCCCACTGCCACTCCAGAGTCAGCTGCGTGACTCAGCACCGGGCTTGCCATTGGACGAACATGCCACTCACTCTCAGAAGCCATTACAGCAAGGGCTGCTTCTGCTTTCTCTGCCTTGCATGCGAAGTCAAGGGTATCTGCTCCATATGGCACTGCATAATTTACAGCACAATTTAACTCCTGCTTATATAGCCTAGTCTATGCAAAGCTGCCATTTGCATATTTATTAATTTGCAAAATTAATGCCATTTTCTTAGTCCCTTACAGGATGTGTTGCCCGTCCCTGTCTTTGAATTAATTTTAATCTAAGGTGGAAACATTTGTTAAGGGAGTTCGCTCAGGCCAAAGTAATCAAATGCTTGGTAATCAAATGCAGGTAGGGGATGGGGAAGAGGGAGCTAACATTTATTGAGTGCCTAACTCTGCCAGGCTCCAAGAAAATTAATGGTGCACAATGCGTGTCAACAGAAACATCCTCATAATGTGATATTCTTGCTGTTTTATAAATAAGAGTACTGAGACTCAGAGAGAATAAGTAGCTAGCCCATTGTCACATGACTAGTAAGAGGCAGAGGCTTTGGTGGCCACAAAAGTCAAGAAGCCAAATTTGGGCCAAATGTGGTGGCTTACACCTGTAGTCTCAACACTTGGAGAGGCAGAGGCAAGAGGATTATTTGAGCCCAGGATTTCAAGACCAGCCTGGGCAACATAGCAAGACTCCATCTCTACAAAAAAGAAAATAAAATGAGTTAGGCATCATGGCATGTGTTTGTAGTCCTAGCTACACAGGAGGCTGAGGCAGGATGATCACTTGAGACCGGGGGTTCAAGGCCACAGTGAGCGGTGATCACGCCACTGCACCGTAACCTAAAAATAAAAAAAACGGAGAAGCAGGGTTTTCACCTACACTGATTTTCTTTAGTGAGAAAGGCCATTTCTCTGCATAATTAATTTTTTTCAGAGAGTACTCAACACTCCAGGTATTTCAATGCTCACAGATATTACACATAATGTCACATAACACGACACGACATGACACTTTAAGCAGACAGAAATGGGAGATGTATATTGAGAAGCTTTCTCCACTTATTACCAGCATTTGAGCAGTTTTACCCAAGAAAAATAATGATTTTGTCAAAATTCCCACCCGATGGCATTGGGAAGGTTTCAACAGTAAGGCCAGTCACTTTTTTTATTTTTTTCTTGAGACAGGGTCTCACTCTGTTGCCTGGGCTGGAGTGCAGTGGCACGATTTCAGCTCACTGCAACCTCGATCTCCCAAGCTCAAGTGATCCTCCCACCTCAGCCTCCTGAGTAGCTGGGACCACAGTGTGTGCCACCATGCCCGGCTAATTTTTGCATGTTTTGTAGAGACAGGGTTTCATCATGTTGCCCAGCCTGGTCTCAAACTCCCGGGCTCAAACGATCCATCCGCCTTGGCCTCTTCTGGTGTTAGGATTACAGGTGTGAGCTACCGCACCCAGCTACTTTTCCTTTTTGAAAATTCCTATTCTCAACCCTTCCTGACTTTCAAGCCATTAGCCTAAAGGTTAGTTACCACCATTAGCTAGCTTCTTAATATCATTCTCTGAATTACTGTTATCTATCCTTCAGTCTGTGGCCATGGTCTTTATCTCAACAGTGACATGGCCTGCCTTAGCCACCAATATCCTTTCTCACTGTCTGTAGATTAGATCTCTCCAAGGATTTTGTTACCTTTCACCACTCCTTTTCTTCCCTTCCTTCCTTCCTTCCTTCCTCCCTCCCTTCCTTCTTTCTTTCCTTTCCTTTCCCTGTTTCTTTCTTTCTTCCTTCCTTCCTTCCCTCCCTCCCTTGTTTCCCTCCCTCCCTTTCTTCCCTCCCTCCCTCCCTCCTTCCTTCCTTTCTTCGTTTCTTTCTTCCTTCCTTCCCTCTCTCCTTCCTTCCCTTTCCTTTCTTTTTCCTTCCTTCCTTCCCCTTCCTTCCTTCCTTCTTTCCTTCCTTCCTTCCTTCTTTCCTTCCTTTCTTCCTTCTTTTTCTTTTAAGGCAGGTTCTTCCTGTGTGACCAAGGCTGGAGTGCAGTGATTCAATCATAGTTCACTGCAGACTCGAACTCCTGGACTCAAGTGATTCTCCCGGCATAGCCTCCCGAGTAGCTGGGACCACAAGTGCACATCACCACAGCAGATACTTTTTTGTATTTTTTGTAGAGATGGGGTCTTGCTATGCTACCCAGGCTGGTCTCAAACTTAGTGGCTCAAGTGATCCTCCCACCTCAGCCTTCCTAAGTGCTGCGATTACAGGCAAGATCCGCCATACCCAGCCTCACCACTCTCTCATTCAAGTTTCTCTACTCCTATTTTTCCCTACTACACGCTCTCAGTCTTGTTCCTTCCTTTCTGAGTGCTGTTTACTATGTTGTCATTTCAAGCTCTTCCTCCTTACCCTGCTTGGAGAAATCCCCTATAACTTATAAATCTGTATCTTGAATCCTGCTGAGAGGATCTTGAACATCTGACAACATCCAGCTGTTTACCAGACGTATTTCTGTAAGAACGTCAGGCACAGCTAATTCAAATTTCCAAACCCTCCTTTCTCCTTTCCCCTGAAAACTTATTTTTCCTTCTGTATCACCTATCTTGGTATATTGTGTCATATATCTCTTCCTTACAACTCGAGACCTTTCTCACTTTGTCCATTCCTTTATCCCTAACCTCCAGTGATCAACTGATTATAAAATATTATCAAGTTCTTCCCAACGTACTTCTGAAATCTAGCTCTGAAACAACTTCCAATTCTATCCCCTGGTTTTGTTCCTCCCAATCTGCCTCAAGTATTATTATTATTATTATTGAGATGGAGGCTCGCACTGTCACCCAGGCTGGAGTGCAGTGGCGTGATCCCAGCTCACTGCAACCTCCGCCTCCTGGGTTCAAGCGATTCTCCTGCCTCAGCCTCCCAAGTAGCCGGGATTACAGGTGCGCACCACCATGCCTGGCTAATTTTTTGTATTTTTAGTAGAGATGTATTTTTAGTCTCAAACTCCTGACCTCAAGTGATCTGCCCGCCTTGGCCTCCCAAAGTGCTGGGATTGCAGGTGTGAGCCACAGCACCCAGTCTATTTTTTTCTTTAATAGAGACAAGTCTCACTATGTTGCCCAGGCTTGTCTTGAACTTCTAGGCTCAAGTGATCCTCCTGCCTAGGCCTCTCAAAGTGCTGGGATTATAGTCATGAGCCACCATGCCCAGCCAAATATTCTCTTCATTGTGTCATTGCAATGGACTCTCCACTTCTAGGGTCTCCTGCCTCCAGTCCATCCTCCACACCAGCATCACCAACATTTCTAAAACACAGCTCTGGGCCAGGCGAGGTGGCTCATGCCTGTAATCCCAGCACTTTGGGAGGCCAAGGTGGGCCTCACTTGAGGCCCGGAGCTTGAGACCAGCCTGGCCAACACGGTGAAACCCCGTCTCTACTAAAAATACAAAAATTAGCCGGGCATGGCGGCAGGCACCTGTAATCCCAGCTACTCGGGAGGCTGAGGCAGGAGAATCACTTGAACCTGGGGGAACAATGTTGCAGTGAGCTGAGATCACGCTGCTGCACTCCAGCCCCGGCCATGGACCAAGACTGTGTCCCAAAAACGAAAACAAACAAACGAAAAAAACAACATCAACAACAACAACAACAAAAACACAGCAGTGATCATGTGACCATTTTGCAGGACATTTTCTCTATTAACTCTCCAATACCATTGGAGGGATCGGAGCCCCTCTGGGTTTTGTGGGGGGTGGGGAGGAGTTTACACTCCTTGAAGCAAAAAACAACAACAACAAAAAACGAGTCTTCTTATTTACTCACCCACAGCCCTTGGGACAGAAGACAGAATAGAGGCTGAGAAAATTGCTTGTTGGAAGAATGAATCCTGGGTCTGCTATTACAAGAAACTTCTCAACTTCTAGCCTTATCTCTCACCACTCCTTCCTTAGATCCTAAGATTCAACCATCCCTGACATCAACACACCATGTCCTGTGCTTTGTGCCACCTGTTTACCTTTGTACATGGCATTCCCACGTGGTAGAATCTCGCTCCCATACAATCTGTTATACTTGGAACCCCCTTCCTTTATTCTCAAAACGTAATTCCCTTTGAGAAAGTTTCTCTGACGTTTTCCTGACAATGAACCAATCCTTCCTCCATGCAACCATTCTTTTGTTTGTCTCCAGGTTTGAGAGAGAAAAAAAAATATGTATCTACATGAGTAAGCTAAGATTCAGTTTCCAAAATCCTCAACCAAGCACACACAAGGCTTAAGTCATTTTCATGAAACAGAGAAAAAGTCCAGGCTAAGCAACATTTTATTGCTATTTGAAACTTTTGTTCTCAAGCAGCAGCATAGTCACCAAATAAGTTGTCAGAGATTTTATGTGTCGCCAGGATGTGAACAAAGAACCAAGGCTTTGCTAGGCGCAATGGCTCACGCCTGTAATCCCAGCACTTTGGGAAGCTGAGGCGGGTGGATCACGAGGTCAGGAGTTTGAGACCAGCCTGACCAACATGGAGAAAACTCGTCTCTATTAAAAATACAAAAATTAGCCAGAGGTAGTGGTGTCCACCTGTAATCTCAGCTACTCAGGAGGCTGAGGCAGGAGAATCGCTTAAACCCGGGAGGTGGAGGTTGCAGTGAGCCGAGATCATGCCACTGCACTCCAGCTTGGGTGACAGAGCAAGACTCTGTCTCAAAAAAAAGAACCAAGGCTCAGTAGCCACTGTTACCTCTTTCCCAGAGGACTGCAATTCTGGAGTCAGAAGACCTCATCACTCTGGGATGAGCCAAGGCAATGACCAATGAATCAGCTGGGTGTGGTGGCTCAAGCCTGTAATCCTAGCACTTAGGGAGGTCAAGGCTGGAGGATCACTTGAGGCCAGGAGTTTGAGGTCACGAGTTCAAGTCCAGCCTGGGAGACACAGGGAGACCACGTCTTAAAAAAAATTTTTTTTTTTAGAGATGGGGTCTCGCTGTGTCGCCCAGGCTGGAGTGCAGTGGTGCGATCTCAGCTCACTTCAATCTCCGCCTCCTGGGCTCAAGCGATTCTCCTGCCTCAGCCTCCTGAGTAGCTGGGATTACAGACACACACTACTACACCCAGCTAATTTTTTTGTATTTTTGGTAGAGACAGGGTTTCACCATATTGGCCAGGCTGGTCTTGAACTCCTGACCACAAGTGATCCACCCGCCTTGGCCTCTCAAAGTGCTGGTACTATAGGCATGAGCCACTGCACCCGAACGTCTACAAAAATTTTAAAAATTATCCCCATGTGGTGGCACACACCTATAGTCCCAGCTATTTGGGAGGCTAATGGGAATGATCCCTTGAGCCCAGGAGTTCAAGGCTGCAGTGAGCTATGGTTGCACCACTGCACCAGCCTGGGCAACAAAGCCTGTCTAAAAAAATTAAAATACAATTTTTAAAGACATGAAGGAAAATACTTCTGGCATGAAAATATTTCTCTAGAAGACCTGGAATAGCTGGCCTAAGTGCCCACACCGAGCTGTTCTTTGCCTCTGGACCTCACTTTACTGGGCAACTGGCCCTCTGTTTTCTTGAGATGGAGTCTCGCTCTGTTGCCCGGGCTGGAGTTCAGTGGCGCGATCATGGCTCACTGCAACCTCCGCCTCTCGGGTTCAAGTGATTCTCCTGTCTCAGCCTCCCGAGTAGCTGGGACTACAGGTGCATGCCCCCACGGCCAGATAACTTTATTGTACTTTTTAGTAGATTAATTTTAATTTTTTAATTTTAGTAAATGTACTTTTTAGTAGATTAATTAAGATAATTTTTTTGTACTTTTTAGTAGATTTTTTGTACTTTTTAGTAAATTATTGGTCAGGCTGGTCTCGAACTCCTGCCCTCAGGTGATCTGCCCGCCTGGGCCTCCCAAAGTGCTGGGATTACAGGCATGAGCCGCCGCACCCGGCTGGGCACCTGGCTTTCTAAAGAGAAATGGTGGGGGGAATGGCAGGTCTATTTGTTTCCATCCAAGTAGAAGATGGCCTTAGTGCCCCAGAGCCAAACACGAAGCAAAGAGGAGAGAATCCAAAAGCATAAAATGTTGACGGAGAAAAAGCTTCGGAAGCCAAGGTTTATCCTTACTTTTGACATCCATCCCTTCAGTCATCTGTCCCTTCATTCCACAAATATTTACTGAATATCTGTGAGTTGACTCCTGCCTTGGACATGGGCCTACAACATGATGAGGTCTTGAGCTCCCCCTAGAGGCCAATAGCAATTCCAAGGCGGGGAAAGCGGAGAGGAGACTGCAGGCCAATATAGAAGACAGTCATTATTAGATCATTGCCCTGGAGAGGGAGGGCGAGGCTGCACGAGGACCCAGAGAAAGGAGAGGGGGCTCGCTCAGGCGCATCAGTCCAGGAGGCCCCTTCACGATGATCTTGTAGGAAGAAGGATGTTGTAAAGTTATTAGAGCAAAGCAAACCATGAGAGCTGTGAATTGCCTATTTCATCATTAGAAGATAGACTGGAGGAAAGGAGAGAGGAAACTGACTTTTCCTGAGTGTCTGTTTTCTGCTGCTGCTGTGTAGCATGTTTTAAACCCATAAATCATCTTTAAAATGCTTACTACTGGCTCAGCGCAGTGGCTCATCCTTGTAATCCCAGTACTTTGGGAGGCCGAGGCCGTCAGATCACTTGAGGTCAGGAGTTCGAGACCAGCCTGGGAAACATGGCGAAACCCCATCTCTACTAAAAATACAAGAGTTAGCTGGGCGTGGTGGCAGGCACCTGTAATCCCAGCTACTTGGGAGGCTGAGGCAGGAGAATCGCTTGATCCCCAGAGGTGGAGGTTGCAGTGAGCCGAGATTGTGCCACTGCACTGCAGCCTGGGCAACAGAGTGAGTAAAATAAAATAAAATTATGGCCTAGACTTTGGCCTGTAATCTCAGCACCTGGGGAGACTGAAGCAAGAGGATTGCTTGAGACTAGAAGTTCAAGACCAGCCTAAGCAACACAGGCAAACCCATCTCTACAAAAAATAATAATAAAAAAATCAGCCGGGCATGGTGATGCACATCTGTAGTCCCAGTTGCTTTGGAGGCTGAGGCTGGAGAATCGCTTCAGTCTAAAAGATTGAGGCTGCAGAGAGCTATTACTGTGCCACTGCACTCCAGCCTGGGTGGCAGAGCCAAACTCCATCCCCCCACAAAAAAAATAAAGATCGCCTAGAGAAAGGTAGATCCAGAAAGGCCAACACACAGTGAACTCAGACTTTCCAGGCACAGAAACCAGGTGTGCACAGACTTGAAGGTGCAAGTGTATTTGGAAATGGTGAATGTTGGATGCAGGTGGCAGAGCCTGGAATAGATGTACCGCATGACTGAAGCAGAGGCAGAATTGCACCATGAAGTATTTGATCGGTGCAAAGGTAATTTCGATTTTTGCCACTAATTTTTCAGGGGGTTCGGGGTGGGGGAAACAGTCTCCCTCTGTCACCCAGGCTGGAGTGTGTTGGTGCGATCTCAACTCACTGCAACCTCCGCCTCCCAGGTTCAAACAATTCTCCTGCCTCAGCCTCCCAAGTAGCTGGGATTACAGGCACGTGCCACCATGCCCGGCTAATTTTTGTAGTTTTAGTAGAAACGGGGTTTCACCATGCTGGCCAGGCTGGTCTCAAACTCCTGACCTCAGGTGATCCGCCCACTTCGGCCTCCCGAAGTGCTGGTATTACAGGCATGAGCCACCACACCCGGCCTTACCATTACTTTAAAGGTGAAACTACAATCATTTTTGCACCAACCTATAGCCAGGCCATGAGAGTGCCGTAAACCTGACTATGGGATCACAAATGTCCAAAGATCAACAGGCTTTAAGCAGGACAGTGACCTATCATCTTAGGAAGACCCCACCTGTGGGTTATCAAGAGGTGAGCCTGAGGATTCCTGAGATTGGAGCTGGAAAGGCCAGCTGAGAGGCATCACTACAGCAGAAAGAGCTAATGAAATTGTCAAGTCCATCATGGGATGAACAGAAGAAAGGCAGTATATACATGCATCAAAAAAAATTTTTTTTGAGATGACGTCTCACTCTGTCTCCCAGGCTGGAGTGCAGTGGCGCGATATCGACTCACTGCAACCTCCGCCTTCCATGTTCAAGAGATTCTCCTGCCTCAGCCTCCCAAGTAGCTGGGATTACAGGCCTGCACCACCACACCCAGCTAATTTTTGTATTTTTAGAAATTTTTGCATTTTTTAGTGTGGGCCAGGATGGTCTCGAACTCCTTACCTCATGATCCACCTGCCTTAGCCTCCCAAAGTGCTGGGATTACAAGCGTGAGCCACGGTGCCTGGCCCATGCATCAAAATATTATTCGTCATTAAGAGGGAAGGGAATCTTCTGGGCATGGTGCCTCATGCCTGTAATCCCAGTACTTTGGGAGGTCAAGACAGGAGAATTGCTTGAGTCCAGGAGTTCTAGACCAGTCTCTACAAATATGTGTATTTTTAAATTAATTAGGTGTGGTGATGCACGCCTGTAGTCCCAACTACTCAAAAGGCTGAGATGGGAGGATTGCTTGAGCTTGGGAGGATGAGGCAGCAGTGAGCCATGTGCCTCTGCACTCCAGTCTGGGTGCAGAGCAAGACTCTGTCTCACGGAAAAAAAAATGAGTAGCTGGTCATGGTGGCATGCACCTGTGGTCCCAGCTGCTTGGGAGGCTGAGGCTGCAGGATTGCTTAAGCCCAGGAGTTCCAGGCTGCAGTGAGGTATGATCCTGACACTGTACCCCAGCCTGGGCAAAACTGTGAGACCCCGACGTTAAAAAAAAAAAAAAGTCAGGGAAGGGAATTTTGTCACATGCCACAACATAGGTGAACCTCTTGGACATTATACTACATGAAATAAGCTCATCACAAAAAGACAAAGACTGTATGATTCCACCTAGACGAGGTACTTAGAGTACTCAAATGTATAGAGCCAGAAAGTAGAATGATACTTGCCAAGGGCTGGGGCAAGGAGAAAAAAAGAGTTTGCTGCTTAACGGGTAGAATTTTAGAGCTGCAAGATGAAAAATTCCTGGAGATCTGTTTCACAACAATGTGAATATACTTAACACTAGAAATGGTTAAGATGGTATATTTTATGTTATGTGGGGTTTTTTTTTTGCAATTAAAAATAAAGTAAAAGAGTTCACTTTGGGAGACTGAGGCAGGCAAATCACCTGAAGTCAGAAGTTTGAGACCAGCCTGGCCAACATGGTGAAACCCTGTCTCTACTAAAAATACAAAAATTAGCCAGGCACGCTGGCGCATGCCTGTAGTCCCAGCTACTCAGGAGGCTGAAACAGGAGAATCATTTGAAGCCGGGAGGCGGAGGTTACAGTAAGCTGAGATCACACCAATGCACTCCAGCCTGGGTGACAGAGTGAGACTGTCTCAAAATTAAAAAAAAAAAAAAAAAAAAAAAAAAAAAGAGTTAATGGGCTTGGAAACTAAGGCAGCAGCAGTGGGGAAGGTGATGGGGGGCAGACTGGGGGAGGCTGAAGAGGCAGAAAGCAAGGATCTTTTGTGGCACACAGGCATGCACACTCATTCAGACTTTGCACTTGGCCTCTTGCTGGCCTCACTTGCTCCCCATCGCTTCTGTTTCTGCCATGTTGCTGCTACACAGCATCACGAGGCTCCAATCACCCATCCCCGTGAATAGTGTCATAAACGCTCAGTCCTGGGCTGTCAGCTGGGGGGGCTGGAGTCCTCTCACCCAAGTCCACTCGGTGTGGCGTCTGTTGCCATATGTCCGGCCACCCTGTTCATTAATCACACCTCCTGAAAAGTCTCTTAATTACATTATGTTCACAATCCATAAAAAGTAATTAAAATATGTAAATCCATTATATTCTTTAATGAGCACATGGAGACCTCAAAATTTTAAATTAGATATAAAATTGATGTGGACCTACTACTATTGATTACTCACAGTAATAAATCACCTTCAATTTAAATCGAGATGGCATCCCTCCTCCCCACTGGCTAAGGATGTTTTATGCATGCTTTTTTTGTTCTGTTTGCTAGTTTGTTTGTTTGCATTTCCTACAACGGTTTGAAATTACATCCAATCTTTGAAGGATAGCATTCTCTAGCTTTCTGTCACTTGACAACATGGGCAGCAGCAGCAATAACTGATGTTTGCCTGGTGCTCTAAAGCCAGCACAGGTTTTTCAGGAAACATTTTCTCATTTACGCTCCAGCAGTATTTTTGTTTTCATTTCAATATAAATATACCGATTTTTCATTCTCATGGAAAATATCAGAAGCATCACTGCAACCTGTCTCTTTCCATCCCTGGCTTCTCATTCCTTAGTCACATTTCACCCTTCCACTCACACAAGTCAATTATGATAGCCACACACACACCATGTTGTTACCTGCCCCCGCGTCTCTGCGTGGGGTTGTCCCTCTCTCTGCGCTGGATGTTTTTCTCTCACCTGTCTGCAGAATTTCCAGGAATTTATTTTGACCAGCTCAAGGATCTCCTTATTTAACCCACCAATGTTAACCTGGCAATGTTAGATGCTTCGTACTAAGGCCTGCAGTACCACTCTGCTTTTTTTTTTTTAGATGGAGTCTCGCTCTGTCGCCCAGGCTGGAGTGCAGTGGTGCGATAGCGGCTCACTGCAACCTCGCCTCCCGGGTTCAAGCAATTCTCCTGCCTAAGCCTCCCGAGCAGCTGGGATTACAGGTGCCCGTCACCATGCCTGGCTAATTTTTGTATTTTTAGTAGAGACGGGGTTTTACCATATTGGTCAGGCTTGTCTCAAACTCTTGATCTCAGGTGATCCACCTGCCTCAGCCTCCCAAAGTGCTGGGAGTACAGTTGTGAGCTAAAGTGCCCGGACTACTCGGCTTTCTAAGAACGGCTTCTGTGGGTACAATTTTTATGTGAGCTATAATTTTTTTCACTGGACTCTTAAAATGGCCTTGTAAGACAGTCATTAAAGGTATCACCCTCATTTTATAGGCCATATGCTCGTAAAGCTCATAAAGGTTAATTGATTTGTCTAAGGTCCTGCAGCCTGTAGGTGGGGGCTGTGCTAGGATCCAGGCGCACAGAGGCTTGAACCTTCATCTCTCTGTTCTAGAGGCTTCCTTACTCTTGTGTGTCTCTCCCAAAGGGCCTCTCTCACTGCCCCGACACATCTGCTATCAATATGCAACAGAAGCTTTCATCAACAGCTTTCTTCCTCTTCTGTTTCACCTCCTTCACACTGTGGCATAAGGGTTTTCTTCTATTTCCATAAGTTTAACGTCGGTTCCATAGTTGAAGCTACAAGTTACACACACTGACTTTAGAGCCACACACAGCCTGAACTTGAATCCCAGTTTGCCCAATTACTAAATGTGTGGCTTTGGCCAATTTTCTGAATCTCTGTCTTGATACCTTCATCTCTGATGTAGAAGAAACGAAAGTGACTTCACCCCAAAGATTGTGAAGATTCTGTAAAATAACACGTGTCAAGTGCCTGGCACTCAGCCCGTGATCACTAATTGTTCACTTTATCATTACCATGATCATCTTTTTCTTTTTCTTTTCTATTTATTTATTTATTTTTGAGATGGAGTCTAGCTGCGTTGCCCAGGCTGAAGTGCAGTGCCACAACCTCGGCTCACTGCAACCTCTGCCTCCCAGGTTCAAGCGATTCTCCTGCCTCAGCCTCCCAAGTAGCTGGAATTACAGGTATGTGCTACCACGCCCAGCTAATTTTTGTATTTTTATTAGAAACAGGCTTTCACCATGTTGGGCAGGCTGCTCTCGAACTCCTGGCCTCAAGTGATCCACTTGAGGATTTTATGTGGATATACTGCGTAGTGGTGAAGTCTGAGCTTTTATTGTAACCATCATCACCAGTACAATGTACCTTGTACCCATTAGATAATATCTCATCCCTCACCTACCTCCCTCCCACTAGACCAACATCTTGATTACTGATGCATCTCCAGTGCCTGCTACAGGGCCTGGCACACAGCAGGCGCTCGGTTGAGTGCTTGTTGAATTACAGTACAATTGCCATTTCTACTACATCTAATTTCTCAAAATAAAATTATGTCTTTGGAACAAATTCCAACTCAAGTCACTAAAATGCCACCTTCCTCTTAGAAAGGTGGTTCTAAATCGTCAGGTTTATCAGAATTGCCTGAAGGGTTTGTTCAAACACAGATGGCTGGGCACACCCCTCAGAATTGCTGATTCAGTAGGTCTGCACTGGGGCCCAGGAATTTGCTTTTTTGTTGTTGTTTTATTTTTTTGTTTTTCAGAAAGAGTCTCTCTCTCTCCCTCTCTCTCTCCCTCTCTCTCCCTCCCTCTCTCTCTCTCTCTCTCTCTCTCTCTCTCTCTCTCTCTCTCGTGCGCCCAAGCTGGAGTGCTGTGGTGCAATCATAGCTCACTGCAGCCCACAGCTCCTGGGCTCAAGTGATCCTCCAGCCACCTCACCCTCCCCAGTACTGGGACCACAGGCATGCATCACCACACCCGGCTAATGTTTAAAATTTGTCTCTAGAGATGGGATCTTGCTCTGTTGCCCAGGCTAATCTCGAGCTCCTGGCCTCAAGTGATCCTCCAGCCTCAGCCTCCCAAAGAGTTGAGATTAGAGGTGTGAGCCACCGCACCCAGAGGAATTTGCATTTCTTCCAAATTCCCAGGTGGTCTCGATGCAACTGGACTCAGGACCACATTTAGAGAAACTCTGCTCTCAAGGGTGGCAGAAAAGTAGATGCAAGTAGCTTCAATTCCTGAATTATCACACAGGAAAGGTCAACCAGCAAATACCAACCTGGGGCTCTGAGTGAGAGACCAGCCAGAGTGTGTTTAACCTCTGAGATTTGGGAATTAACCATCATAGAGGCTTGAATTACCCAACTAAGGCAGAAGAAACGATAGTTGTCTCAGTGCAGAAGAGGAAGACATAGAGGAAGACCTCACTGAGGTCTCTGATTATTATTCCTTGGCTTAAAATACAAGGCTCTTTAGGGCCAGGCACGGTGGCTCACGCCTGTAATCCCAGTTACTCGGGAGGATGAGGCAGGAGAATTGCTTGAACTTGGGAGGTGGAGGTTGCCGCGAGCCAAGATTGCGCCATTGCACCCATTGCACTCCAGCCTGGGCAACAAGAGCGAAACTCTGTCTCAAAAAACAAAACCAAACAAAAAACAAAAAACAAGACTCTTTATACCCCAACTTTCTCCCCCAAGTCTCCCACCAGCCCGCACACTCTCTAAATTCTAGTTGCACAAGGCTGCAGCGGGAACACTGAGGAAAGGGAGCAGAATTGAAGTCACCTCAGTCGGCCAAAAGACAGCCTTCTGAAAGCTAGGTATAAAATCAGAATATTGCAAACCCAATAATTTATGTATTCTTTAATTTGTGAGATAATTATAGATTTGTATGCAGTTATAGAGAATAAATCAGAGATTCCATGTAACTTTTACCCAGTTATTCTGATAGAAATTTCTTGCAAAAGTACCGTACAATAACAAAATCAGAATATTGATATTGATACAACCAAGATACAAAACATTTCCTTCACCACAAGGATCCTTCCTGTTGCTTTTTATAGCCACGCCCACTTCCCTCCAACCTTCTTTTCTATTGACTTGTTTTAGCAAACAGCCAAACTGTTTTTCCATCTTACATTCTCACCAGCAGTGTATAAATGATCTGGTTTCCTCACATTATCAATAGCATTTGTTATTACTATTTTTAAAAAAATTTCAGCCATCCCGATAGGTGTGGGATGACATTTCATTGCCGTTCTAATTTACATCTCCCTAATGGCTAACGATATTGAATATCTTTTCCCGTGCTTATTTGCCTTCTGTATATCTTCTTCAGTTAAATGTCTCATTCATTTTTTTCTCTCTATCTTTTTATTTATTTATTTATTTTTTATAAAGACAGAGTCTTGCTCTGTTGCCCAGGCTGGAACACAGTGGCATGATCACGGCTCACTGCAGCCTCTAACTCCTGGGTTCAAGCAATCCTCTCACCTCAGTCTCCTGAGTAGCTGGGACTACAGACATGAGCCACCATGTCTGGTTCCTTTAACATTTTTTTGTATGGCGTGTGCCTGTAATCCCAGCTACTCAGGAGGCTGAGACAGGGGAATTGTTTGAACCCAGGAGGCGGAGGTTGCAGTGAGCCAAGATCAGGCCACTGCACTCCAGCCTGGGCGACAGAGCAAGACTCCGTCTCAAAAAAAAAATTTTTTTTTTTTCTAGAGATGGGGTCTCATTACATTGCCCAGGCTGGTCTCAAACTCCTGGGCTCAAACGATCCTCCCACCTCAGCCTCCCAAAATGCCAGATTACAGTCGTGAGCCACTCATTCATTCTTTAAGCGATATCTGCTGTGTGCTGACGGTGGAGAGGCACTGTTCTAGGAAGTATAGCTACAGTGAGAGGCAAGTTACCTGAAGGATCAGAGCAAAAAGGCATATGGTCGTTGCTGGGGTACTGACTGCCTCCCAGACAGGAGCAAGATTAACCATGATCTAAGCGAATGAGTTAACAATCTCAAAAATTATTCTCTTTTTAACTAGAACAGGCAGTTGTTGGTCAGTATGGCCAAGATTCAGAGAGGCATCTTTTGTCTTGGTGATATCCCTCAGCAGAAAAGAGAGAGCGCACTACAGCCCTTTCACTCTTCTTATTAGACAAAAATGTATCTCAAGCTGTCTGATCTGAGAAGCCATCTTCCATGCACCTATGTAGAGGGGGGAAAGGTGTTGATATGCTACTGTAAGTACCCTTTATTTATAGGGATCTCAATGGGAGGTAACACAGGCTTTCTGGTTATACATCAGTCTATTGAGAGTTGGGTTAGTGTTAGTCTTTCTGAAGATCAGTTCCCCTGAGAGTGCAATGACAATATCAAGTTTCTAGGCTTGCCAAACAGAGGGACATTTCACTGACCATGACCCCATGCAAAGCCTCATGACAGGAAATATGTCAAACTTTCTTGGTGACTTTCCACATTTACGACAGGACTTTCTTCAAGTATTATCCCAAATTGTTGGCAGTTTCATTCTTCTCAGGCTTTGTGTATGTTCATCTGTGTGCCTGGAATTTTCTCTCTGATTTGTTTACCTGGAGAACTCCTACATTTCCCCCAAAACCCAAATATCCCCTCTATTGTGATGACTCTTTTTAAAGTGTTTTTATTTTTAATTTTTTTGGAATTACCATTGTACTTTGTGCCTTTGTTTTTAATCACCTATTAAATACCTGTTGAATATAGGCTCTGAGTTTGCTATTTTGTGTATTCGATTCTCACAAAAATGCCTTTTAGAGATTTTTTTTATTTTTTTGAGACAGGGTCTTACTCTGTCACCCAGGCTGGAGTGCAGTGGCATGATCATAGCTCAATGCAGCCTCAAACTCCTGGGCTCAAGCAATCCTCCTGCCTTGACCTCCTGTGTAGCTGGGACTACAGGCATGTACCACCATGCCTGCTTAATTTTTTAAAAATCTTTTTGTAGAGATGGGGTTCTCCCTATGTCACCCAGGCTGGTCTTGAACTCCCAATCTCAAGAGATCCTCCTGCCTCAGCCTCCAAATTGAGGAAAAAGAAACTACCAAAACTAGGAGGGCATCCAAAGTGCTGAGATTACAGGTGTGAGCCACCACGCCTGGCCAGAGAGAGATGTTTTTATGCATATATTATAAATGATAGATTTAAGCCTCAGAAAGTTTAAGTCCAAAGTCATACAGCCAGTGAGTTTCCTAGGCTCAAAGTCTAATTGAGATGTGTCAGCTGCAAAGGGCAGGCCCTTTTAAGAACCTCATCCTGATCATAGCACTTGGTTATTTATTTGCTTGTCTACACCTCCATTAGCCCGTGATGTTTATAGGAGCCAAGACTGTACCAAACTCACACACAGTCACCACCTTGCCCTTAGCATGCCATGCCCATGTGTTGAGTGAATAAGTGGATGAGTGAATGAATCAATGAACAAATGATTTTTCACATGGCACAGATGCAATCACGTGTAACAGATTTTGAACAAATATTTTATTTCGCTGTCTTTAGCTTTCTGCCTTGATTAACTGCTGCTATCTTCTCTTGCTCTTCATCATATATATATATAAATTTTTTTTTTTTGAGACGGAGTCTCTCTCTGTTTTACAGTGACATGATCTTGGCTGACTGCAACCTCCGACTCCCAGTTTCAAGCAATTCTCCTGCCTCAGCCTCCCGAGTAGCTGGGATTACAGGCACTCACCGCCATGCCAGCTAATTTTTGTATTTTTAGTAGAGACGGGGTTTCACCATATTGGCCAGGATGGTCTCGATCTCCTGACCTCGTGGTCCACCCACCTCGGCCTCCCAAAGTGCTGGGATTACAGGCATGAGCCACTGTGCCCAGCCCTCCATCCTATATTTTAAAAAATTCCACCGAGATATTCATGGGATGATGTTTCTCCCAGTACCTTCTGGGGAATTGTCCAACCACACGGTACTAATTTCATACAACTTAAACGGCCCAGACATTTAGCTTACCTCTCTCATTTATATTACAGTACAAATCTGGGATGTGCTTGTTTAAGTGACAGAAGGAGACAGCCTTTAATCTACACATGATTTCTTCTCAACTGCTCTCTCTGTGTAATGGCAGATGGTTCGCAGGCCCATCCTGTGAATGTTATGGTACTTAATGCATAAGCAGAGTCTGGGAGGGGAGGAGAGAGAGATGGAGATGAGATAAAAGACAATTACCATTTGTTCATATTTCAAATCCCACTTAGAGGAGGAATTGCAGCTCAAAAATGGAAGGCGGAGATGGGGTGGGGAGGAAGCCAGTTACATACAAGGTAAAATCCGGGGGATTAGGTGGATATAGTTAACTGACAGCAGAGATGTTTATTTCATACAAGCACAGCCTTGCTTTCTTCTAAACTGCTTGCTTAAATATCAGGGCTTCGGGAAGGCAACCTCCATATTTTACATGAAAAAAATTTGGGGTTAAAATAATTAACATTTTCCAACAAATATAACAAATGATTCGTGTATTTAATATTTAATTATCTTCTACAGAGCAAATGAATAATTTAAATAAACACTTAGAGATCCACTCATAAAACAAAAAACACAAAGAATTTCTAACAAACTTTTAGAACAATATATAGCCACAGCAGAAATGGAAAAATACAATAAAGTAGGAGGTCCTTTTCTGTCTGTGAAATTAGCAAAGATAGAAAAATGATGATCCAAATTGTGAGGAATATATAATGCAATGTGCAGCCTCATATACTTTTGGTTAGAATATGAATTAGTTCCCTCTTTTCAGAATTATCTGTAAAGAATAGTAAAAGTACACAGAAACATTATCTCTGAATTCTGGTTCTGAAAACTTATCTTAAAGCAATAATTCAAGATTGGTGAGGAAAGAACAGTTTTATGCAAAAAGACATTGGTTACACTCTTGTTATTACTGGGGTAAAGTGGGTGAAAAATTAAAAATGACTCAATCTAGAAATCTGGTTTGGTCACAGTAGAGTCCTACAACAAAATATGTTATTTCTTTCACCCAGTGCTTTTGTTTATATCTGTAGATAAGCTAAATAGTCAGTTGTATTTTTTTCTAGATTTTTATTTTTATTATTATTATTTTTTAAGATAAAGTCTTGCTCAGTCACCCAGGCTGGAGTGCAGTGGTGCAATCTTGGCTCACTGCAGCCTCCCCCTCCCAAGTTCAAGCAATTCTCCTGCCTCAGCCTCTCAGGTAGCTGGAATTACAGGCATATGCCACGACGCTTGGCTAATTTTTTGTATTTTTAGTAGAGATGGAATTTCACCATGTTGGCCAGGCTGGTCTCAAACTCCTGGCCTCAAGTGATCCGCCTGCCTTGGCTTCCCAAAGTGGTGGGATTACAGGCATGAGCCACCATGCCTGGCCTGATGTTCTTCTTTCTTTTTCTCTTTTCTTTTTTTTTTTTTCAGAGTCAGGGTCTCAGTCTGTCACTCAAGTTGGAGTGCAATGGTGTGATCATAGCTCACTGCAGCCTCCAACTCCTGAGCTCAAGCAATTCTCCTGCCTCAGTCCCCCAAGTAGCTGGGACTACAGGTGTATACCACCACGCCTGGCTAATTTTGTAGGGATTTTTTTGTGTGTGTGTAGGGATAGGGTCTTGCTATGTTGCCCTGGTTGATCTCAAACTCCTGGCCTCAAGCAATTCTCCTGCCTCAGTCTCTGAAAGTGCTGGGTTTACAGGCATGAGCCACTGTGCCTGGCCCTCATTTCTTCCTTCTAACCCTTTGTTCTATATAGATGTTATTTTAACATGCCATATGAAGACTCAGAGGACATGGGTCCAAATCCTGTCTTTGCCATCAGCTATGTTACTTTTGATTCACGGAAGCAAAAATGATCTCACCTACCATACAGATTGCTTGTGAATCTCCTGTGAGTTGCTGCATACAGAATTAGTGAGATTTGTTTTAATTGGCTGCCTAGCACAGGGACAAGGGGCTGCTGCACATCACCCCATCTATCAGGAGACAGATAGAGAGTAAGAACTGGGGCAGGGTGCGGTGGCTCACACCTGTAATCCCACACTTAGGGAGGCCGAGGAAGGCAGATCTCTTGAGACCAGGAGTTCGAGACCAGCCCGGCCAACATGGCGAAACTCCATCTCTACTAAAAATACAAAAATTAGCCGGGTGTGGTGGCGTGTGCCTGTAGTCCCAGCTACTTGAGAGGCTGAGGCATGAGAATCCCTTGAACCTGGGAGGCAGAGGTTGCAGTGAGCTGAGATCGTGCCACTGTACTTCAGTCTGGGCAAGAGTGAGACCCTGTCCCCGCTAAAGAAAGAGAGAGAGAGAATAAGAACTGGAATAGTTGGAGAAATCTATGTGGAAAAGGCAATCCTGAATCATGTATTAAAAACAAGGCGAGGCCAGGTGCAGTGGCTCACGCCTGTAATCCCAGCACTTTGGGAGGCCAAGGCAGGCAGATCACAAGGTCGGGAGTTTGAGACCTGCCTGGTCAACATGGTGAAACCCCATCTCTACTAAAAATACAAAAATTAGCCAGACGTGGTGGCGTACGCCTATAATCCCAGCTACTTGGGAGGCTGAGGCAGGAGAATCGCTTGAACCCAGGAGGTGGAGGTCACAGTGAGCTGAGACAGTGCCACTACTTTAGCCTGGGTGACAGAGCGAGACCCTGTCCCCCCAAATAGAGAGAGAGAGAGAGAGAGAGAGCATAAGTACTGAAATAGTTGGAGAAATTTATGTGGAAAAGGCAATCCTGAATCACATATTAAAAATAAAGGCCCGGCTGGGGGTGATGGCTCACTCCTGTAATCCCAGCACTTTGGGAGACCAAGGTGGGTGGATCACGAGGTCAGGAGATCGAGACCATCCTGGCTAACACGGTGAAACTCCGTCTCTACTAAAAATACATAAAATTAGCTGGGTGTGATGGTGGGCGCCTGTAGTCCCAGCTACTCGGGAGGCTGAGGCAGGAGAACGGCGTGAACCCGGGAGGTGGAGCTTGCAGTGAGCCGAGATCGCGCCACTGCACTCCAGCCTGGGCAACAGAGCGAGACTCCGTCTCAAAAAATAAAAAAATTCAAATAAATAAATAAATAAATAAATAAATAAATAAAGGCTAGGCACAGTGGCTCACGCCTGTAATCCCAACACTGTGGGAGGCCAAGGTGGGCAGATCATGAGGTCAAGAGATTGAGACCATCCTGGCCAACATGGTGAAACCCCATCTCTACTAAAAAATACAAAAATTAGCTGGGTGTGGTGGCATGCACCTGTAGTCCCAGCTACTCGGGAGGCTGAGGCAGGAGAATCGCTTGAACCCAGGAGGCAGAGGTTGCAGTGAGCAGAGATCACGCCACTGCACTCCAGCCTGGGTGAGAGAGTGAGACTCCATCTCAAAAAAAAAATAAAATGAAATTAAATAAATACATAAATGAAGTGAAAGATTTCCATTTCTAGCCATGAAGGAAAAACAAGGATCAGAGTTCCACTCCAGCCTTAAATGACTAGAACATCAGATAAATGGAAGAAACAAGAGTTTTCGGAGATTGAACAATAGACAACACAGGACATTGATCGTTGCAAGAAGACCAGCCAATGAGGTGACCTGTAGGAGTGCCCCAACTCACTCCCTGCAGAGAGGTACCATGGCTAATCCCAATGGCCAGGGAGCACAGCAAAGCCTTGCAGAATCAAGGGGACAGAGTGTGGTTCTAGGGCAGGAGGCCAGGAGGCTGGAGTTTGCATGGATGTTTCCTGGAGATAAGGAAGCCGAGCCAGAGAGAGATCCAGAGATTCACAGACCAGCCTTGGCAACATGGCGTAACCCCGTCTCTACTAAAAATACAAAAAGTAGCCGGGCATGGTTGTGCACGCCTGCAATTCCTGCTACTGGGGAGGCTGAGGCAGGAGAATGGCTTGAACCCTGGTGGGGGTGGAGGTTGCAGTGAGCTGAGATCACACCACTGCACTCCAGCCTAGGCGACAGAAGGAGTGAGCCTCTGTCTGAATCTTTGAATACTGCTCTGTGCATGTGTATGAAGAAACTACCCAAACTGGGAGGCGGGGGGTGGAGGCGGGAATCCCTATCCTTCCCAAGCTGGGTCGCTATTCTAATGGTAGGGGTGGAGGATAATTCTAGGTAACATTGAAGTGGTGATCAAAGTCCTCCCTGAAGTGTCCCCCTTTAGTGATATCCAATTGCCCCCCTACTCACTGGCAAATTTTTATTTACTTGAAACACCAACCCCAGATCTTTTTATTTTTTCTTTTCTGACAGGGTCTCCCTCTGAAGGGAGGGAGTACTCCACCCAGGCTTGATCAGTGTACAGTGGCATGATCAGAGCTCACTGCAGCCTCGACCTCCTGGACTCAAGCGATCCTCCTGCCTCAGCCTCCTGAGTAACTGGGACCACAGGCATGTCTTGCCATGTCCAGCTCATTTTTAAAAATTATTTTTTGTAGAGATGGAGTCTCCCTATATCGAGAAAGCAAGTCAGGGTCTTGCTCTCTCACCCAAGCTGGAGCGCAATTGTGCAATCATAGCTCACTGCAGCCTCCAGCTCCTGATCTCAATCAATTCTCCTGCCTCAGCCTTGCAAGTAGCTAGGATGACAGGTGTGCACCACTATACCTGGCTAATTTTGTTTTTTGTGTTTGTGTGTGTAGAGATGGGCTCTTGCTGCGTTGCCCAGGTTGATCTCAAACTCCTGGCCTCAAGCAATCCTCTCACCTAGGCCTCCCAAAGTGCTGGGATTACAGGTGTGAGCCACTGCACCCAGTCTGAGCCCAAATCTTCCTGTATCTATACTGCTTTTCCTACAAATGCAAGAACCTAAAAATACATTCAGCCCAAGGCTACATCCTGGCCACAGATACATAAAAACCACCTCAAACACAACTATGGCCTTCTCCATTCACTACTGGGGACTGAAATATTTGTCGTTGTACACATAATATTTTATTTGTTCCTAATAATGCTGTGAATGAAGGATGGTAAATGTGCTTTGCCTGCTTTAAGAAACCCAACATCCAGAGAGGTTCATTAACTTTTCCAAAACCACACAACAAGATAATGGGAGAAGTGGAACCAGAGTTAAGGTTATCTAATACTTAAGTTGATTTCTTCTCATGAAATCAAAAATAAACTTGTAGGCCAGGCACAGTGGCTCAAGCCTCGAATCCCAGCACTTTGGGAGGCCGAGGCAGGTGGATCACCTGAAGTCAGGAGTTCGAGACTAGCCTGGCCAACATGGTGAAACCCTATCTCTACTAAAAATACAAAAATTAGCCAGGTGTAGTTGCACGCTCCCAGCTACTCAGGAGGCTGAGGCATGAAAATTACTTAAACCCAGGAGGCGGAGGTTGCAGTGAGCCAAGATTGCACCACTGCCCTCCAGCTTGGGCAACAGAGCAAGACTCCATCACAAAAACAAATAAATAAATAAAATAAACAAGCACATCCATTAAGATCCTTCTTGGTATTCATCACCATTTCCTAGATACCTGGAAAATAAGGAACTCTACCTTTTCTGTGCATGAAACCAAACTCTGCAATAAGAACCTCCCTTCTTGAGTCCAGATTTATTAGAAAATCTGCATTTATAACACTCTGGTTCTCTGGAGAATGTAACTTTCAGTCCAGATAAAAATATGGTTTGACAGCAAAATCATGCTATGAAAGCAAGATCATATTCCAGACTGCATATAACACAACCAAATATGAAAAAAAATGGTTAAGAGCAAAACTATACACTGGATTTGAGGGCTGAATCTGCTACTCACTTGTTCAGAGACTTGAGAGAGTTATTAAATCTCTTAAAGTTTCTGTTTACTCACCTATAAAATGAGGCCAATAACACTCAACTCAGTGGGGTTACTGTGAGGGTTAAATGAAGTAATTCAAGTAAATGTGTTTTGCCTTGAATACGGTAAGAGCCCAAAACACCATTCAATGCACACTTACGCCTGTCTGGTGATTCACTACCTTTGGCCTTCAATATATTCTCAACAACCTCTCTGTAACGTGTTGGAGTTCTGAGCTATCATTTCTCAAATGACACAATCTACTTATGTGACTTAGTTGCGTAGGAGGAATTTGCTCCAACAGTCCTCAACAGTCTTCCTCATCATTTAGTTCATAAAGCTCAAGATATGTGAATTCAGCCAACAAAAATTGCCATGTCTTCTCCCCAAAAGGAATTCATAAAGGAAATTCACCATTTGAAGCTAGAGGTAGAATTCCTTTAGAATTTTCTTTAGAATTTCTAGTACTTAAGTCAATTCTTTTCATGAAATCAAAGATTAACTTGTAGGAAATATCAGAGGTCAATCATTTTTTTGCAACTTAGACATAAAGGAAAGAAATTTTGCTCCCCCTCACCCCAAGCTGACCTTTAAGAATCAAGCTCCAACACCTTTATTCCTGGTAGTTTATTCCTTTCAATGCTTTAGCTCAAGTAGGCATTTAACAGACGTGAAGGGGTGTTTGTGAAGACAAGAGTTTAATTCATCAGATGGTCTATTTCCTGATGACTTGTACCTGGAGGTGATTGGATTATCTGTATCATGCCCTAAAAGTTACCACTTAGGCTGGCATGGTGGCTCATGCCTGTAGTCCTGGTGCATAGGATGAAGTTATAGGAATAGAGAAATTCTTTTTTTTTTTTTTTTTTTACTGTCGCCTGGGCTGGAGTGCAGTGGCATGATCGTGGCTCACTGCAACCTCCGCCTTCTGGGTTCAAGTGATTCCCCTGCCTCAGCCTCCCAAGTAGCTGGGATTACAGGTGCCTGCCACCACACCCAGCTGATTTTTTGTATTTTTAGTAGAGAGGGGGTTTCACTGTGTTGGCCAGACTGGTCTCAAACTCCTGACCTCGCGATCTGCCTGCCTTGGCCTCCTGAAGTGTTGGGATAACAGGCATGAGCCACTGCACCAGGCCAGAGTAGATAAATTCTAAATGAAATTCTAGAGGAATTCTGCCTCTACATTTATATGGTAGCATGTAACTGCCTGTTCTTTCTCTGCCTTATCACATAGATATTTTCCCCTAATGGATTTATATGGTTTGGCTCTGTGTCCTCACCCAAATCTCATCTCAAATTGTAATCCCCATAATCTCAATGTGTCCTGAGAGGTACATTGTGGGAGGTGATGGATCAAGGGAGTGGTTTTCCCCATGCTGTTCTTGTGACAGTGAGGGAGCTCTCACAGAAGCTGATGATTTAATAAAGGGTGCTTCCCCTTCGCACACTCTCTCTCTCCTGCCGCCATGTAAGACATGCCTGCCTCCCCTTTGGTCTTGATTGTAAATTTCCTGAGGCCCCCCCAAGCCATGCAGAACTGTGAATCAACTAAACCTCTTTTCTTTATAAATTACCCAGTCTCAGCAATTCTTTATAGCAGTGTGAGAATGGACTACATGGATCTCCTCATAAAAATACACTGATCTCCTAAAAAAAAAAAAACCTTTTGATTCTCTTGGTCACCAACAATGAAGGAAACCTTAACTGTACACACAGACTTAATATAGCAGTGAAAGTCATCATATTCTAGGTGACCTAGCCCATACCTTCTCTAAAAGACTCCCAGAATAAGCAGGAACCAACAACTAAAATTATAGAAAACTCAAGAGGAAAGACAAAGTGCATTTTCTGTGGGAAATATGTATTATTTTTATAATAAGAAAATTACAATAATCGTCAGCCTGTGTGAGGAATCTCATCTCAGCCGTGACTAAACACAGAGCTAGTTTTAATCTCACAGCTGCACTCTGTTCTGAAACTTGAACCACTAGAATAAACATCACATTTTTTGCTCCTTTCCCACTTAAATCTTAGTCCAGTCCAATGATGTCTGCAATTCAATCTGGTTATAAAAATCTGAGGTTCTCTCAGAAAAACATTCAGTGAAATTCAAGTTCTTTTCATTACCTCAGTCATTTATTTCATTCTGAATTCTCTGTCTGGATCTCCTTCCACTACTATGCCTACCTTATTGTACAAATTCTGAACCACCCACACCACTGCTGCTTAGAGGCTGGTGTAGGAACAAAAGGGAATTTTCCTTCACCCTCAAAAGGTTCACTTAAAAATCAGCTTGTAGAGGCAGATTAATTGGAGAAAAAGCAAACAAATTTATTTCATGTGTTTACACAGGAGCCTTCAGAATGAAGACTCAATCCCCCAGTGGGGTGCAGAAGCTTATAAACCATCTTGAGGTTACAGAAAGAATGGGGCTTGGATCTTGGCAAAACAGGTTATAGGAGGGGAAAAAGAGGAGTTTTTTTGAGGGGAAATAAATGATTACTAGAGAGATTTCAATGGGCTTGAAGAACATACAATGGCCTCTGGCAAAGTCTGCTGGGCTTGCAGAGCAGACAATGGTTTGTGACAAAAATCTGTCCAGGTTTGTTGACCTCAGCCATTCTTCCTGCCATATAAGTTTAGTTAATGAAAATCAGGGCATGGACAATACTGGAGGTAATTGTCTTCTTCTTTGGTAGGGCTGAACTTTAAGCAGATAAAGGAATTTCAGAGAATAACTTTGTCCTGTGCTTTGGGAGAGATGGTGGTGGGGTGTGGAAGGTGGACAGAATGTCAAAGACAACTTAAGCCTCCTTTTTCAGTTCAGCATGTACAAAGTGAGATTTTTCGGGATATCGATTTCTGAGCCCTGAATTGGTATGCTGGCATAAGGAGAGAAACACGAAACAGCTCCTAGACAATCAGAACACTCTGAATGTGTCTCTTTCCAAGTCATCTTCTCATAGCTCCCAGGCAGGCAGACAACCAAATAACTTTGCTCCTGAATCTGAAAGCAGACTGACATCTCACACTATGAATCAGGGACCTGTCAAATGTGGCATTTGGGAATGTAGCAAGACATTCTCAAAATCATGCTATCTCCAATGGTTCTTTCAATATCCCATGATATTGGGACACAAAAAGGGACACAAAAAAGTCTATGATACCTTCATGGGATTCATATTTTCATTTTTCTTTTCTTTTCTTTTCTTTTTTTTTTTTTTTTTGAGATGGAGTCTCACTCTGTCGCCAGGCTGAAGTGCAGTGGTGCGATCTCGGCTACCTGCAACCTCCACCTCCTGGGTTCAGTTGATTCTCCTGCCTCAGTCGCCTGAGTATCTGGGATTATGGGTGCCTGCCACCATGCCTGGCTAATTTTTGTATTTTTAGTAGAGACGGGCTTTCACCATGTTGGCCAGGCTGGTCTCAAACTCCTGACCTTGTGATCCACCCACCTCGGCCTCCCAAAGTGCTGGGATTATAGGTGTAAACTACCGCGCCCAGCCCATATTTTAATATTTTTATGAGCTTTAACCTATTAGTTGCAGGGTAGCTTCTCATTCTCTAAAAGCACTCTATGTCTAACTTTTTATGGTCAAGGGCAGCTGCCTGTTCATTCTCTATTTCCTACATGTATTCTCCTAAGACATCCCCTCAAGGTCTCCAAAGGCTAAGGATACAGTTTTCAAGGGATCTGTCACTGGAGAAGTTCTTTAAAGGACTTTACATATATACATCCATGTACATACAAAGAAGAAATTCTTTAGCCATCCATCTATTCTGGTAGCATACGACCTGCATATTCTAACCACCCACTTAGAGGATATCTCTTTTCCATTGATCTAGTAACATAAAGTCATTTTCTAAATCACTATTACATTTACCACTGCAGTTAACATTGATCTAAACCTCACAAACTTTTATTTATTATCTTATTAATTTCATAGTAAGCTATAATAAACACCATCATGGACAACTATAGACTTGGTGTCTTCAAACAAGCGGGAATCTAAACAAGAGACACCAGAAAAGAATTTCTCCTTCTCAAGTTTGGTTCAGATTGTTTATGTGCTGAGTGCACAGAATATTAAGGCAAGGGCTTGCTTAATAAACTTACTCTTGAAGCAGACTGAGCGCATACATGCAGCACCAGCAAAAGGACACCAGCCAACACCAGACATTAACAACAGTTCATGGCCAGGCACAGTGGATCACGCCTATGATCCCAGCACTTTGGGCAGCTGAGGCAGGCGGATCACTGGAGGTCAGGAGTTCAAGACCAGCCTGGACAACATGGTGAAACCCCGTCTCCACTGAAGATACAAAAAATGGCCAAGCATGGTGGTGGCTGCCTGTAATACTTGCTACTTGGGAGGCTGAGGCAGGAGAATCACTTGAACCTGGGAGGTGTAGGAGGCAGTGAGCCGAGATTATACCACCACACTCCAGTCTGGATGACAGAGTGAGACTCCATCTCCAAAAAAAAAATAAAAGTTCTTTCCTTATTTTATTTTAGAGATGGAGTCTCACTCAGTCACCCAGACTGGAGTGCAGTGGTGCAATCATAGCTTGCTGCAACCTCAAACTCCTGGGCTCAAGTGATCCTCCCAACTCATCCTCCCGAGTATTTGGGACAACAGGTGTGCACCACCATTTCCAGCTCATTTTATTTTTTCTTGTAGATATGGGGTCTTTCTGTGTTTCGTGTTTCCCTGGCTGGTCTCTAACACCTGGGCTCAAGGGATCTTCCCATCTCAGCCTTCTAAAGTGATGAGATTACAGGCGTGAGCCAGCATACCTGGCTAACAGTTTATTTTTGATGAATTTCATACAAAGCATTTACTCAAAATATCTAGAATGATAACGTCTGGCAACATCAGGAGTAAGCATATATATAGAACAAGAAGAATTGCTGTACACTGCTAATGGGAGTGTAAATTGGTATAACCACTTTAGAAAACAAATTGGTAATAGTTAGGAAATGTGAAGATGCACATATCCTATAACCCAGTGATTTTTCTCTTAGGAATTTACCCTACAGAGTTCTTGCACAGGTGCACAGTTTTACACGTACACAAGAAGGAATGCTCATATCAACATTGCTCATAATAGCAAACATTTGGAAATAAACTCCATCCCTCAATAAGAGAATGGATAAATCAGTTGTGGTGTATTCATGTAAGTGAGCACCATACAGAATTAGCCAAGTGACCTCAGAGGTCATCGATGTGAGTCATTCTCAAACCTGCCTCTACATCAGAATGACCTGGGGAGCTTAAATAGAACAGATTCTGAGTCAGTATCTTTGAATGTGGAGCCTGATGCACCTGCTGCTACATGAGTCAATATTTGGAAAACACTGATGTAGCTTATTTATAAATTGTTAAAATTATGGCATGGGGATGGGGGTGGATTAACATGTCTATGGTAACCCAGCTGGTGAAAGGGTGAGTGGGGAACTGAACCAGGTTCGGCTGTCTCCTGGTTCAGAGATCTCTATGGTATATCACGTTACCTTTCTACAGTCTAACAAAAAGAGCAGGTAGTTAAACTAACCAGTTAGTCCATCAAGATTGTTAAACTGCGTATATTGGTTACACTAAGAGCCCAGACTTCACCACTAGGCCATATGTTTATGTGACAAAACTGTACTTGTACTACCTAAATTTATACAAATAAAATAATAATAATAAAAAACTTGATTTCAGAGAGCGTATCTTCCTTCTGGTCTGCCCTATGGGACCTCTTGATCCTGCTAAATACTCTGAATTTGTGGTTCTCTCTTAAATAGAAAACTTGAATGTGAGGGGATCTAGAGAGAGAGAGAGATAGACACAGGCATACACATAGCAACAGAGATAAACATAGATATAATAGATCTAGATATAGGAAATATGGAGAGTAATGTTTTCTTTCTCCCCAGCCAACAGGAAAGAATTCTGCATGGGAGTCAGAACATTTGTATTAAAGACCTGATTTTACTGGGCAACAGAGCGAGACCTTGTCTCTACAAAAAATAAACAAAACTAACCAGGCACAGTGGTGTGCACCTGTAGTCCCAGCTACTTGGGAGGCTGAGGTAGGAGGATCGCCTGAACCCTGGAAGTCAAGTGTTTCTTTCTTTCAGCATGTCATTACCAATTGCACAGGACCAAGGAAAATAAAGCCATGTATGTAGGGAAATATATTATTTTTTTGAACTTTAGTCAAATGGAACGTTTTGTTTTGGGATGGTAAACACATCTTTTGCCTTAGAGTATAGATAAAAGGTCTTTGGGTTATGGTAGATAAGGCCGGGCTAACACGGCTGCTTCAAGTAAAAATAAGGATGTGCTTCAACATGAATGGATTTCCACTTTCCCTATTGAGGGCTTGAGACAGAAAGCCTTTGGGCCCGTTTTGCTCAGAGAAGGAAGGAGATGAGAAAGTCTGAAAGAGAGGACCAGCCTCGCTACTGGGCAGGAGGTCAGAAGCCTTAGGACAGAGAATGTTGTATGAAAAAGATGACACAATGGTAGAAATGGCCATAGAATTTTAAGAACAGTGATGCATTAAATACAATTTTGAGTATTTTTTGCTTGATGCTGTTGACCTCCAACACCACTGTCAAATCCTCAAAAAAAAAAATGTCATTGACAATAGCATTTATCCATTCAATCATGCAACATCACTCTAAACCCTGGGGATACCATGATGTATGGAACAGACAAAATCCCTAGTTTCGTAAGATTTATATTTTAGTACCATCTTTGTAGTTGCTTAAGGAATGGATACGGTCAGTTATATTCACATTTGGGGGTGAAGTGGTCCAGGGACCCCCTCCCCCCACAAGAAAACAAGGACAGGTGGGCCCTGGGCATGCTTTGGGTTTGTGGGATGAGCCTCTGGCTACTGTATTTGGATTCTACAGGAAAGCATGCTGGAGGATTTGGGGGTACTCAGCTTACATCTGCAACAATCTGTATTTCATTACTGCTCAGTATCTTTAATCATCCATATAATAACTCTTTATCTCAATGACCATTTTCTGTTCTTTAAAATTGTCATCTCTGCACCATGCAAAACACTTTCCCATTTTACTATTATTATATTTTTTGAAAAGGCACATTGAACAGCATATAGCCTGAGACCCTGAAGAGCTGAGAGTGTCTATATGGGCCTTGACAAGTGCTGTAGAACTAGATGTTTAAATATTAATAGTACCAGCAAGAAAATCTGAAGCCAATCTGGTTTTAACTCCTCTGAAAGTAAATGGTTGCTTGTTTGAAGCTTACAGGATTGTATTTCTATCCTTTACATTTCAAATTTTTGCAAGAGATTTGTCTGGTTTATTTGAACTTATTTTGTCCACCTGATTTCTCATCTTTGGATTTTTTTTATAAGTTCTGGATTTTTTTTTCTTCCATATCAGTTTTAAAGATAAAATTTTAAACTACTTATTTTATTTCAGGGGGAAAAGGAATCTTTTCTTATTAACAGATTGGATCTTTTTATTCTAACTTCTATATCCACCATCTTACTTTTCAAAGTAAAAATAAAAGGATTGAGTTCTTACAACATGTCCATTTATCTTTCTGCACATTCTTTTCAATTATTTTTAAAGTTGTCTTCTATAGTCTGGAGATATTTCTTAGATATAAATCTGAGCATGTTTTGTAGCTTATTCTGCATACTATTTACTTTCTTTTTATCTGCTTCATTTCTTTATCTTTTAAAACCTAAGCTCTTCTTATTTAAGCGATAGTGGTACTTTTTTTTCCAAACAGAATAGAAAACTTCCACTTTCAAATATTGTTCTGTTTTGTGAAATAAGTTTTTATTTTCTGAGGAAAATGTTATATCTATGGTGTGTGTGTCTGTGTGTGTGTGTGTGTGTGTAGATTTTTTCTAGTTATCCCAGTTTGTTTATGTATCCTCTGCCATTTCCCATTGTTGACTCAAAGGACCCAACTGAAAAATGTTATGAGTATTAAACTTTGTTTAATCTGTTTTCCTATTACAATAAAGCAGGTGGTGGTCATATACCAGGAATAGATATTGCAAGTATTACTGGCACAGAATTATATTGTTTCATTAGCAAACACAAAATTTAACATTATTTCAGTAGCTATGGATGGAAGGGGAAAAACATTCTCCTCTCCATCACCATGTCCTTGGCCTTGTTCATTGATGCCACACTTGAGATAGTTTACTGCAGTGGAAGCCCTTTCATTTTGGCTTATAAACTGCTCTGCCAGACTCTCTTGTGCTTATAGAGTGATTTGCTCTATGCCTATATCTAATTCACAGCCATTTCAATAAATGCCTATATACCCTCAAAAGCTATATATCCTCATACCCTATATACCACGTCTATGTACCTTCAAAACCCCACAGATCCCATATTCAGAACTCTGTTTAACTTCATAAGGGAATGAAGCATTAATTTTAGGAAGGATGATACATTGTCTTCTTCCCTCTATTGTCATCAAATATTCTTGTCTTCTTGTCATCAGCTTTCTTTTTTCTTCCTACTGTATTAGTTACCTGTGGCTGCTATAATAAATTACAAATTGTTGGCTTAAAACAACAGATGTTTATTCTCTCTGGAGGCCGAAAATCCAAACTCAGCATTGCTACACCAAAATCAAGGTGTTGGCAGGGCCACTCTTCCTCCAAAAGCCCTTGAGGGGGATCCATTCCTTGCTACTTCCTGTCCCCTGTGGCTGCTGGTATTCATTGGTTTGTGGTCACACCACTTTCATCTCCAAGGCCAGCATCTTCAAGTCTCTCTCTGCTCTGCCTTTACATTACCTTCTCTCTTTGTGTGTTAATTTCTCTCTGCTCCTCTCTTAGAAGAATGCTTGTGAGCATTTATGGCCCAGAGAATCGTCCAGAATAATCTCCCCATTTCAAGATCCTCAACTTATTCACATCTGCAAAATCCCTTTGTTCAAATCGCATAATATTTAGAGGTTCCAATGATTAAAATCTGGTACCAATATCTGTAGGTGACCACTGTTCAGCTTAAAACACCCTTCAGAAACGATCCTGCCAAGACCCATGACCCAGAGAAATAATTTCTCTGAAGACCTCTTTCTAAAACATCTGCATCTGTTGTTGTGTTAGCTTTGTTTGAAAAGCAATGATCTGTGAGTTGTGTGCAGGAATTCTGTGTTGAGCTGAGGCTGGAGAGCATCCTGGGTGTAGGTGTAGGTCTCTGAGCCCATGAGCACAGCATAGTTACACATAAAGAGAAACACCCATGTATAAAGCCACATGATGGGGCATGCATCTACCCTCTGTGGCTTGTCCTATTTGAGCTCTGGCTGGAGAACAAGTCACAGAGAGGCACCTTATTTCTTATTTTTTGGATTCTGCATCTGTTTGTTTGTTTTTTTTAACTTTGGGGTCAGAGGTCCATATGCAAGCTTGTTATATAACTAAATTGCATATCATGGAGGTTTGGTGTTCAGATTATTTTGTCACCCAGGTAATAAGCATGGTTGCTAATAGGTAGTTTTTCAATTCTCTCCTACCTCTCATTCTCCACCCTCAAGGAGGCCCCAGTGTCTGTTATTCCCTTCTTTGTGTCCACGTGTACCCAGTGTTTAACTCCCACTTTTAAGTGAGAACATGAGGTATTTGGTTTTCTGTTCCTGCGTTAGTTTGCTCGGGATAATGACCTCCAGCTCCATCCATGTTGCTGCAAAGGACACGATCTCATTCTTTTTTATGAGAGCCTGTATCTTGTTATTGGCACCTCCTGGTAGAAATCACCATCTAGTTTTAGAAATACAGTTTATTCAGGAGAACTACTGCAACCAAGATCTGAAGCCTAATGAATAGCTAAGCCACAATTACACCTTTTTTTTTTTTTTCTTTTTTTGAGACAGAATCTTGCTCTGTCACCCAGGCTGGAGTGCAGCAGCGCCATCTCGGCCCACTGCAGCCTCTGCCTCCAGGGTTCAAGTGATTCTCATGCCTCAGCCTCCGGAGTAGCTGGGGTTACAGGCACACACCATCATGCCCGGCTAATTTGTGTATTTTTAGTAGAGACAGGGTTTCACCATGTTGGCCAGGCTGGTCTCAAACTCCTGACTTCAGGTGATCCACGTGCCTCAGCCTCCCAAAGTGCTGTTATTACAGACGTGAGCTACTGTGCCCAGCCCACAATTCCATCTTGATGGTTGGTCTTGTATGAGTGTTTTGTGTGCACTGAGCTAAGAAATGTACATGCCTTTTTTTCTTTCATTTAATTGTCACAGTAATCTTATAATATTGGCCTGAAATTGTGCCACTAAAAAAAAAAAAAATTGAGGCACAAAGAGCTTATTTAACTTTTCCGAAGTCCCAGAGGTAGTAAGTGATGGCATGAAAATTTAAGTCCAGATATAAGGCCAGACACAGTAACTCACGCCTGTAATCCCAGCACTTTGGGAGGCCGAGGCAGGTGGATTGCTTGAGGTCAGGAGTTCGAGACCAACCTGACTAACATGGTGAAACCCTGTCTCTACTAAAAATACAAAAAGTAGCAGGGTGTGGTGGCACGCACCTGTAATCCCAGCTATTTGGGAGGCTGAGGCAGGAGAATCCCTTGAATCTGGGAAGTGGAGATTGCAGTGAGCCAAGATCGCGCCACTGCACTCCAGCCTGGGCAACAAAGCAAGACTCCATCTCAAAAATAAATAAATAAATAAAAGAAATCCAGATTTAAGACGATGCTTTAGAGTTGTCAAGTTTCAGCTCCTCCTTTCACAAAGGGATGGGGTGAGGACATCAATGTTTTCTTTGTGTTTCCAAAGGCTATTGGCAGGAGATCTTCCCAGAAGAAAAAGAATGGAGGAAAGATGTTGGAAAGGAAGACACAATTGGCCAACAAGAGAAAGGAAGAGCTTCTCCAAGACTGGAAAGAGAACAAGGCTAACTTCTGTTCAACTCCCTGGCAAGTTGGTGGATCTCAGAGATGAATGATCTTGAGTCACACCAAGGTCATGACGCCTGGGTGTGGGGAACTTCTCGTCTCAAGAAGGAACTCATTTCAACTATGACACACAATGGTGAAGATGCAATTATGCAAAGGACTTTCTACTTAGAAAAAAAAAGTTCATATCATGGATAACCAGCACAGACATACATTTTGGAAGCCTTTTTTAAATATTCGAGTCTTCATGAAACCCTAAGTTTCTCTCACACAGTCATGAATTTAGGGGTAGGGAGTTCCAATAATGACCAAATTTGAATTTCTCAACATACCAGGAGAGATCTCAGGATAGGATTTACTTTGATTTAAGGGGAATAAGAGATTTTTGACATTTCTGTATTTCTCACATTCAAATTTGACAATGGGAGGATCATGCCCTGCCCCCCACCCTCATTCTCCATCTCTCTGAAGCCCAGGCTTTTAACCATTGGCCAGAGGGCTGAATATAAAGGTCACATGATTTTGGCCAGGCATGGTGGCTCATGCCTGTAATCCCAGCACTTTGGGAGGCCAAGGCGGGCGGATCACCTGAGGTCAGGAGTCCAAAACCAGCCTGGCCAACATGGTGAAACCCAGTTACTACTAAAAATATAAAAATTAGCCAGGAGTGGTGGTGGGTGCCTGTAATCCCAGCTACTAGGGAGGCTGAGGCAGGAGAATTGCTTGAGCCCAGGAGATGGAGGTTGCAGTGAGCCAACACGGTGCCACTGCACTCCAGCCTGGGTGACAGAGTGAGACTCCTCTCAAAAAAAAAAAAAAAGATGGCACAATTTCAGGGACAGCCCAGGTTCTGCAGTTCTTGTGGCCATTGCTAATAAGAGTGGACTCTGACTCATCTAGGAGAATGGGACTGAGTGGAAGACGTTTGTGGGATTGCTCCTCATGCCACCGTCTTCCCTGAGATCTACTAGCTGCGTTTTTTAATTAGTAAACTGAGAAAAAAAAATACATGCCTGGACATTTTATGCATCTATGAAAACAATAGTATTTAGGCTAGGCATGCTGGCTCATGCCTATAATCACAGCACTTTGGGAGGCTGAGGCAGGAGTACCAATTGAGGCCAAGAGTTCCAGGCCAGCCTGGGCAACATGGCAAGATCTCATCTTGGCAAAAAATTAAAAATTTAAAAATAAGCAAGGTATGATGGTGCGCATCTGTCGTCCCAGTTACTGAGGAGGCTGAGGTGGGAGGATTGCTTAAGGCTGGGAGGTTAAGGCTGCAGTGAGCTGTGACCACATCACTGCACTCCAGCCTGGGCAACAGAGTAAGACCCTGTCTCAAACAAGACAAAACAAACTAAACTAAAACAATGGTGTTTAAAAATTTTTTAAAGGCAAGCAATTACTATTTGTTTGCTAGGGTTTTTCATTTGTATTGTTCTGTGATTCTAAGGCTCGAGGCCATTGTGAGTTGTACATTTTCGTGAAAATCAAGGCTGCCCTGGGGTATAAGTTCTCTTATCTCTATAGTACTTCAGCTGCTTCTCATATGTCTAGTAGTTCCAGGACTTATTATATTTTTAGTCCTTATACTTTAAGTAGCCACTTAAGTGCTAAATCAACAAGATAAAAAAATGTTGGTAACATTGAAAGACAAAACCACACCCACACTCATTACTATTATAGTCACTGTTGCTCTCCCTTTTTGTCCACTTGTGAGTTTCACCATGTTAAAATCCTAGGTCTGAAAGAAATATCTAAAAAACTCGATTATTCCCAAACAGAAGAAGTCATCATGTTTAAGGTTGCTAAAGTGCATTTGGCATTTCCAAATGAGCCTCCTTTATCTCAATAAGCAACAATTACTCCAAGTTCTTATTTTAATTCTAAAGCTACCAAAGGACTGCCTCTAATCCTGAAAGCAAGTTTGCAATGTTGAAGTCTCTGTGAAATATTTCCTCCATAGTTTCAATAGCCTATTTTCTGAGACAGAGATTGAGTGACAGTTTAAAAGAGTACAGATTACAAACCCATTTAAGAGTGTTGCATTTTTTGAATTTGTCACAAATGGGAAGGAAAAGCCAGGGTGACACAGGCAAGGCTCAAGTGCCAACATGTGTCTTTCTGTTTATTCATTATTCAGGGGTCAGACCCTCACCAGGGCCAGAGAGAAATGACAAAAATAAATACCTATCAGTGCAACAATCTGCAATTTAAAATAATGAAAAGCAAGATTCCTATTCATTTTTATGGCACAAACCTGACATCATTTCACTCCAATTTTCTATAATGGAACCAGCTGGGCTCTGGGAGGAAACTAGTAATAGGTTTTAATGGACAAAATCTGCCATTGAAACTGGCCATTTTCTCATGCAATCTCAGGGCTTGGCACCCAGCCCATCATGAGGTATCATGCTCTCTGCAGTGCTTCATGAGTGCGGGAAAACAGAGGGATGTGTGAGTGGGAGGACCGCTGAGCCCTTGGGAGAGAGAAGGATGAGAAGTGACAGTCTCTCCTTCCTCCACCAGAAAGAGTTCTAAGCGCCAGATCAGGGTTCCATAATCCCAACTGGATAGATCCCTGGAGAAGACCCAAGGGAATGTCAATGTCTTTACTAAAAGCTTGCAAAAATCGTGGAAGCCAGGTTGAAGAGAGAGGCAGAGAGGGTCGAGATGAGTGAGGAAAATACCATCATTTCAGTGCAAGCCCCTGAAACAATTTCCAGTTACTTTTGGTTGCAATAGACACAACCAGGTTTTACCAGGTCTGGATTAATAGTCAACAAATGTTTCTCTCTCTCTCTCTCTCTCCCCTCTCTCTCTCTCCCCTCTCTCTCTTCCCCTCTCTCTCTTCCCCTCTCATTTCATTAAACTATTCTTCCTCCCTTCCCATTCAGCTCTCAAACTGCTGTTAACATATGAAAATAGCATGCAAAGAATGGAATGGGCTGACTGCCATGGAGATAAAAATGGGATGTTCATTCTAATTTATTTCATGGCACCATGCCCTCTTGCTGCCTCTGTTGTCTTTGCTAGGCGGCTTGATTGCCTCTTTGAGAATATGACTGGTCTGGCCCCAGCCTTGTTTTGAGCCACAGTTGAGGTTAAACAGGCAGCCAGCCTTTGGAGGTTGAACACAAATCTGATCAAAGTCACCCTGCCCAGGTTTATCTGGGCACAGAACAATGAGGCCTTTTTGTTTTTTGTTTTTTTATCTTGCAACAGATTTTTCAGCTAAACGATCCCTAATGTTCATTTTGGTGAAATGCTGCAGGTTCTAAAAATGAATGATGTTTTCAAATAATGTATACTCACTTTGCTTAAAGCATGTTCTACAACTTCTGTTCCAACTGTCTCATGGCAGTGGTCCTGAGGCAGGGATAAATGATTTAAAAGGAAATTCTACATGGTTTTTTTTGGGGGGGTGGGGGCTAGCGGGGGAGCAGGGAGGTGAAAGGTGTGACCCAAATGGAAAATGTAGGTGCACTCAGCATGGACTCTTTCTTAGCACTCATGTGTCTTTGCTAAGATTAGCTCATATTATGACCGTGTGTCTTTCTGCCAGCTGCCTCCTTCAAATATCTCTGGCCATGGTTCCCATGATGAGGTTGTGTTATCATAGGGAACATCAATGACCAAACAAAAAAAAGGACAAAAGAAGCCGGGTGCAGTGGCTCACGCCTGTAATCCCAGCACTTTGGGAGGCCAAGACGGGCGGATCATCTGAGGTCAGGAGCTCGAGAACAGCCTGGCCAACATGGTGAAACCCCATCTCTACTAAAAATACAAAAATTAGCCGGGCATGCTGGTGCATGCCTGTAGTCCCAGTTACTCAGCGGTTGGGGCAGGAGAATCACTTGAACCTGGGAGGCAGAAGTTGCAGTGAGCTGAGATTGCACGACTGCACTCCAGCGAGGGTGACAGAGCAAGACTCCGTCTAAAAAAAAAAAAAAAGGAAAAGACAAAAGGAAACTTGGTTGAGTAGACATTATGTTGACCAATAAATTAGAAACTCTACATTCTAATCTAGGGTGAAAGAAACTCTAATTTGAGGTTGGCACAGAAACTGCTATGTTGCCTTCTTTCTACTTCTGCTTATGAAGCTACTGACTCTGCAGCTTCCTCGTTCAACTCAAAGTGCTGCTTGATGTTTCCAACCTCCCCAGCATCTCCCTTCCCATCACTGCCCACCATTCACACTCCATTCTAATCGTGTCCAACTGCAGGCAGCCTGTTCTCCCAGATCTCCCTGAAAGCACTGACCCCTGTTGAATTTCTGCTCCTTCTTCTGCAAGATATTGTTCAGCGGCTCCAGGTAGAGTTGCTTGCTCTGTTCTCACTATATGTTTATATTTCCAACTATCAACTGCCTGCAACCCTTTAAAAGTCTATCAAAGGCCCAATATCTCATGTGAAGAATATAGTCTGACTCATAGAAGGTGTTTAAAAAGTGTGTGATATGAATGGATGAAGAATGAATGAAAAGTAGCACCCTTATAACCTCCCAGTAAATGACATTTTCTTTTTCCTCCAGATGCACTAAAAATACAAGAATCCGGACATTGCTTTCTCACTTTGTGTTGCTTGCTGTTCTCTGGTTTTATATCTTTCTGATACAGTCAACTCTACTCTGCATATTAAAGGAAGATGGCAATGTTATGAATTTTTTAAAAAGATACATCAAAGATAGTTTATCTTTGATATGCCTAATAATGAGTTTTAAAGCAGTTTTTCTTTTCAACTGAGCATGAAGGGAAATGTAGTAGTAAGCCCTCCGAACCTACATACAAGACAAGATTTATCTTTCTTGCTTTGTTACTGTGGTCAACTCCTTTCTTCTCTTTAAGCCTTGAGTTTTTAATCTCTACAATGGGCTCGGGCCGGGTGCAGTGGCCCATGCCTGTAATCCCAGCACTTTGGGAGGCTGAGGCAGGCCAGCAGTTCAAGTCCAGCCTGGCCAACGTGGTGAAACCCCATCTCTACTAAAAATACAAAAATTAGCCAGGTGTGCTGGTGCACACCTGTAATCCCAGCTCTGGAGGCTGAGACACAAGAATCATTTGAACCCAAGAAGTGGAGGTTGCAGTGAACCAAGGTCATACCACTGTACTCCAGCCTGGGCAACAGAGCAGGAGTCTATCTCAAAAAATAAATAAATAAATAAAATGGGCTAATTTTGGTCCAAAATGAGTACAGTCATATGATCTTTAAGGTCCCTTTCAACTCTTTGGTACATTGTTTCCAAAGATAGCCACCAGTAATGCCTCTCATCCATGAGCATCATAGCACCTGTATTAGTCAGCGTTCTCCAGAGGGACAGAACTAATAGGCTATATGTATATATGAAAGGGACTTTATTAAGGAGAATTCACTCACCTAATCACAAGGTAAAGTCCTGCAATAGGCTATCTGCAAGCTGAGGAGGTAGGAAGGCAGTAGTGGCTCAGTCCAAGTCCAAAAGCCTCAAAAGTAGGGAAGCCAACAGTGCAGCCTTCAGTCTGTGGCCAAAGGCCCAAGAGCCCCCAGCAATCCACTGGTATAAGTCCAAGCGTCCAAGTACCGAAGAACCTGGAGGCTGACGTCCAAGGGCAGGAAGCTTCCAGCATGAGAGAAAGACGGAAGCCAGAAGACTCAGCAAGCCAGATTATCCCATCTTCTTCTATCTGTTTTGTTCTAGCCATGCTGGCAGCCAATTGGATGGTGCCCACCCACATTGAAGGTGGGTCTTCCTCTCCAAGTCCACTGACTCAAATATCAATCTCCTTTTGCAACATCTTCACAGACATGCCCAGGAACAATGCTGTACCACCTATCTAGGCATCCTTCAGTCTAATCAAGTTGATACCCAATATTAACCATCACAACACCCATCCTGCACAAGTGTCAGTATGTTCGTCTTGAATCTGGGTTGCAAGACCTCTTTTTAAGACCTTTGAAAGATTTTGAAAGTAGACTCTCAAAGCTAGACGATAGACCATCCAAGAACCTTAAAGATGTGTTCCACATCACCCTGACAGATCTCAAGTAGAGAGAAGCATGTTTTAGAGGGAATTATGAATGTGGCTTTGAGGGTAAGGATTGAACTCCTTAAGATTCATAGGAAACCCACAAAGTTTTAAAACAATTGTATCAGCAAAACAACCCTTGCTTGTGAAACCACCTTTGCAAAGATTATGACAGAGAGAGAAGTCTAGCATGGCTGGTTCTATCTCACTTCTAGCCTCACGGGCTAACTGTCCTCACTCATTCCTGGATGTAGGCCAAGCTAACCATGGGGGGAATTTAGTTGATAGTTTAACTTTGAAGCAAGGATGATAGTAGTCCCTCCCTAAAACTAACCTATTTTTTGCTTGGGACCAAAACTGCCTTTGTACGACTAATAAAAACCCACAAAAGTAGGATTGTAGGAGGTGGTCTGAATTCTGAAAATGTAGGCAAAGCTTGCCTTTCTATAATCATTTGCTGTACCAGAAGTCACAAGATTTGTAACTTTCCCATTGCTGCTGTAGATAGTATCACTATCATAGAAGCCAAGATTGGTCTTTTGAGATGTTTTTCAAACTTCTGCATTCTGGTGACCAAGTAACTCCACCCAGATCTGTGACTCATGACTCAGTAGGTTCTGTGGGCCCCACTCAGAAGCTGACTCAGTGCATAAGGACTGTTTTCCACAACCTTATGACATCATCCCCAACCCAATCAGTAGCACCCATTCCTTCACCCCCTGTCTGCCAAATTATCCACAGAAACTCTAGCCTCTGAGTTCTTGGGGAGGTTTATTTGAGCAATAATCTCCCATCCTTTAGCTTGGCTAGCTCTGCATTTATAAAACTCTTTCTCTACTGCAATACCACTTTTTCAGTAAATTGGCTCTATCTGTGCAGCAGGCAAGAAGAACCCCTTGGGCAATTACACTTGAACTGAAATGAAAGATTCAAAATGACAACATATTGGCAGAAAGCAGGCTGAGAAAGCTACTTGGCCATAAGCATTGGCTCTTTCTTATGCAAGAAGAAGAATGATTTCTAGGGCAGACCCAAGGGCTCTGAGTGCAAAACCTACAGCAGAGAACTATGGATTAGGGAATCACTCCCAGAGTGCAGAAATGAGCCCTAATCAAGGAATGTTTCCTGCCCCCACAGTTAGGGAAACTGACGACAGATAATTTTTCAACAGGGGTATGTTATTTCACCATGTATGTTGAGTGGATTTTTCGGGTAGGGGGAGCTGATAGCTTGGATATTTGTTGTTGTTTTGGTTTCCAAGTTTCCAGATCAAGAGGAACCATATCTGAGTAGCTCCATCCATATCCAGCCACATCCAAACTTGGTTTAAATCCTGGATTTTGGGCCTGAGATCGACGCACTGTTCGGTTGAAACTGATTGTCTTTGGGGTGGAAGGGTAAAATTTGCTTATGGGGGCACATAAATTGTTGTGGCTATAGGGAAGACTAGTAGATTATCTCCAAAGATGACCACAAATAACTCTCTCCATGTCCGATTCTTACATCCCTGCATGCATATGCAACTCTTCCCATTAAGAGGTAGACTCTCCCTCTCCTTCCCTTGAATCTTGCCTCGACTTTAACTCTCTGTGATCAACAGAAGGCAGTACAGGCTGGGTGTGGTGGCTCATGCCTGTGATCCCAACATTTTGGGAGGCCGAGGTGGGAGGATGACTTGAGCCCAGGCATTTGAGACAAGCCTGGGCAACATGGGGAAACTCTGTCTCTACAAAAAATCAAAACGTTAGCTGGGTATGGTAGCATGCACCTGGAGTCCCAGCTACTCAGGAAGCTGAGGGAGGAGAATCACTTGATCCTGGGAATTTAAGACTGCAGTGAGTCATGATTGCACCACTGCACTCCAGCCTGGGTGACAGAGCCAGACCCTATCTCAAAAAATAATTTAAAAAAAGAACTCAATGGAAATAACATTGTAACAATTCTAGACCTAGTCATTAAAAGTTCTAGTATCTTTAGTTTTTATTCTCTTGAATCCCTGTTTAAGAATCTAGGTACCTTGGTGGAGAGAGGGGACCCACCAACCACCAGCCATTCAGGCTACACCACATGTGCTTCCAGGCATGTGAGTGACATACATCATCGTGAATGTCCTAACCCCAGTCAAACTCCCTGCTGAATGCAGCTGAATACATGACCCCAGCCAGTAGGGCATGGAGTGAAGGAAACATCCAGCTGAACACAAAACCATGAGAAATTATAAATTTTAGGCAATTAGGCTTGGGGTTATTTGTTATACAGCAATAAATAACTGATACAAGCTCTCACAATGGTTTTTTTGTAACTGAAATTGTATCATTTGCTTAGACTCATAACAACTCATGGTTTAAGTGAGCAATCTAGAAGCAGAAGAAAGGGAGGTTACCTGCTTGGTACTGAACATAAGTTGTAGACAATTCTCTCATGAATGACTAAGAGTTTGTTCTATTTTATATTTTACCTTTACTTATTGTATTGGTCCATTTTCATATGGCTATGAGGAAATATCTGAGACTGGTAATTTATAATGAAAAAGAGGTTTAATGGACTCACAGTTCCACATGGCTGGGGAGGCCTCACAAGCATGGCAGAAGACGAAAGAGGAGCAAAGCCATGTCTTACATGGCAGCAGGCAGGAGAGCGTGTGCAGGGGAACTGCCCTTTATGAAACCTTCAGATATCATGAGACTTATTCACTATCATGAGAACAGCATAGGCAAAACCTGGCCCCATGATTCAATTATCTCACACTGGGTCCCTCCCACCACACGTGGAGATTATGGAAGCTACAATTCAAGATGAGATTTGGGTGGGGACACAGCCAAACCATATCACTTATCTCTGTGTTATTCTATATTTACATTTTGCCAAGGCATCTGAATTCAAGTGGAAACATTTAGCCAATGGTCTACTACTTATTTTGTGTGACACAAAATACAAATTAAGAGAGTCTTTCATCTGGAGGACAGTCTATAGCAGGCCCCTCATAAAGAACATGAGGTCCCCAGAGATGTAGTGGGAAGTTCATATTTGTAGGGCAAGCCATTGGTATTTGGGGAAGGACTGAATAAGTTTCCCTTTTCATTCCAGGTCCTTAGTGGAAAATAGAGATACTTTTATTTTCTTGCGTATGAAATGCATCTGGCAAAAAAAGTACAGTATTTCACTGGAATGTTTTGTAAGACTCACTGATCCATTGATGTAAAACACTAGAGAACCCTGTATGAACATGTGAGACAAAGTCACGTTTATTATGAAGTAGGTCCCATTTGGACTCCATACAAGGTTTGGTTAAAGAATGTTTCTAATATCCTCATGATAACATGCCTTCACCTTTAGGGTATTACCAAAATCCTGAATCCAGGAGACAATGAAATAGAGGTATTGTTGTATCAAATTGGATTAAAAGGATATACAATATGATGTACACACACACACACACAGGCACACACACATCAGTGACCCAAAGACAAATTTTAGAAATATATCTCTTGATTATTTGGAGTCCTTTTCCCCTATTCAGAAGTATGACTCCAGTCTGATTCAAACTTTAGCACATTCAAACTCTTGACAAAGTTTATAATTGAGCTCTTGCTGCTGGAAAGTGTTTGAGAAATAGCTCTGCTTCTGGGTTTCCATGGAGACCACTTCCCACCTAGTGGCTGAAGGTAACCTCTGTCGACCATGGCTGGGGGTACTTATCAAGCCATCACTGGCAATTTTCCCCCTCATTTACTAGAAGCAACATTCCAGGAAGAAAATAGCGGGATGGCATGGTGAGAACACACTTTTACTTTGAGACTGCAGTTTTGGGAAGACTTGGATGGTTGGCTGCAAGATCCTGGTCCCAGAGGGGATATGGCCAACCCATAATCTGAGCAGCAGAGTGAGTAGGGAAAATAGCTCTGGACTTCTGGCCAGGCTGAAGAAGATTTCTATCCCTGCCGTGCTGGCTGTAAGAACTTGGACATGTCAGATCAGCCACAGGGCCAACAGTTCCTTCCTTCTTTCCTTCCTCCCTTCCTTCCTTCCTTCCTTCCTTCCTTCCTTCCTTCCTTCCTTCCTTCCTTCCTTTCTTCCTTCCTTCCTCCCTCCCTCCCTCTTTTGCTTTCTCTCTTTCTCTCTCTTTTCTCTCTTTCTCTCTCTTTTCTCTCTTTCTCTCTCTCTTTCTCTCTTTCTCTTTCTTTCTCTTTCTTTCTTTCTTTCTTTCTTTCTTTCTTTCTTTCTTTCTTTCTTTCTTTCTTATTAAAGCAGATAATGGGTTTTGCTATTTATTTCAAAAGCTTCTTGTAACAATCCAATGAGATAATAGGGTTAAATGTGCTTGGCAAATTGTGAAATGATGTACAGATGTGAGGCTTCAGTCTCATGTCTGACTTTTGACTTCTGCCTTTCAGAGTCCGCTAGATCCTTTGGATTTGAGAACCCAATATTATTGTAGTGCCCTATGAATAAAGCCTAGGTGTGCCTCTAAACTCTGCTGGCTAGTACTACGTGCTAGATTTAAGAGCAGCCAGGGAAAAATGAGAGAGCAATTCATGGTGTTTTCCAGGTCAGATTCATAGATACCCACATGGAGTCCGTGAATTGTATGGACATCTGTGAAAGGAATGAACTCACTAAAAGAAAAATTGATTCCCTCCACCTGGAGAAATAACTACAATATTTTAACCCGTGCAAAGGACAGATCTAATTTATATATGTTTCCTGAAAACACCGGCACTATATATATTTTAAATGCAACCAAAATCTGGTAAGAGGTTGTAGGAGAAACAATTTTACAATTAAAAAAAGTATTTTTTGAAAAGAGGCTTTGTGCTTTTAATGTGTTTTGATTCTCAAACTGGGCTGAATGGACAGGTGAAACCGGATATTTGACATTTGTGGCCAATTTTCTATTCAGTAATCTCACTCTATCCCCAACTCTTTTTCTATTGCTAAGGAAATGAGATTTCTTGGTGCTGTACTTAAAACTGAGTCTAAAGGATATTCACTGAACTAGAAAAGCATGAGTTAAATAATAATTTTTTTTCTGTGTCAGGTCAATGAAATAATTCAGTGACATCTAATTGAACACACATTTATTAAGTGACCACTCTATCCTGGGTAATGTGGCAGATGCTAGAAAAACAAACAACTGAAGTCATGAATTTGTTCTTAAGAAAATGACAATTTGGTAAGTAATTATAATTTAATGTTTTCAGTGCAATAGTAAAACCACCTACAGAGGAAAAAATAATCAAAAGAAAGAAATTGATTTTCTGGGTTAGATAAGAAAGATTCTCTGGAGGGATAAGTCTCAGGTCCATTTTATTTATTTATTTATTTATTTATTTATTTATTTTAATTTATATATTTAGGGGGTACAAGTGAAGATTTCTTCCATGCAAATATCATGTAGTGGTAAAGTCTAGGCGTTCAGTGTGCCTGTCATCCAAATATTGAACATCGTACCCAATAGGCAATTTTTCAACACTCACCCTCCTCCCAGCCTCCTACCTCCATTGTTCAGCTCTCATTTATAAGTGGGAATATGTTGGATTTGACTTTCCATTTCTGAGTTATTTCACTTAAGATAATGGCCTCCAGTTCCATCCATGTTGCTGCAAAAGACATAATTTCATTCTTTTTTATGGCTAAGTAGTATTCCATGGTAGATAACTGCCACGTTTTCTTTATCCAGTCCTCCCTTGATGGCCACGTAGGTTGATTCCTTATCTTTGCTGTTTTGAATAGTGCCATGATAAATATAGAAGTGCAGGTCTTTTTGATAGAGTGATTTCTTTCCCACGTCTATTTTAAAGGATCCTACAGGATATGTCAGTTTTACAAAGTCAGGAGAGGCGGATATTCAAGGCCAAAGGAATGGGTTGTACAAAGACATCATAGCATTGCCTGGAAAAGTATGTTGGAAGAGCTGCAAGGTATATGTATTGCTGGCAAAAATACAAGGCAGAGAAGAGTGGTAGCTAAGACTAAAAAGGCAGTCAGAAGCTAAATCTTGGAGGCTCTCCATCATTTTCCATTAGCATGGCATCCCTGTACTGTGCTTAACTTGGACTTTATCCCACAGATCTGTAGCATCCAATATGGACCACCTTAACCACATATGGTTATTAAAATTAAAATTAATTAAAATTTTTAAAAATTCCATTTTAAATTCTAGCCAACCAGTCTTGACATCCTCAATAGCCACATGTGACTGGTGGCTACCATATTGAATAACTCGGTTATAGAACATTCCCATCATCATTGTCTATTGGCAGCACTACCATGGATGTTTGGGAGCCTTAAAATTTGCATAAGTGGGAAAATGCTATGTGACTATTTGCACTTTAGAAAAATAGCTTTGGCAGGAGGATAATTTGGGGAAAAATAAGAAAAAATAGCATGCAAAACTACACAAGATTTCACAAAACTACAAGAGCAGTGAGGATGAGATAGAAGAGGCAGATGTGAGAGAGGCAGAGGTGGAGGAAGCCAAGCTTTATCACTGTGTTGACCAGTTAGTTGTACGACTAAGCTGATTGAGGGTGCCAATCCAGATGATCACTGAGTAAATAAATGCATGTGTATGTAAAGAAGGGTTCAGCTATTTTCTTTGTATATGGGAAGTGGAGTAGGGAACTTATGGAAATAATATGATGGCAAGAATTAACCAAACAGTTTCTATGACTCCATGTAGACCATGAAGTTGGCAGCCTGAAATTCATTTTCAAGCAATATTTTTGACATTTCTGAAGCCACAGGCATATTCAGCTTCACATCAAACCATTAAATCATCTGTATAAATCTTTGGGATATGGAGAGGCAGGTTTAGAAAATGAAGTTCTCACAAAAATCTTACCAGGAGATACAGTTCAACTTTTCCAATCTCTGACCCCTTAGTAATGTCTTTGCCCGTTGTAACGACTCTGAGTCTGATGTCTTCTGACTGCCTTCTGACTCAATAGATAAGCTAAAGCCCAATTGATGAGTGGCCTAATTAGTCAAGGGGATATTTCAGGTTTCTGCCCTTTGCACCATTTGTTCAAAAACGGAAGCCACATCATTTGGTTGTAAATTATAATCAGAAGAAGGAGGACATGGCTAATAGCCTAAATGACTAAAATTGGAGATGGTGGTATTTTGCTTCCTGGAAAAATTGTAAAGTTGGGACATTATTTTTCCTAAGGAACTACTGAACTACTCTCTCTCCCCTTTCCTCTTAACATTTCTCTTCTTTATTTCTTCCCATATACCCCTAATATAAATCTCCTAAATCTAATAATAATAATGATCATAGCTAGAATTGGTTGAGCACATATTATGTGCCAGCCCTGTGCTAAATTCTTCTTACATTATAAGTATCTCCTTACATTACCCCAGTTATGAGTGGTTGAGTCAGGATTCAAACCAAGGGCTGGCTGGTTCCAAAACTGTGGTCATAACTGCACTATGCTGCCTCTTCTCTGGAGAATGCTGTGAGTCTCATTGGCTCCTTCATCAAAGAAATGCTTGTAGAACCTGGCACTTGAGTGTCATTTCCAAAGCCAGAGGAATGGCTTTCTTCTTCTTCTCTTCTTCCTCCTCCTCCTTCTCCTTTTTCTTCTTCTACTCCTCCTCCTCCTCTTCTCATCCTCCTCCTCCCTCATCCTCCTCCTTCCCCTCCTCCCTCCTCCTTCCCCTCCTCCCTCCTCCTTCCCCTCCTCCCTCCTCCTCCTTCTCCTCCTCCTCCCATCTTCTTCCTCCTCCTTCTTTTTCTCCTTCCTTCTTCTCCTTCTCCTCCTCCTCTTCAACTTCTCTTCTTCTTTCTCTTCTAATCCTCCTTCTCTTCTTCTTCCCTCCTCCTTTTTCTTCTTCTTCCCTTCCTCCTCCTCCTCTTCTTCATCTCTTTCTCCTCCTCCTGTCTCCTCCCCCCCTCCTTCTCTTTCTCCTTCTCCTCCTCCTCTACTTCTTCTCCTCCTCCTCTACTTCTTCTCCTCCTCCTTCTCCTTCTCCTCCTCCTCTACTTCTCCTCCTCCTCCTCTACTTCTTCTCCTCCTCCTTCTCCTTCTCCTCCTTCTTCTTTTCTTCTTCTTTTAGTGAGTCACACAAGAAAGGAACAGCAACAACAACAAACAGCCTACAGAGATGGAGGAAAGAGACGGCTATTTGGTTCCTGGACCCCAAGAAAGATTTTTTTCTTTTCTTCCTTCAGGATCAAATACATTCACTAAGACAAGACCAATCTGGCAAAATGGTAATGGATGAACTCAATGTGGATCTAGAATGAGGCATGGGTATTTTGTCAGGGACATTTGGAGTCAGCAAGGAAGCTGGAAGCATCCAGGGTCAACAGGACCAGACGAGGGAGATGCCACAGCTCTCAACGACTCCAGTCCTCCGGGTGATCAAATGATCACTCAAGACGATTGTCCTAAGGGAGGAGAACTATATTCTAGGGAGGGATTATAAATATCTACTAAAATATGTGACAAACTTGCAAAGTCACTAAACATTAACGATATAACATACTGTATCTTCCAAAGTAGCTAAGATGTTTGGGTGTTGTTTTTTTTTTCTTCTTTGAGAAAATAAGTGTTTAGTAGGAGTGTGCTGAAATGGGCATTCATGTACCTTGCTGGCAGGTGAGGAAATATGAATAATCTGCTAAGAAAGCAACTTGGCAATGTTCATAAAAGGTTCAACGTGATTTCCTTCCATCCTTCAATTCTACATTAAGAAATAGATCCCCAGCCCGGCCCAGATGGTGAAACCCCGTCTCTACTAAAAATACAAAAATTAGCTGGGCGTGGTGGCAGGCACCTGTAATTCCAGCTACTCGGGAGGCTGAGGCAGTAGAATTGTTTGAACCCCGGAGGGCAGAGGTTGCAGTGAGCTGAGATTGCGCCACTGCACTCCAGCCTGGGTGACAAAGTGAGACTCCGTCTCAAAAAAAAAAAAAAAAAGAAAAAAGGAAATAGATCCTAAAGATGTAATAGAAAGATCTCTAGTCTTTGTAGTTAAACGTCATAGGTCTAAATACCATTTCCACCCTTATTAAGTACGTGACTTCCAGCAATTTGCTTAACTTCGCTGTGTCTCAGTTTTCTCACCTATAAAATGGGGAGGTGATAATACCGATCTCATGAAGGTAAAATGAATATATATATATATATATATATATATATATATATATATATATATACACATATATATACACACATAGTACTTGGAACAGTGCCTAGAACATAGTGGCATTATCATTGTTATTAATACTAGCATTGAGATTGAGGAAGAATGATAGGTATTTCAATCAAAGTTGTGTTACATATCAGCTGTGTGACATTTAACAAGCTAACAATCCTTGCTGAAATTCAATTTTTTAATTTACAAAAATGAGTATAATAATGGATATTTTGTGGTTCTTGTGAAGATTAAGGATTACAAACAATGCATACATATAAAATATACATGGTATACATATATGATTTAATATATAATTGGGAATTTTCAAATATATAATTGGGTATTACATATGGCTTATTATATAATAATTAAAATAATATAAGCCATATATAATATACATATATAGTTACATAGTGTCTATATGTTTATCTATAAATAACATTCATACTATAAACAAAATATATAACTTATAGATGCATAGTATAAGCAAAATACATACATTATAAATTTACATAGCATAAGCTAAATAAAAATATCTGTTATTAAATCTAAAATCAGAAGAATGCGTCATAAACCTGAGAAGCTCACATGGAGAAAATATTTGGGGGTCACTAGTCTGTTGTAACATCTCATTTGTGTTCTATAGTGTTTTCCAATGAACAGACTTTTTTTTTTTTTTTGAGATGGCATCTCACTCTGTCACCCAGGCTGGAGTAGTATCGTGGTGAGAACATGGCTCATTGCAACCTCCGCCTCCCGGGTTCAAGTGATTCTCCTGCCTCAGCGTCCTGAGTAGCTGGAATTACAGGTGCCTGGCACCATTCCTGGGTAATTTTTGTATTTTTCATAGTGATGGGGTTCCGCCATGTTGGCCAGGCTGGTCTCGAACTCCTGACCTCAGGTGATCCACCTGCCTCGTTAACATAATTCTGGGCTAAGAATGCTTACTTACAACTCTGTGAGAAAAGCAAACACTGTTGGTTTCAACATCATATTCCATAGCCCCAAATGTCCAATATACAAATCACATGGACTTGTCACAAAAGTCACAATTTGGCCCTTTGAGGCAGCAAGAGGCAAGTGGAAATTATACCTTTTAAGATGTTACCTTATAATAAACAAACATCTAAAGGATCACTTCTCTAAGGATATTTTCAGGTTAAAGAAGGATATTTCAAAGGTGATTCGGGGTGTGTGTGTGTGTCTGTGTGTGTGTGTGTGTGTGTATGTGTGTGTGTGTGTTGTGGAAAGTTTCCCTTTCCTTAAATTAATTAATTTATATATTATTAGACATATTTTAAAAATGGAGTCTTGCTCTGTTCCTCTGGCTGGAGTGCAGTGGTGCAATCATAGCTCACTGCAGCCTTGAACTCCTGGACTCAAGCAATTCTCCCACCTCAGCCTCCCAAGTAGCTGGGATTACAGGCATGCACCACTATACCTGGCTAATTTTTTTGTAGAGATGGGGGGGGGGGTTCTCTCTATGTTGCCCAGGGTGGTCTCGAACTCCTGACCTTAAAGATCTTCCTGCCTCCACCTCCCAAAGTGCTGGGATTACAGGTGTGAGCCTTGAGAACTTTCCTTAATATCCTTTCCCTCCAGGTCATATGGACCATGCTCTGTTTTTTTCTCAGAGAACATAGCTTTTCAGATCCTGACCTGATTTCTCATGGTGGATGTGGTTGCCTTGTGAGAAAACACCTGACAGAAAAGACGGAAGAAGTGTTTATAGCTGTCTCCAGGACAGCAGCTTAATTTCACCTTTTCAGGCAAACTGCCAGGAACTGTCCTAGTCAGCAGAATTGGTGCCCATCCCAGTCTCCTCTGACGCAAATGGTAATGAAACGTTGCTGTCATTTATCAACATCAGGTATCAGCGCCCTGCATGTTTGGTGCTAAGTCATTGGCACGGATTAGATACAAATTGTCCCCTTGAATAAAAGCACTTTATACTCAGATGAAAACTATTGATTTCCAATCTACTACCCGAAGGACTCTATCATCAGGCCACATTGGGTAACTTGCTTCAATTTTGACTTTTGGATTTGGGCCTGAGATTTCATTGTCAGGCCATAACACTCAGCGTTGTTTAATTAGTATAGAATAAAAAGAAAGAATTGCTGTAAATCAGGGCATTCCAGATTGTGATATTACCTTGACGCTGCTGTTCCTACCCTGCTTCAGCTGCGATCAAGGATGCCGTCAGGGCCTCAGCATCTGATTCTTCCTGGTAAATCAAGAACATCATTGACACTCAATCGTGATTGCATTTCCAGCTTGGAAAAGCCACCTCTATGCCTAGCAAGAATTAAGATTTTGTCACACTTATGGCAGTTATTTATTTATATTGTAAAGATGGGGTGTACTGTATCTGTAAGACGTACCATGTGTGTCTCTGCCTTCATAATGCAATTTCTTCCCCCTCCACAAATTGTAGCGCATCATAGACAAAGGATGAATTTCCAGAATTGACAGTGATCCTTTACAAAATGATAAGCAAAAATGTCAGTACCCAAGCTCAGACCAACCAGACCAGAAATCTTGTCTGCTTGGTTAGTGCCCAGAAACCATGCTGGCATATAACAGCTGCTCTAAAAAAAAAAAAAAAAATCTAAAAAATATTAAGTTTGGCTGGGCGCAGTGGCCCATGCCTTAATCCCCGCACTTTGTGAGGCTGAGGTAGAAGGATTGCTTGAGCCCAGGAGGTCGAGGTGGGTGGATCACTTGAGATCAGGAGTTCGAGGCCAGCCTGGACAATATGGTGAAACCCTGTCTCTATTAAAAATACAAAATTAGCCGGATGTCGTGACGCATGCCTGTAATCCCAGCTACTCGGAGGCTGAGGCAGGAGAATTGCTTGAACTCTGGAGGCAGAGGTTACAGTGAGCTGAGATTTTGCCACTGCACTCCAGCCTGGGCAACAGAGACAGACTTGGTCTCAAAAAAATAATAATAATACGTAAGTTTAAGAAATGAATATTAAATTAAAATTTTAAAAATGGATAAAAAACATGAATAAGCCAAAGGACATATAAGCATGCTTAATCTCACTAAGAAATAAATATAAGTTATAATGAAATAACTAAAATACCACTTTTCTGCTTTTATTCTGATAAAAATGGAAAACCGTTGGTAATATCCTGAATTGAGAGCAGTTGAGGTGGCTCATGCCTGCAATCCCAGTAGTTTGGGAGGCCAAAGAAGGAAGATTGCTTGAGACCAGGAGTTTGGGACCAGCCTGGGCAACACAGAGAAACCCTTGTCTTTACAAAAAAAAAAAAAAATTACTAGCCAGGCATGGTGGTGCACACCTGTATCCCCAGCTACTCAGGAGGCTGAGGCGGGAGTATCTCCTGAGCCCAGGAGTTGGAGGCTGTAGTGAGCTATAATTGTGCCAATTCACTCCAGTCTGGGTGACAAAGTAAGATCCCCTAGTCTAAAACAACAGGAACAACAAAAAAACTTGGTGGAGTTGTGATAAAAACATTGTGAGGGATTTAAAGTAGTCAATTCTTAAAGGGAAATTGTGTGACATCTATTGAAATTTACAACATCCATATCCTGGACCGAGCAATCCCACTTCTCAGATTTCAGTCTGCAGAAAAATCATTCTCATGCAAAAATATGTGTGTAAAAATGCTCATTTTAGGGATATCTGTAATAGTGAAATATGGGAGAACACCCACATTAGTAAATATTTTAATAACTACAGACAATATTTGTTGAGTACTTACCTGGTGCTTGTCTCTTTAGTCTGTATTTCACAGACAATAAACTCAGGAAATTGATTCTATTAATATCTTTCACTCTCAGATAAAGACAGGTTCAAAGGCAGATGCTGAAACAGGAAAAGCTTCGGGCTTTTTTGGTTTCTCTTCTTTTTTTACAGTAGTGCAACATACCTTTCTAGGTACTTAAAATTTTTAACACATTTAATTTAACTTAATTTAACAAGATGGGCCTGTTATCATCATCCCCATTTTACATTTGAGGAAACTGACACTTAAAAGAGTTTAAACAACTTGCTCAGTCTCTCACAGATAGCAAGTGGCAAAGACAGGTGCACCATGCTATGTGCTTGCCTACTTAAAGATAGAACACCTAGGTTTTTATCCTTTTTCTGACTTAATTAAATGTCTTTTTTTATTTTTTATTTTTGAGATAGAGTCTTACTCTGTTGCCTAGGCTGGAGTGCATGACGCAATATCGGCTCACTGCAGCCTCCACCTCCCGGTTTCAAGCGATTCTCCTGCTTCAGCATCCTGAGTAGCTGGGATTACAGGCACCCGCCACCATGCCTGGCTAATTTTTGTATTTTTAGTAGAGATGGGGTTTCACCATGTTGGCCAGGCTGGTCTTGAACTCCTGACCTCACGTGATCCATCTGTCTCGGCCTCCCAAAGTGCTGGAATTACAAGCATGATCCACCGCACCCAACCAATTAAATGTCTTAAACCTCAAGTTCTTTATCTGTAAAATGGGAACAATGCTGTTATCTTACAGAATTTTATAAGTTAACGTATCTATATCAAGTTGCATCAACCAACATTTAAAGGAAGTTCTAGTTAGTGCAATCAGACAAGAACAGATTAGAAAGGAGGAAATAAAACTACCTTTCTCCATAGATGATATGATTGCTTATATAGAAAATACAAAAGAATCCACAGAAATCTCCTGGAACTAGTAAGTGAGTATAGAAAGATTGCAGTATCCAAAGTTAATACATAAATGTCAATTTCTTCTCTGTTTTCCAGCATGAACAACTAGAATTTGTTTCACCATGTTGGCCAGGATGGTCTTGATCTCCTGACCTCATGATCCGCCCACTTTGGCCTCCCAAAGGGCTGAGATTACAAGCGTGAGCCACCTCGCCGGCCAATAAACCTCTTTTTCTTTATGAATTACCCAGTCTTGGGTATGTCTTTATCAGCAGTGTGAAAACAGATTAATACACTATGCACTGTATACCATCAGAAGCACAAAATTCAACTGTCTGATCACTTCCATGAGGGGAGCTTGATAGGTTTATCATATAGAGTGGGTTGGAGTTAGGAATGTATTCCCAGAGGATTAACCATAGTAAAACCCCCTGATTTCACACGAGGATGAAGAGAAGAGACAGAGGAAGATAAGGAGATCTAGTGTGAATCTGACCCAATTTCTCGCAGAGCTGTTTGAGTAAAGTTAGGGATATGAGACACTAAAGGCTAATTTAGGTTTAAGGGACAGGAAGAGAAGTATAAACAGAAGAAGATGCCAAGCATGAAGCGTGAGAACAGGAACACGTTAGGCACAGGGTAAGAGGATCTGTTAGGAAGAAGCCTGTGGAAACCTGGCTCACTTTTATTGGTAACTGGCTGGTAAAAGAGTCTCAAGAATAGAATAAGAGGTGCCTGGAACTCTATCTCTTTGTGTGTGTGTAACCTCACAATTGATGCAATCTAGCGACTTTTTAAGAGATGTTTCCCAATGGGCTGCCCTACACATTGAAACAGACCCTGAGATTGCACTGTGGCTCTCGTCAGTGAAATGATTTTTCCTTCTGCGGAGGGGAAAAGGTCTTATAAACTTCTCATGTGTTTGGCTGTCAGAATGCAGATAATCTTTCCAAGTTGAGTATAATGGGTTGGTCTCTCTTTCCATTTCTGTTCCCAGCCCTCTTAATAGCTGACTCTTACTTCCTTCAGCTATTGCTTTGTTAGAAACAAAACATGACTCTCTTCCCCAGGGCTTTCCGATTTAACTGTTCTATGATGGTTAACTTTAAGTGTCAGCTTATCCAGGTTATCATGCCCAGCTGTTTGGTTCAACACTAGCCTAGATGTTGCTGTGAAGGTATTTGGTAGATGTGATTAATGTTTGCAACCAGTTGACTTCAAGCAAAGGAGACAATCTGGAAGGGGCTCCTCCAATTAGTTGAAGGCCTTAAGAACAAAAACTGAGGTTTCTAGAGAAGAAAGAATTCTACCTCAAGGCTATAACTGCCTGAGTTTCCGGTCAGCCCTACAGATTTACTTACTAATTTGACAGTTCCCTAAGTCATCATGTGAGTGGATTCCTTAAAATAAATCTTGGCCAGGCACGGTGGCTCACGCCTGTAATCCCAGCACTTTGGGAGGCCAAGGTGGGTGGATCACGAGGTCAGGAGATCGAGACCATCCTGGCTAACACAGTGAAACCCCATCTCTACTAAAAATACAAAAAATTAGCTGGGCGTGGTGGCGGGCGCCTGTAGTCCCAGCTACTCGAGAGGCTGAGGCAGGAGAATGGCGTGAACCCGGGAGGCGGAGCTTGCAGTGAGCCAAGATCGCGCCACTGCACTCCAGCCTGGGCGACAGAGCGAGGCTCCGTCTCAAAAGACAAAAAATAAATAAATAAATAAATCTTAATCTCTCTCTCTCTGTCTCTCTCTCTCTCTCTCTCTGTCTTTCTCTCTCTCTCTCTCTATATATATATATGTATATTATATATATGGAATAGATCTAGTTTGAGCCTGTGAATTCTAGTGTGACTCTAGTGTGAACATGTATAGACATCCTATGGATCCTGTTTCTCCTCAAAACTCTGAGTGATACATGTTCCTTGGGAACATCTACCTACTTGGAGAGGAGAAAACCTAGAGTACCAGAGAGGGGTCTTTAAATACTTGAAGATCTGTCACATGGAGAAAAGGTACAAGATATTTTTTCTTTTGCCTCAGAGGGTAGTACTAGTGACTGAAAGTGACAGGACAGATTCTTCTAATAATTTTAGTTGGCTAACAAATTGCCAGGCTGCCTTCTCTCCATCCTTGGGAGGGTTGGAGCATCTGGAAAGATCATGTGGTTGGCGCTGTAATGTAGCACACACACGCAAATGTGAGTTTAAGGGAAAGATTGGTGTTAACATGCTGGCTCCATCACTCAGCTACTGTGCAGCTGCAGGCAAGTTACATCACTTTTCTTCCTCAGTTTTTTTTTTTTTACCTGTGAAATTCAAATAACAGTATTTACCCTGCAGGCATGAGGATGAGAGATAAATGAAAGTATTTGACACTGTCTGATATGGTTTGGCTGTGTCCCCACCCAAATCTCACCTTGAGTTGTAGCTCCCGTAATTCCCATGTGTTGTGGGAAGGACCCTGTGGGAGGTAATTGAATCATGAGGGTGGGATTTTCTCATGCTGTTTTCATGATAGTGAATAAGTCTCATGAGAGCTGATGGTTTTATAAGAGGGAGTTTCCCTGCACAAATTCTCTCTTGCCTGCTGTCAAGTAAGACGTGCTTTTGCTCCTCCCTTGCCTTTTGCCATGATTGTGAGGCCTCCCCAGCCACGTGGAACTGTAAGTCCATTAAATCTCTTTCCTTTATAAATTACCCAGTCTCAGGTATGTCTTTATTAGCAGCATGAGAACAGACTAGTACACTGTCCAACAGAGGTTGTTGTGATTGCAATTATTATCTTATTGCTTAGTAGGTTAGAAGACATGGGGACCTCCACATTTTCTTACAGATGTAACTGTAACCTATAAATTTCTGAATATGTGCTGTGGCTGGAGAAGGCACAGATTTGGAGGCTGAGAATGAAGATCCCTTAAACATAAGTGGACTTGATCTGTGGTGCTAATTGCACATGAGTGGGTTCCTTTGATGTCTACATTAGGTCTAGTCCATCATAAGAGAAATCCCTGTTTTATCATAAACATGGTTGAATGCTTAGCTATTACTCCTGGAGATTTGGGCAGATGTCCTGGGTTTGGGGGAAAGACCACAGATTAGAAAATTTTAAAAGATTTCTTTTCAGTTGCTGAGTGCCCAACAGAGAATCCATCTTTTTATTTACTTATGTGTTTATTCATGTTGAATTCACATAAAAGTAAATTCTGCAGCTTCTCAAATTAACTAGCCCTCTATGATGAAAACTGATCAACTCTCTATGAAATAATTAAATAAATCTTAAAGAATTGGCCTTGTGGTTTACATTTACTTTAGAGACTATCTTTTCATGTAGAGATGATTCTCTAAAATAATTTTAAAAGAAAAAAGAGAATATCTTTTTGGTTACATAACAATCACTTCAGAAAACTTTTTTTTCACTTTGGATTTCAATTGATTCAACTATTTCATTTGCTGTTATTTTCACTTGTTTTGAATTCCCAAATTTTATTTTGTTTTATTATTTGTACATAAATATATTCTCTGTTCAATTTAGTGGTAAGCAAATTGTTTATATTTAAATGTGGTTTTCTATATTTCATTATCAGTTCAGTTCAAATCTATACTTTTTAAAAGTCGAAACTTTGCAATCAAGTAGTGAGATAATTGTTTACACGTTTTTTACATTTATATTTTGTCGTGCCTTCTGATATAATTTCCTTTGATTAAAGTCTAACAGATGTGCCACTTAAGAACCTTTAAACAGTATTTACTTATTTGTTTAATATTTTTGAGTATCTACTATTAAAATGAATAGGTACATTTAAAAGGTTCATTCCAGCTATTAATCCAAAAAGAGAGTTTCCAAAGTTTTAATGCAAGCCACGCCACCCTGGTCATGTAGAAATCACCGTGAAGAACAGAAACGTCAAAGCATTTATATTTTTGCCCAAGACTGATCCATTTATAGCTTTGACTACTAGGAGGACATTATTCTTTCTGCCAAAAGGGATTTGAAATGTCTAGTCCTTGTTTTCACATAAAAGGGAAAAAAATGTAGAATCTGTCTAAGATATAGATCCAGCGATGAAGTTAAAAAGACACCTGCAAAATCACATAGCTCTTTTTGCTAAGATGTAAAATTCTGCCAGCATTTTTCAGAGCACATTGAAGAAGAGAAAGTTTTCACAGGATCTAAGAGTAATGGGTTCATGAGTGCTGATTGCATTATTAAGATACACTAATTGACAAATAAATAAATGACAAATAACCATGCATGGACCAAGAATGAGTGCTCCAAGAACCAAGGCTTACAATGAATCTATTCTGTGCACCTGAGTTCTCTTTGGCACAAAACAAAACAAGGCAAAAACCTCGATGTTTAGAGACTGCAAGCTGAGCTTCAACTAACACCATATCCTTTCTGAGATGTGTAATGCAGGTTCTGAAGCTGACGCATAGTCTGGATGAGTAAACTGTTGGACACATGAGATCTTCCTGAACCGGAAAGAGCAAAAGTGTACTCTGAAGAAGAATTAGAGCTTTAGCCCTATAGCTTCAGTTTTATTGTTACTTCCCATGCAACATAAACTGGAATAAACATTTCTTGTGATTCATTAAATATACGTATTCAGAGAAAAGTATATAGGGTTCCTCCCATGAAGTATGTGTTTGGTAATTCTCAAAACATTGTTTTGCTGCCAATTTCTTATAGACCTGCATCAGTATCTCCTCCACATTTTGCTCTTTGTTTAAATATGCACTAGATGAAAACTCCACCTCATGATTATAGTCTTGCAATCAAGATTCCATCAACAAACAGAAGCCACCCTAGGTATTCCAAGTAAAAAAGCCTTTAACAGAGGGCATCAAGGGCTTACATAATTATTGGAAGGGCTGCAAGAATGACTGTTTGGGAAGCTTTGAGAAGGAAGTAATTAACAAGAGCTCATCTGGAACCCACAGCAAATCTCGGGAAGCTCAGAGAATGCCAACACCACCAATGTCAGCTGCCCACAATTGCAAGCCCGGTAACTTCCAGGAGCTTTCTCAAGAGGCACTACAAACTTCATATTGGCTGTCTGCCCATGTGACTATGTGCACCTGCCATCAATACTACTACTACTACTACTTCTGCTACTAAAAGCTCCTCTTTCTTTTTTGCCTTTTTTTGGCTTGTGTTACTTTCTTTTTTTTTCTGCTTGCCCTGTCTTTGGAGAGTTCTAACTTAGAACCACATGGAGATGGAGATTCTAAGAAATATATCTCCAGACCTCTCTCCTGCAGTGTAGGAAAGACTCTAGAAGGGTTTGTGATGATGCAAAGTTATTTTAAAAACATCCAGCACAATGAGGAATCAACTGGAAAATACAGGGAAAGCAAGAGGCATTACCATAATCTGGTTTGTAACATGGTGAAAGGTTGAGTTATTGACCAGAAAATCTTCATTCTCCCTTTCCTCCAGCCCTGTGAAAGAAGTTTACTTTTTCTTTTTTTTTTTCACTTTAAAATTCTTTATTATTTACAAACCAGACTAATATGGCAAAAAGAAAACAGAATTTTTTTTGTTTTTTTTTCTAGGTTTTGAGCAGATGTGCTGGATTTGGGGGGAAGACCACAGATTAGAAAAATTTACAGGATTTCTTTCCAATTGCTTAGCACCCAACAGAGAATCCATCTTTTTATTTATTTATGTATTCATGGTGAATTAATGTGAAGGTAAATTCTGCAGCTTCTCACATTCACTGGTCCTTTGTGATGGAAAATGGTCCACGCTCTACACAATGATTAAATAAATCTTAAAGAATGAGCCTTGCACTGTGGGGAAGACACAGAGAGAAGCGAGAATGGTGCCAAATACCAACAGATGAAAACCTGGCACAGACAACCCTCTGACTTCTCCTTATCTGTGCATATATTCTTCATATTTAACTTCAAAGAAAGCAGCAATATCATGCTTCCTCTTAACATAATATAGCTCTACATTGTATAAACAAAGATGTACTTACTCTCTACCCAAAAAGAAAAAGGTTCTAGTCCCATCAGATACTGTATCCATCTCTGGCAGATGTTGGTTCTTCTACTCAGTTCCAATCTCTCTTAAGTATTCTTGTATTAGCCCATTTTCACGCTGCTGATAAAGACATACAGGAGACTTGGCAATTTACAGAAGAAAGAGGTTTAATTGGACTCACAGTTCCACGTGGCTGGGGAGGCCTCACAATCAAAGGCAAGGAGGAGCAAGTCACATCTCACATGAATGGTGGCAGGCAAAGAGAGAGAGAGGTTGTGCAGGGACACTCCCATTTTTAAAACCATCAGATCTCATGAGATTTGTTCACTATCACGAGAACAGCATGGAAAGACCCCATGATTCAATTATCTCCCACTGGGCCTGCCCACAACAGGTGGGAATTATGGGAGCTAGAAGATGAGATTTGGGTGGGAACACAGAGCCAAACCATATCAATTCTTTAACCTAAAAAATAAACACTTGGTTTAACCACCACCAATATTCCTTATGTATAATTGGAAGAGAAGAGAAGAATCTTAAAAGGTAATTGATTATTGTAAGCAAATATTTACATAAAGCGAAGAGGAAGAGGTGCATATATTTTACAGTGCTCCATTTTGCTTGTTTGCTTATAATTGTTTGTGAGGCCACAAGTGTTATTTAGAACTCCCTTTTTCCACTATCCACACCATGTTCCCTCAGCTTTGGTTTCTCTCCGGTTGGGTAACAAACTTTACATCATGAAATATCAGATCCCTCATGAAACGTGGCCATGGCTATATTTGCTACACTCTTCAATCAACTTAAACTATAAGGAATGGAATTACTAGGAGCCTCTCCCAAAAGAAAAATATTCCCAGATTTCAGATCTGCACCTCTTCGAATTTATTCCCATCCATATTCCTTGAAATTCTAACAACACTAATTACAAATGATTGCTATTATTTTGATAACAATAGGTCAGACCTTGCACACATCTCTCTAGGAAAAACTGAGGTTTCACCTAGAGACAATGAGAGGTGGCAGTGGTGGCTCTTGAGAGACTTCTTGAGGTTGGTTCTTTGCCAGATGACTCTCTCAGATAACATCATTGCAGACTTTAAGCAAAGAGAGATGGGATTCCTCAGGCGTGGAGGAGCTACTTCTGCCTTTAAGGTGTCTCAGTAGAATTGGGCAGATGGTTGGAGGGGAAGACAAGCCGCTCATATTCATTAGAATCACTAATACTAATAGCCCCCGTCTTCTCCAAGCAATAGTATCAAGGGCAGAGCAGCAAAAGTCAGGAAAGACTTCTTCTCTCTAAGGCACAGCACTACTATTCAAGGAAACAAGAAACCACCAGTGTCGCTCAGGCCAGGAACTCACAGGGAAGATCACAGCTGCCCGCAGCACCGCCAACAGGTGTTGCAGTGCCGAATTGCACGTCTGCCCAAACCGTTGATTCTGCCTGTCACTGGCAGGGGAGTGGAAACGGCTTCTGCTTCTCTTCCTCCTTCCAAATCTTGCATGTGTGACTCTCAGAGCAGCATGTAAACCAGAATCCTGCTGGCAAGGAAATGGGGAAAACAAGGCCCCAGGTCCTGTTCTGCACCTGAAATCCCAACGGGGGCATATAAGGGGTTGGAAATAGGGTTGTGTGCTGCAGACACATGTCTGGCCCATCAGGGTTATGTATTCCTCCTACTCATTGATGGATTGATGGTTCTCAGTACTTTTCATGCCACTGCATAGCTTTCTCCAAGTTCCCTACTCATTGCTGTAACCTCAGCACCTACCCCATGGTTTAGCACACAGTAGGGGGTCAGTAAACATTGAATATTAGAAAGTTATTACTTGGGTTCATGACTATGAAAGCCAGACTCTCCACTCTACCCTTTTTTTTTTTTTTTTTTTTTTTTTTTTTTTTGGATACAGAGTCTCACTCTGTCGCCCAGGCTGGAGTGCAGTGGCACCATCTCAGCTCACTACAACTTCTGCCTCCCGGATTCAAGCAATTCTCCTGCCTCAGCCTCCTGAGTAGCTGGGATTACAGGTGCCCACTACCATGCCCAGCTAATTTTTACATTTTTAGTAGAGATGGGGTTTCACCATGTTGGCCAGGCTGGTCTTGAACCTCACTTCAGGTGATCCACCTGCCTCGGCCTCCCAAAGTGCTGAGATTACAGGCGTGAGCCACTGACCTCTACTCTTCTCTTTACTAGAGCAAAGGAATATTTCCATTTCTGTTACCCACTAGGTCAGGGAAGACAGAAACTGCTTTTAATATTTGTTTGCTGCTTGAATTAATCATATGCCCTGAACAATTCACATGGAATTAAACTCCTTGGTCTAGCAAATGGTGTTTACTTCACTAAGGGGAGGAGAAATCTCTATAAAGAAGGTCTACAGCGGAGCCAACCTTATCTGCTGCTACAATTTTCCCCGGTTTTTAAAGGCCTCATTAAAGAGATCGAGGCCATGATTCCACAGGGATTTATAAACTCATCAGGGAAATGTCAGGGAATGAGATAATGAAGACAACACACTATTTGCTGAGTTATCGCCGGAGCCACACTGTATTTGGCTGTGAGCACTGTATATCGTGGCTTAATTAGAAACACCGGTTAACCCAGAGCCAGACTGACATTTTTATCTTGCGGCCACACTTCTAAATTATTCCTCAAATGGAATATGTCATAGCAGCCAAGTTATCCACCCCTGACATTACATGCACGGACCCAACCAGCAGTAGGCCTGGAAGCAAATCAGACTGTAGCATCCTGAGACATTCTCTTATTATTTGAACACTTGTGTTCATTCGTTTAATAAGCAAGCATGGTGCTAGATGCTCTGGAGAATATATTTATAAGAGATCGGGTCCCAAAGTTCCAATGGGATAAACTCAGAGGAAAAATGGACAAGTTGCTTTATCTCTCTGCATCTCAGTTTCTGCTTCTGAAAATGAGGATAACACTAGTTTATACCCCAGAGTGTTGTTGGAAGCAATAAAAGATAAATGACACAAAGCCATACTGTGAAGAATAAATTAGATACATAGATAGAGAGATAGATGATAGATAGATAGATAGATAGATAGATAGATAGATGATAGATAGAAAGATAATAGACAATAGATAGATGGTAGATAGATAATAGATAGATGATAGGTAGATAGATATGTATAGATGGAGAGATAAATAGGATAGGAATAGATAGGTAGATAGATAACAGATAGATATGTATAGATGGAGAGAGAGAAACAGATGAATAGGAATAGATAGATAGATACATACATACATACATACATACATACATAGACAGGTATAGAGGAAGAGATGGATAGATATGTATAGATGGAGAGAAAAAATGGATGGATAGGAATATGGATAGATGAATAGGGATAGATACATAGATAGAGATCAATAGATCGATACATAGATCATAGATAGATATGTATAGATGGAGAGAGAGAAACGGATAGATAGACAGATAGATAGAAATAGATGGATACAGAGGTAGATAAATAGTTATAGATGGATATAGAGATAGATAAGCAGATACAGACAGATGTGATACATATGTATGCATATGTTAGTTATAAATATGTATATATGTAGTTATAAGTATGTATATATGTATTTATGCGTGTGTGTGTGTGTGTGTGTGTGTGTGTGTGTGTGATCTCTCCATGCATCCTAGTTTGTCAGAGACAAGAGGGAGCCCAGCGGAAAGAACCTGCTGAGGCAGACATAAAAAATCTCTGAATTTTGAATGTGTTCCCCACATTCCATAGCACAGCATAAAACATCTGTCATTTGGAAGCGCTTTTCTGTTTGTTTTGGGTTAAATTTTTTTGTAGTTCTATATATTTAGGGAGTGCTAGTGCAGGTTTCTTAGGGAATATATTGTGGAGTGGTGAAGTCTGGGCTTTTCATGTACCCATCACCCGAATAGTGAACATTGTACCCAGTAGGTACTTTTTCAGCCCTCAGCCCCTCCCAGCCTCCCACCTCTCGTAGTTTCCACTGTCTATTATTCTCTCTGTATGTCCACGTGTACCCATTGTTTAGCTCTCACTTACAAGTGAGACTGTGAGGTATTTGGTTTTCCGTTCCTGAGTTATTTCACCTAGGATTATGACCTCCAGTTCCATCCGTGTTGCTACAAACGACAAGATTTCATTTCATTCTTTTTAATGGCTGAGTAGTATTTCATGGTATTTATATAGCACATTTTTAAAATCCAATCTTCCATTGATGGGCACTTAGGTGGATTCCACATCTTTGCTACTGTGAATAATGTTGTGATAAACATACAAGTGCAGGTGTCTTTTTGATATCTTTATTTTCAGAGGCATTTTGAAGCATGAGTGGACTGTGGGAAGGCAGAGATCCATCCATGAGAATGGCATCTCAGGCAAAAGAAATGGCTTGGACAAAGGGGTGGCAGTGTAGAAATACATGCTGTGGATGAGGATAAAAATGCAACAAGCCCCATTTGGTTTGAGCAGAAAATACTACAGGAGAGAGAACTGGATGCAGTTAGGGCATGAATCAGAAATAAGTTTAACTTCCTAAAGGGAAGCAATGAAACGATTTCCATCATATCTGGGACGCGAACAAAGCCCAGAAAGTTTAAGGCATCACTTTGAAGAACTTGAGTGTCATGGTTATGTCACTGGGCCTCTGAGGACTGTGTGGAAATAGTGCTTTATGACTATTGCTGTTAATTAAATATTAAGGAGTAATCGTGTAATTGCCTGATGGATTCTTCTCCCCCACTGCACAGATAGAGCCAATTTACCGAGACAGCAGTATTGCAATAGAGAAAGAGTTTAATAAACACAGAGCCAGCTAAGCAGGAGATAGAAATTTATTACTCAGATCAGTCTCCCTGAAAGCTTGGAAGCTAAGGTTTTCATGGATAATTTGGCCCGGGAGAGGCTAAGCAATGGGTGCTGTTTATTGGTTGGAGATACAATCATAGGGGTGTGGAAAACAGTCCTCGTCTGCTGAGTCAGCCTTTGGGTGGGGACCACAGGACTGGTTGAGTCATGAGTCATGGGTTCAAGTGGAGTTAGTTGTCACAATGCAAAAGTCTGGAAAACATCTCAAAAGGCCCCTCTGAGATTCTACAGTAGTGATGTTATTTATATGAGCAATTGGGGAAGTCACAAATCTTATGACCTGTGGCTTCATGAATCCTGAGTGATTAGGGATTATAAGAAAGCAAGCTATGGAACAATGGCAGGTTATTATTTAACTATGCCTACATCTTAGCAGAATTCAGACCCTTCCTATAATCTCAATTTCGTGGTCTTTCCTGGGTCTTACAAAGGTGGTTTCAGTATCAGGACAAGGAGGGGGTCTGTTTTAGAAAGGGACACTCATCCTTGATTCAGAGTTAAACTATAAATTAAATTTCTCCCATGGTTAGGTTGGTCTATGTCCAGGATTGAACAAAAGCAGCTTGGAGGTTAGAAGCAAGATGGAATGAGTTAGGTGAGATTTCTTTCCCTGTCGTAATTTTTCTATGTCATATTTCTCTCACGGTCATAATTTTTGCAAAATTTGTTTCAATCAAAATGAAGATACCTAAGCTACGACATTTCCAAGTTTTATCAGCATTTCTTCTAGAGATTAAACAGGTGCTGCAGAGAGTTGACCTACAAACCCCATAGGTGGAATGAACAGAAGCTTGTGCCTGGCCCACAAAATGAGCCCATGAGAAAAGGTGACACGTCCTGTGGGCTTCCACGAAGTGTCTCTAGCAGTCATGGTGGCAGCATTCCAGAAGGGGGTAGCTGAGGGTTGCAGGACAGAAAATTCCCAAGGCAGTGGTTTCTTCCAGTTGTGCAGTGGAAGCTTTTTCCTGCAAGAAAGAGCAAAGCAAAGATCAGATTACAAGCAGCAAGGTCAGAATCCATGGGAAGAAGGTTTACAGGCACCTTCCTGCAGAAAGCCAAACATCAGGAACCAGAAAAGAAAGCTTCCTAAAGAAATTCCTGCCAGAAAAGTCAAGACCAGCCCCACCTGGCTGGAATTTCCAGAGACAAATGTTAAACCACAGCCTGCAAATGCAGTTGCATGTTTCAGCCTGGTCTTATCCTCTAGGTGAGGCTAGACCCTGCCTGCCTGGTCCCATGCTTATTACTCTGCACAAAGTAGGTGGACAAGAAGTACCTCTGGAATGACCTGGATGGAGAAAACCGTGCCATGTTCATTTTCGATTTTCAGAGAGGGGTTCACAAGGAAAGTACACTTGTCCAGGAATCAGGAGGTCTGAGTGCCATAGCCCAGTACACAGGCTATGGAACCAGCAAATTTGAGTTCCAATCCAAAACTCTGTCTCTGAACCAGATTAAGAGACAGGGTCCCAGGGCAGGTCAACCTGTCATACTAAATCAGAAATGTGGTCTCTGCTCTGGACTTCTGCTTTGGTGATTTGCCCTTGACATGGTTGGTGATATGCTGATCCTGACCTCATTGAATAAATAGTGAACAAATATTTAAAAGAGGTACAAGACTGGGTATGGTGGCTCACACCTGTAATCCCAAGACTTTGGGAGGCCGAGGCAGGAGAATTGCTTCAACCCCGTTCGAGATCAGCCAACCAACATATCGAGACCACCATCTCTGCAAAATTAAAAAAAAAAAAAATTAGCCAGGTGTGGTGGTGCGCACTTGTAGTCCCAGCTTCTCATAAGTCTGAGGTGGGAGGATACCTTGAGCAGGGGAGGTCAAGGCTACAGTGAGCTATGACTGTGCCTCTACATTCCAGCCTGGGTGACAGCAAGAGTCTGTCTCAGAAAAGAGAGAGAGAGAGAGAGAGAGAGAGAGAGATAAGCATTATAACATTATTTTATGAAATGTTATGAAAAATAAAAATAACAAACATCCTGGGTGCTCTGTCTGCTCTGCTTCTTCTTACTGTTTTATCTTAGGACAGTTATTGAATGCCTCCAAGTCTCACTCTTCTCACCTGCAAGAACGTCATAGGGCCTGTAACCCCAGCACTTTGGGAGGCCGAGGAGGGGATGGATCACTTGAGGTCAGGAGTTCGAGACCAGCCTGACTAACATGGTGAAAACCCATCTCTACTAAAAATACAAAAATTGGCCAGGCGTGGTGGTGGGCACCTGCTATCCCAGTTACTCGGGAAGCTGAGGCAGGAGACTTGCTTGAAACCAGGAACTGGAGGTTGTACTGGGCCAAGATCATGCCACTGCACTCAAGCCTGGGTGACAGAGCGAGACTCTGTCTCAAAAAACAAACAAACAAAAAACAAAATAACAGAATGTAACAGGCAGTGCATTTTTTCCCTAAGGCTGTTTGAGGAGTGAGTGGCGGGTGTTCTGTAAATTGTGATTTTTTATCCTTAGCTCTGCCAGTAGGTGTTTGCTCTTATGTAACTCACTTTTCCTTTCTGAAGTTCAGTGTTCTCATGTGCAAAATGAGGGGTTAAGACTAGATCACCCCTAAGAAATCAAGGTGAGCTCTCTGCTTTTCATTGTGCTGTGTTTCCAAAGCAGTACCTGGTGGGAAAGCAAGCAGTGCCCCACCTGGCAGCAGGAAGAGAGTTGTGCCTCGAGGTTACTGTGTTAGTCCATTTTGAATTGCTATAAAGGAATACCTGAGACTGGGTAATTTAGAGAGAAAAGAGGTTTATTTGGCTCATGATTCTGCAGGCCGTACAAGAAGCATGGTGCCAGCATCTGCTTCTGGTGAGAACCTCAGGAAGCTTCCAGTCATGGCAGAAGGTGAATGGGGAGCCAGTGTATCACATGGAGAGAGAGGAAGCAAGAGAGGAAGAGGAGGTGCCAGGCTCCTCTAAACAACCAGCTCTTCAGTGAACTAACAGAGCAGGAACTCACTCATTACTCTGGGGCAGGCACCAAGCCATTCATGAGGGATCCGCCCCATGACCCACACGCCTCTAACACTGGGGATCATATTTTGACATGAGATTTCAAGGGGACATACTTTCAAATTATATCAGATACTTAGAGTTCTTTCAGATAAAAGCTGAGACCCTAACCTCCCTGATAGCCAAGATACACAAAACTGGTTCTCATAACTTTCAAAAGTGAATTAACTAAAAAGGCAGGCAAGGTATTTTTCTTAGGTGCTTTGTTTGAAGAGAAATCCTTAGAGGGCTTACGTCTCCTTGGAGCATGGTGTCAATTATTCTTAATAGCTTATAATATATTCTTGATAATATTAAGGAAGTGTTCTCTTATTCCTATATGTCTTTCTAAGACCTTAAAATAATAATGGATTGAATTGACAAAACACCCTTTAATATCTACTCATTTATTGATTTATAGACTCATTTTTCAGAGATGGTAATATAAGCTATAGTAATATATTAATGTTTTTCTTAATATTGGTCACTTCTATACTTAAGATAAACCCTTTGTGCTTTTATCTTATTATTTTAATGTATCATTACATTCTACTTATTGACATTGTTATTAATCACATAGTTTTGTATTCACAAGTGAGATTATTCTAAAATACTTTTGGTTATTTTGGTTAGATATTGGGAACAGAAACATCTACCTTATAGGATAATTTTTTTTTAATGGAGTTTCACTCTTGTTGCCCAGGCTGGAGTGCAATGGCACGATCTTGGCTCACTGCAACCTCCACCTCCCGCGTTCAAACGATTCTCCTGCCTCAGCCTCCCGAGTAGCTGGGATTACAGGCGCCGGCCACCACACCCAGCTAATTTTTTGTATTTTTAGTAGAGACAGGGTTTCACTATGTTGGCCAGGCTGGTCTTGAACTCTTGACCTCAGGTGATCTGCCCGCCTCAGCATCCCAAAGTGCTGGGATTACAGGCATGTGCCACCGCGCCCGGCCCATAGGATAAATTTTATAGCTTTCTGTCTTTTTGTAAAGACAGGGAGCAGAAAACGCCCACATTAAATATTTCTCAGTTGTTTCATCCCCTAGTATATTTCAGATTCTTATTTGATCTTATATCAATTTGCCATTGTCAATTTATGTTATGTAAAAATAATATATCTCATTAAGATGTTTCATTATTAATAGAATGTAATTATGTACATCTCATAATTGCATCTGTAATCATGCGTTATAAGTGCATTATTATTTTCTATTGTTACACCTCCTTTTTTCTAATTTCAAGTATTTAGTTTCATTTTTTGAAATTGTTGGCGTTTTATTTATTTATTTTTTGAGATGGAGTCTCACTCTTTTGCTCAGGCTCATAGAAACAATTCATCATTGATCCAAATGTCATTATGTGGCACATGACTGAATATATGTTTCTACAGTGGTTTTGGTGGCAGGGTTTGTTTTATTTGTGTGTGTGTGTGTGTGTGTGTGTGTGTGTGTGTGTGTGTGTGTGTGTTCTGAGACAGAGTCATACTCCATTGTCCAGGCTGGAGTGCAGTGATACGATCTCGGCTCACTGCAATATCCACTTCCCAGGTTCAAGCAATTCTCCTGCCTCAGCCTCTCAATTAGCTGGGACTACAGACATGTGCCGCCACGCCCAGCTAATTTTTGTATTTTTAGTAGAGACGGGGTTTTGCCATGTTGGCCAGGTTGGTCTCAAACTCCTGACCTCAGGTGATCCACCTGCCTCGACCTCCTAAAGCGCCGGGATTACAGGTGTGAGCCACCACACCACACCAGGCCTGTTTCTATAGTGTTTTAAAATAAAAAGAAGTTTTCTTATTTTCTGAATAATCTGTGGTTTTAACCTTGAGTTTTGAGACAATTGTTATTTAATAAAACGTTTGTCAAAATTCTATATTGATTGAATGCTTTTTTTGAATCTTTGTGCTTTTTAGTGTGTATCATATAACCATTTGTATAAATAATCATAAACAAAAGAAAAGACGGTATATTTTCAATGAAGTAAAAAAACCTTATTCTATTCATTCCATCTAATTTACTTTCATTGTTTATATAATTTATATCCATATTTAATTTTTGGATCCTTAATTTGTCATTAACATATAACAATCAAAATCATCCTCTAGGCTGAGTGAGGTGGCTCTCACCCGTAATCTCAGCACTTTGGGAGTCCGAGGTGGGTGGATAACTTGAGGTCAGGAGTTCAAGACAGTTTGGCCAAAATGGTGAAGCTGGTGAAGTCCTGTTTCTACTAAAAATACAAATATTAGCCAGGCGTGGTGGTAGGTGCATGTAATCCCAGCTACTTGGGAGCTGAGGTAGGAGAATCGTTTGAACTGGGGAGGCAGAGGTTGCAGTGAGCCAAGATCATGTCACTGCCCTGCAGCCTGGTCGACAGAGCGAGACTCTGTCTCAAAAAAATATATATGTATATTCTCTAGTTATGAATTGTGTTTCCCATGGGTTGTATTTTATTTATTATATTGATTCAAAGAATAAAACTTTGATAATCTCAAAATTATATTATTGATTATAGATTTTTATCATAAGTAATTTTCCTGTTTGTCATGGTCAATAGTTTTGCCTTAGATGTTATTTTACTATTTTCTATACTAGAATTCACCTTTTCTGTTTAAATTAATATTGCCTTTCTCAACTTTGCTTTCAGACTGTTGAGGTCATTTAGCTTTAGCGAGATGTCTCACAAGCAGCAATTCATTAAACAAATACAGTCCTGTAGTGTGAGAGTCTTCATTTCTTGGCAGTGGAATTTACACCATTAGGTACAAATCATTAGTGTAAGTGCCTCCTTACACTAATAGACTGACAGAGGACTGACAGATCCAGCCTCTGTCAGTCTATTTCATGCTGTATTTTAATATTCTGCTATTGAATCTTCTATTTGGCCTTCTGATGTCTGGGCAATGCTCTACTTGTTTTCATTTTTGTCACTCATTTGGAAGACAAACGTGCAGTTTTGATTCTGCTAGGAATTCCCTTAAAACATTAACACCAAAATTCTCTCTCCATAACTAAGCTCTCTAATAAAAAATAGCTGGTTTTGCTATTTTTATTGGAGAGCTTAGTTATCTTAGCTTTCTGGTCTTTTGTTTTGTTTTGCTTTTGTTTTTGTTTTTGAGATGGAGTTTCGCTCTTGTTGCCCAGGCTGGAGTGCAATGGCGCCATCTTGGCTCACTGCAGCCTCCTCCTCCCGGGTTCAGGTGATTCTCCTGCCTCAGCCTCCTGAGTGGCTGTGATTACAGGTGCCTGCCAGCACACCTGGCTAATTTTTTGTATTTTTAGTAGAGATGGGGTTTCACCATGTTGGCCAAGCTGGTCTCAAACTCCTGACCTCAGGTGATCCACCCGCTTCGGTCTCCCAGAGTGCTGGGATTACAGGCATGAACCACTGTGCCCAACCTATCTTAGCTTTATTTTATGAAAGACAAGGAAATGTATACTTTTCAGCTTTTTTCTTCTCTTCACCCATTCATTTTCACATTTCACAGTACATCTGGGGAGCCTGCAACTCCTCCCCACCCTCACACTGCCCCCTTCAACCCTCCCACACCACACCCTCCACCTCTACCCTCCCCACTCTGCGGTTAATCTGAGTCTGGAAACTGCTTCCCTCAACCCCTTTGATTCTCTTATTCTTTTTCCAGGATCTTTTTTGATCTTTTGCAAATGACTCTATTCTAAGTGTAACTCAAATGTTGGCAGACTTCATCAATGTTTAAATTAAACATGAGGTCACGTGGACACCAATGTCATCAGCAAATTCCCTTCTTTTCTACCCAGCCCAGGAAGAACTCCATCTTTCTCCTTTGGCATCATTTCACCCCAAAATATTTCAGTTCATTTCTTTGGTGGGCAGAATAATGGCCCCCTAAAGATGTTCCTAATCCCCAGAACGTGTGAATATGTTATCTTACATGGACAAAATGACTTTGCAGATGTGATTAAGGTTAAGGACTTTGAGATGAGGGTATCATATCAGATTATCTAGGTGTGCTCAACCTAATCACATGAGTCCTTAAAAGAAACTTTTCCAGCTGAGGTCAGAGTCAGAGAGGGAGGCTGGGCACAGTGGCTCATGCTTATAATCCCAGAACTTTGGGAAGCTGAGGCAGGAGGATTGCTTCAGCCTAAGAGTTTGATAGCAGCCTGGGCAACATAGCAAGACTCCATCTCTACAAAAGAAAAATTTAAAAATTAGCTGGGCATCATGGTGCATGCCTGTAGTTCCCAGCTACTTGGGAGGCTGAAAAAGGAGGATCACTTGAGCACAGGGGGTTGAGGCTGCAGGGAGCTATGATAGCATCACTGCACTCCAGCTTGGGCAAGAGAGCAAGACCCCGTCTGAAAAAAAAAAAGAGTCAGAGAGGGAGCTGTGATTATGGGAGAATTGTCAGAGAGATGCAATGTTGCTGGATTTGAAAACAGAGAAAGGGGTATGAACTGAGAAAAGTGATGTGAGCAGCCTCTAGAAGCTGAAAAGGGCAAGGAAATAGACTATCCCCCAGGGCAGGGGTCCTCAACCCTCAGGCCATGGCCTCTTAGGACTGGATGGCACAGCAGGAAGTGAGTGGAGGGCGAGCAAGTGAAGCTTCATCTGGATTTACAATTGAACCCCTTCACTCACATTCCTTCCAGAGCTCCACCTCCTGTCAGATCAGCAGTGGCATTAGATTCTCACAGGAATGTGAGCCCTATTTTGAACTGCGCATGCAAGGGATCTGGGTTGCATGCTCCTTATGAGAATCTAATGCCTGATAATCTGTCACTGTCTCCCATCAGCCCCAGATGGGACCATCTAGTTGCAGGAAAACAAGCTCAGGGCTCCCACTGACTCTACATCATGAAGAGTTGTATAATTATTTCACTATATATTACAATGTAACAATAGAAATAAAGTGTAATAATAGAATAAGAGAAATAAAGTGCACAATAATGTAATGTGTTTGAATCATCCAGAAACTACCACCCCCACCAACTGCTGGTGGTCCATGAAAAAACTGTCTTCCACAAATTCGGTCCCTGGTGCCAAAGCAGTTGGGGACCGCCACCCTACTGCCTCCAGAAAGAGGAATATGGTCCCCTTGACACCTTGATTCTAGCACAGTGGAACCAATTTCAATTTTCTGACCTACAGAATTGTCAATAATGCATTCGCATTGATTTAAGCCACTAAATCAGTGGTATATCTGGGGGCAGCACTATGAAATTAACACAGTCCCCAGTGCACGCCTTTAGATGGCTTACCAACCAACTGCAGGACCACTCTCCCACCTTTTTCTTCTGCGGCTCTGGTTGGTCAATGTTGGCTGCTCTGGAAGCCACTGGAACAACGTTAACACTGCTAGGATACAGCAGAGAGAGGAAAATGGCCAAGACTGCATCCAAAGGCAAATAGGACCTGGACAGGTTTGGGAATGTTGTCAGGATCAAATGAGTTAATATATGCAAAGTGCTTTCAACAGTGCCTGGCTCGTGGTGGTGTGTTTTAGCTAATACTTTCTCACTTTGAACTCTAGAGGAAGATAATTGAGTTGGCCATACTCCTTACTTCATGTATGCCCTCTGGACTTGTGCATGGCCCATCTTGTTTTTATTCATTCATTCATTCATTCATTCACTCACTCACTCCATTTAATTGCCATTATTCACCCCAGTTCTCTTTTCTTCCCTAAGCAATCATTTTAATGTATCGTTTGCGCGTCTCACCTTTTGAATGTATTCTTACAAAATGCACATTTTAGCTTTGTGTGCATGCAATTTTTAATTTCTGTAAATGCCACTGATCTAGAATAATTTACTTGCATAAGAGCTAGTTTTTTAAGATATAAGCTTGTATCTACAGCCATTGCTTTTAACGACTGCCTAGTAGCCCATGGTATAAATTTATACCATGTGGCTGACCTCTCCACACAGGTACAAAATACTTAACCCTTGAACAACACAGGCATGTCCTAATGAGGAGGTTGCCTCAATGCTGGGCTGGAGCTAGGTCCCAGAGGCTCCTGAAATTCAGAATTTAATATTAAATTGTGGCATCAGGCACAAGATGTGGCTGTATCTTGCCTATCAGCTGAATATCACCCCTTGTGTTAGTCTGTTCTTGCGTTGTTATGAAGAAATACCTGGAGCTGGATACTTTATAAAGAAAAGACATTTGTTTGGCTCACGGTTCTGTGGGCTGTACAGGAACCATGGCACGAGTATCTGCTCCTGGTGAGGCATCAAGAAGCTTCTAAACATGGCAGAAGATATAGAGGGATCTGGCATAACACGTGGCAAGAGAGAGAGCAAGAGAGGGAGAAGAGGGAGGTTCCAGACTCTGTTAAACAACCAGATCTCACATGAGCTAACTGAGAAAGAACTCACTTATCACCAAAGGATGGTGCTAAGCCATTCATGAGGGATCCATACTCATGATCTGATATGGGTGAGCTTTGTGTCCCCACTCAAATCTCATCTCGGATCGTAATTGCCAGGTGTTGAGGAAGAGACCTGGTGGGAGGTGATAGGATCATGGGGGTGGTTTTCCCCATGCTGTTCTCATGATAGTGAGTTCTCATGAGATCTGATGGTTTTATAAGTGTTTGGCAAGTTTTTCCTATGCTCACACTCTCTCCTGCCACCTTGTGAAGAGGGAGCCTGATTCCTCTTCTGCCATGATTGTAAGTTTCCTGAGGCCTCCCCAGCCATGCTGAACTGTTAGTCAATTAAACCTCTTTTATTTATAAATTACCTAGTCTCGGGTAGTATCTTTACAGCAGTGTGAGAATGGACTAATACATGATTCCATCACCTCCCACCAGGCCCCACCTCTAACATTGGTGATCATACTTCAGCAGGAGATTTGGAGGGGACAAGCATCCAAACTATATGACCCCTGCCTATCCCTACCTCTACACTTCTAGTAATGAATTCCCACGTTGCCTCCAACTTCCTCACCATAAACCATAATGCAAAAAACTTCCTCGTACAAGTCACATTATGGACCCTGAGATAGATACCAGGCAAGGAATTGCTGAGTCACGTGTATGCATATATATAATTTGTATGAGTAATACCACAATGGTCGTACCAGTCCACCCTCCCACCAGCGGAGCATGTGGTCTCCCATAGCCCCATGTCCCCACCAGCTCTCTAATAGTCACCTAGTTCAGTAAGCACGAAGAAGTAGCTCACTGTGGTTTGAATTTGCATTTGTCTTTTTTTTAATTTTAATTTTAATTTTTATTTTTTTTGAGACTGAGTCTTACTGTGTCGCTGTGTTGCCCAGGCTGGAGTGCAGTGAAGTGATCTCAGCTCACTGCATCCTCCGCCTCCCAGGTTCAAGCAATTCTTCTGTCTCAGACTCCCGAGTAGCTGGAATTACAGGTATGTGCTACTACGCCCTGCTAATTTTTGTATTTTTAGTAGAGATGGGGTTTCACCATGTTGGTCAGGCTGGTCTCGAACTCCTGACCTCTTGATTCGCCCACCTCAGCCTCCCAAAGTGCTGGGATTATAGGCATGAGCATTTGTCTTATTTCTAATTACCAATAACCTTGGGCTCTCATCTTATGGTCAAAAACTTGGTGGCTTCCCATTCTACAAATATCCTTCTCACAGCAACTCTCCATTTAAAAAAAATGGGGTTGCTCTCTTTTTATCACTGACAGGCAGGAGTTTCTTATACAAAAATGTCAATGTATTTGTCAGAGGTGCTATCTCCTAATGCTTCCAAAACTACAAATTCTCAGAGGGCCAGCCCTGCACTAAAGACTGTGTCAAGATGGGGAGATTGACTCTCTTAATGACTCTGTGTCAAACACTTTGGAGTCACCTGAACCCCAAAGTAGCAGTGTTTATGCTCAGAGTCTCTAAAAATCTCTTTTTTTGAGACGGGGTCTTGCTATGTTGCCCAGGCTGGAGTGCAGTGACGTGATGATGGCTCACTGCAGCCTCAACCTCCCAGACTCAAGCTACCCTCTCACCTCAGCCTCCTGAGTAGCAGGGACTACAGGCACACAAAACTATGCTTGGTTAAATTTTGCTTTTTTTTCTATTTAGAGACAGGGTTTCACCATGTTGCCCAGTCTGGTCTCGAACTTCTGAGATCAAGCAATCCACCCACCTTGGCCTCCCAAAGTGCTGGGATTACACTGCGCCAAGTCTGAAATCTCTTAATGGAAGCCTTTATATGACTGCTGTCCTTCATCTACTGGCTGAAAAATAGGATTGAAACAAATACCGCTGAAACAGCCACACTGAAAGAAGGGGGCAGTATTTTGTGGTCTAAAGTAAACCATAGCTCAGCCAACCAAAATGCCTTTATGTTGTATCAGTCCTACAGAGTTATCAACCCCAACAATTCCCTCATTAGTGGTTATAGTATTTTAGTACTTCTACCATGTCCATGATTTTTCACTTCTTTTTTTTAAAAAACCTCAAATTCCTCACCTGTGACGACTTTCTTAGACTCAGCTCTCTGTGGTCTCATAATAGGAATCTGGTGAAGAAAGAGCTTCATGTGCAAATAAGATGGGGAAATCTAGATTCAGTAAACATTTTTTTTTTAATGAGGACTTTCTCATTATGCACATTATGTGGATTTTAGGAACATAATTGAGGAAGCATTAGTGTGGGAAAATGAGCACTATTCTTAGAGGAAAGGGTTCTCTCGTCTCTTCTCTAGCACCTATCACGCTGCAGTTTGGGCATAACCATTAATGATTCTGCAGCCTCAGTTACTGAATCTGCAGAATGGGGCAATAATATAGTTGTCCACAAAGGCAGGGGATTTAACAAGATGTTTGACTGAGTTTCTGCTCAAGCCTAAGATGCATTCATCTCTAAACCTTTCTTCCTCTGATCCTTCGGCCTCACACTCAGCCCTTTTGGAAAATATTTGATAGGAAAAACTGAGACGCCACAGCAGCTGTGACCGGCGACGCTTGAAACAAAACCTTTGTTGATTTAGTTGCGCTTCTGTAAACCCCGGATGGGATGCTGCTGGAAGCCCAGTAGTAATTGTACATCTGGACTTCCCACCTCCTGCTCCAACAGACTGTCGTTGGCAGAAACATGTGGTCCATTGGCACAGACCGTGTTTCCCATCACAGCTTATCTGAGCAGTGTTGAAAGGTTCAAAGTTATTATTTACAGCTCAGTGAGGAGAGGGCAGAGAGTCAGAAGCTGTGGATGAGATCCACGCTGCAAATGCTACTCACGGAGAATGACAGCGTCTGAGATGCCTAAGGGGCAGAGAAAGGGATTCTTAGCAACTCCCCATGTCTCAGAGAGCCGCACAAGCTATGCTTCCCGCCCTCCAGAAGCCTCCTCTGCTGAATGCGGCCAACATTGATTCCTTCCCTTCCTCACCGACCCTATTCCATATTAGGGTGACCAACTCATCCCTGATTGCCTGGGACTTTCTTGGTTTTCGTACTAAAAGTCCCATGTCCCAAGAAACTCCTCAGTACCTGGTAAGCAGAGCTAGTGGGTCACCCTGCCCATACTGTCGAGATGAAGCATTTTTGTCATTGACTATATTTGGTTACCAGTCTAGCCACACTAACATCAAACACTTGCTGGGTGTCTAGTGAGTACACTGTGCTAAACTTAGAGGACACACTGCCCTCATCTGATTTTTTTTTTCTCTATTTTTCCACATGTTTCAAAATGTTTTTTCTATACCTAGCATTCAGATCTTGTTTTCTTTGTACCATTGTCAAAAAACAAAACAAAACAAAAAACAGAGCTTCTTGGGAAAATGGTTGATTCCAAGACTGGGGCAAGAAAAGTAATAATATGAGCTTGGAACATTTTATGATGCCAGAAAATAAGGAGATGTTCAAGAAAATATAGAATGTGACGGCACATCAACGAAACACAGAAGACTGGGCGCAGTGGCTCATGCCTGTAATCCCAGCACTTCAGGAGGCCGAGGCAGGAGGATTGCTTGAAGCCAGGAGTTGAGGAGCAGCCTGGGAAACATAGGGAGACTCTCTCTCTTTGAAAATTTTAAAAACTAGCCAAGCATGGTGGCACGCATCTGTAGCCCCAGCTACTCCGGAGAGTGAGATGGGAGGATCACTTGAGCCCGGGAGTTGGAGATTGCATGAGCCTATGATTGTGCCACTGCACTCAAGCCTGGGCAACAGAATGAGACCCTGTCTCTTAAAAAAAAAAAATGTAAAATAAATAAAATAAAAATTGCTGATTAAGGCCGCGCACAGTGGCTCACGTCTGTAATCTCAGCACTTTGGGAGGCTGAGGCAGGTGGATCACTTGAGGTCAGGAGTTCGAGACCAGGCTGGCCAACATGGTGAAACCCTGTCTCTACTAAAAAATACAAAAATTTCTCCCCATCACCATGGGGTAAAAAAAAGCACAGAAGACAACTTGAAGAAGCTCCTAATGAGCAAATCTGGGGCAATTTGAGCAAAAAAATAATAATATCAATAATACTAATGATGTATTCTAATCTATAGAATAAAGTAAGTATCTGAATATGTACTGACATAAATTGATAGATGGAAAGATAAAAAATAAATTATTACAATAAAATTCTAATTCATGAATAATTTAAGTTGAGCCAAACTCTTCTAGTGCAATCTCCAGACAAAAAGCTGAGCACAGCAGGGGTGCTTTGACCTGGCCATTGCTGCCCAGTGGGGATTCCTCTATGGCCCATGTTGGTGGTGGGGTCCTCCTTGCATTTGTCAAGCCTGCATCCATGGTGTCCTGAGGCTTTCCTCGCTCAATCCTGCCTGACGTTCTCCTGGAGGACACCTGCTGCCCAGATTGAAGAGAAGAGAGAAGCAAGACCAGAACTTCAATTCTTAGTTTCAGGACACTCTGCACCGGCCTCAAGAGCAGCTCTCAATCCTTCCCCTTCTCACACACACAGTTGATCTCGGCTGAAAACAGCCCTCTGCTTTCCAGCAATTTCTTATGGCTTTTTTCCCCATCCTGACGTTTCCCCACCATAGATTTTCTAGATTCTTCTTGGGAGAGGGAGCTGGGCAGGCTGTGCTGAGTTAGACAGAAGACAGGTTAGAAACTCTGATTTAGATAATCAGTTAAAGGGCTGGGTGTGGTGGCTCACGCCTGTAATCTCAGCACGTTGGGAGGGCAAGGCGGGTGGATCACTTGAGGTCAGGAGTTCGAGACCAGGCTGGCCAACATGGTAAAACCCCGTCTCTACTAAAAATACAAAAATTAGCCAGGTGTGGTAGCGAGCACCTGTAATCCCAGCTACTCAGGAGACTGAGGCAGCAGAATTGCTTGAATCCAGGAGGTGGAGGCTGCAATGAGTGGAGATCGCACCACTGCACTCCAGCCTGGGCGACAAAGTAAGATGCCGTTTCAAATAATAATTATAGTAATAATAATACTCAGCTAAGGATTTTAGATAGAAGAAAGCATAAGTATGGGAAGCAACTGAATGTGTTTGAGCAGGGAAGAGTGATATTACATTCCTAGAAGTTTAAAATAAGGCGCTGTGTACCCAACATTCTCATTCAAATCCGGGTTCTATTCTCTGTAGCTTGAGACACTGGACAAATTATTTGGTCATTCTAATCCCACTTTTCTCACCTATAAAATGGAATTAAAAACAACATGCCACTCATAGGATTAAATAGATGAAGGGACTCAGAATAGTGTCTCGTTCATAGTTAAGTGCTCAAGATTCTAGTTATTACTATAGTCCAATTAGAAATTTTTGAAAAGAAGTCTTAAGAAACTGTCCCAAATGAAACAGAATGGTTGTCTGTAGGGAAAAGAAAGAGAGATCAGACTGTTACTATGTCTATGTAGAAAGGAAAGACATAAGAGACTCCATTTTGAAAAAGACCTGTACTTTAAACAATTGCTTTGCTGAGATGTTGTTAATTTGTAGCTTTGCCCCAGCCACTTTGACCCAACCTGGAGCTCACAAAAACATGCGTTGTATAAAATCAAGGTTTAAGGGACCTAGGGCTGTGCAGGAGTGCCTTGTTAACAAAACGTTTACAAGCAGTATACTTGGTAAAAGTCATCGCCATTCTCTAGTCTCAATAAACCAGGGGCACAATGCACTGTGGAAAGCCACAGGGACCTCTGCCCTTGAAAGCGGGGTATTGTCCAAGGTTTGTCCCCATATGATACCCTGAAATATGGCCTCGTGGGATGAGAAAGACCTGACCATCCCCCAGCCTGACACCCGTAAAGGGTCTGTACTGAGGTGGATTAGTAAAAGAGGAAGGCCTCTTGCAGCTGAGATAGAGGAAGGCCACTGTCTCCTGCCTGCCCCTGGGAACTGAATGTCTTGGTATAAAACCCGATTGTACATTTGTTCAATTCTGAGATAGGAGAAAAACCACCCTGTGGTGGGAGCCAAGACATGTTTGCAGCAACGCTGCTTTGTTATTCTTTACTCCACTGAGATGTCTGGGTGGAGAGAAACATAAATCTGGCCTACGTGCACGTCCAGGCATAGTATCTTCCCTTGAACTTCATTATGACACAGATTCTTTTGCTCACGTTTTTTGCTGACCTTCTCCTTATTATCACCCTGCTCTCCTACTACATTCCTTTTTGCTAAAATAATGAAAATAATAATCAATAAAAACTGAGGAAACTCAGAGACTGGTGCTGGTGCAGGTCCTTGGTGTGTTGAGTGCCTGTCCCCTGGGCCCACTGTTGTTTCTCTCTACTTTGTCTCTGTGTCTTATTTCTTTTCTCAGTCTCTTGTCCCACCCGACTAGAAATACCCACAGGTGTGGAGGGGCAGGCCACCCCTCCATTGTCTAAAAGCTGGAAGTTCATTCTGAAAGATTCTGGAGGCAAATAACTCATCCTTAATATTAGTTGTCTTTCTTTCTTTCTCTCTCTTTCTTTCTCTCTCCCTTCCTTCCTTTTCTTTCTTTCCCTCTCTGTCTCTCTCTTCCTTCCTTCCTTTCTTTTTCTTTCTTTCTTCCTTTTTTCTTTCTCTTTATGTCTTTCTCCTTCTTTCCTTCTTCCTCCTTTCCCTCCTTCCTCCCTCCCGCCTTCCTTCCTTCCCTCTTTCCTTCCTTCTTTCTTTCTCTTCTTTCCCTTCCTTCCTTCCTTTTTCTTTCTTTCTTTCTCTCTTTCTTCCTTCTTTCTTTCTCTCTCTCTCTTTTACTTTCTTTCTTCTCTTGTACTCTCCTCCAAGGTTGCAAGAGTTCAACTGTTGTTTAATTCATGTTCTTGAATTGCTGATATAGAAAATGTGGAGCCACACTTTTTTTTTCATTTCAGAAAAAAAAAAAATGCTGTACTCCTTTGTGGGAACAACTACAGAAGAATAAACTAAAAATGGACACAAAAGCAGTCCTGAATTGGAGTAAACATGTTACCAATGAATACTTTTCTAAAATAATAAATGTAAACATAAAGTGCCCTGCTATGTGCAAGAGTTCCTCCTGCTCCTCGGCGGGGTGCAGGCACCTCTTCAGCCCAGGTGCCGGTGTTCTCCATGGCCTGTGGCAGAGTAGAAGAGGAACATCTCTCCCCCAGAGGCACGTCGTATTGTGAAACCTGGCACCCAAAGTATGAGTTGGTGCAAAAGTAATTTCGGTTTTTGCTAAAACCGCAATTACTTTACTTTTTATGTTGTTGTTTTTGAGATGGAGTCTCGCTCTGTCACCCAGGCTGGAATGCAATGGCGCCATCTTGGCTCACTGCAACCTCCCCTTCCCGGGTGCAAGAGATTCTCCTGCCTCAGCCTCCCGAGTAGCTGGGATTACAGGCATCCACCACCATACCCGGCTAAGTTTTGTATTATTAGTAGAGGTGGGGTTTCACCATATTGGCCAGGCTGGTCTCTAAGTCCTGACCTCAGGAGATCCACCCGCTTCAGCCTCCCAAAGTGCTGGGATTACAGGTGTGAGCCACCGCACCCCACCCAAAATTACTTTTGCACCAACCTAATATTGCTGTTTGTCTCTTAAATCTCATAAAGTGTCATATCTATTGGTTATCTAGATTTTTACCATAACTTCCATCCCTCTTTTGCATCCACTTTTTCTCTGGGGCCAGACTAAGGAGCCAACACACTTAGGGTCTCCAATCCTGCACTTCCAACAGTATCCCTCCAGGAAGACACGCTCAGAACACGTCTCTTTGTCTTTAGCCAAACAAGTGAACCAGTAACTAACAACTGCCCCTGCATATCAACTATAATAAGTTTAGAGGAAAGGGGAAGAGGAAGAGGCCCCATGCACCCAGTTTCCTCTTAGGCTCACCTAGGACCAACTCTGTGCAAATTAAATTATTGAAATATTCTTAGTTTTACTTTTAAAAAAAGAGGTTATATCACTTCTTGGCCTTTTGGCTAAGATCAAGTGTAAAACAAGAGGTTATTTTCGGCTAAGCCTGGTGGCTCACGCCTGTAATCCCAGCACTTTGTGAAGCCAAGGGGCGAATCATGAGGTCCGGAATTCGAGACCAGCCTGGCCAATATGGTGAAACCCCGTCTCTACTAAAAATACAAAAATTAGCCGGGCATGGTGGTGGGCACCTGTAATCCCAGCTACTCAGGAAACTGAGGCAGAAGAATCACTTGAACCAGGGAGGCGGAGGTTGCAGCGAGCAGCGATTGTGCCACTGCACTCTAGCCTGGGTGACAGAGCAAGACTCAGTCTCAAAAAAAAAAAAAAAAAAAGGTAAAAGGAAAAAGGTTATTTTTAATTTTCTTTTCTTTCACAGGCCATCTTTTCCTTCTTTGTATTTCTCTTCTTAAACTTGCTGTTCATTTGTTTTCATTTGTTTTTTCATTAAACACATTACTTCCAGCATTCTTTCAAAACTATAGTTTCTGCCCAATCGGCAGGGTCCCCTCCCCATGGCAACAGCTACAAAGACTGCGGCAGGTGGCTGAGTCATGTCTATTTCATGTCACAAAATGAGATCAACGCAGAGTGCCCAGCACAGAATTTATAGTGAGAGACTAAATAGATACATTATTGAACAGAATCTTTTCAAATGGGTGGATCACTTTCCCACGATGTGGTTGAATTCTTGCCATTTTATGCCAAGGACAGATAAACTCAGCTAACATTGAATAATTCCTCACCATCTTCTAAAGAATGGATTATATTGGCAGAGCGTGGTGGCTCACACTTGTAATCCCAGGAATTTGGGAGGCCAAGGCTGGAGAATCACTTGATCCCAGGAGTTTCAGACCAGCCTGGGCAATATAGTAAGACCCTGTCCCTACAAAATAATTTTTTTTTTACTTAGCTGGGTATGGTGGTGTGCAACTGTAGTCCCAGCTACTTGGGAAGCTGAAGTGGGAGGATCACTTGAGCCTGAGAGTTTGAGGCTGCAGTGAGATATAATTGCACCACGACACTTCAACCTGGGCAACAGAGCAAGACCCTCTCTCAAAAAAAAAATGGATTGTCTGAAGGATGGAAATATTAAGTACCTGGTCCAAAGTATTGTAAGTGGCAGAGGCAATTTTCAAAAATCACATAGTCCAAATGCAGAACCCAAGCGTATGTATAACTACTATGCAACATGGAGAACTCAGGTGCAGGATGCTACCTTAAGCCTTGCTCTTTTTCTGCTTTAATTAAACCCGTGGCAGGCCTTCCTCATCTTTCCAGGGATATGAAATCATCCTTCTCCATCCCGCAGAGGGAAAAGGGTAATGCTCTGTGTCCAATTTTCTTTTCATTGCTATTTTTATTATGGAAACACAAATGTTCAGTGATTCTAAAATGAAAACAGGGAAAGTTAATTTTGTCATTCTTATCTAATAAAATTCTTAATGGGTTTCTCTCCCATTATCATAAATACTTTTATCATTTCTAATTTTTTTTCCTCCATTGCGCAGTAGTATATCTTGCTTTCAGAAAAATAAAAATTTAAAAAGAGACACGTTCCTTTAGCGTTTAGATCTCTTAAGTATCATTTCTCCTTGGAATTTAGTTCTATCTTCTCTATGGCAATCAGAAATGAACATTCTAAATGTAGATTTGGCACATTTCGTGCCAATTTTATATAGTGAAAATTTGGCAGACTCTCTATTGGCCGTGAGCTGTGGACCTTGAACAAGTCTCTTGACTTCCATGGGCTCTATTACCCCATCTCCAAAATTATGTCCTGGACTCTTTTCTCTTCCTTACTCTCTCCTTCATGCAATAATAATAATATGTGATTAATTTAATTGAACTGATAGTAGTGATCTTTGTTTTCAAATTGCAATAGGTAATTAGTTCTAGATAAGCTCACTCTGGATGTGGTGCTGGGATTATAGGGGTGAGGGTAGAGACGCATTTATACAAAAGGGCATCCTTTAAAAAACAAAACAAAACAAACAAACAAAAAAGAGCAGAGGTTCTCAAAGTGCAGCCCCAGAACCAGGAATATCAACATCAGCATCACTGGGGAACCTGTTAAAATGGAAATTCCATTTTTTTTTTTTTAAGACAGAGTCTTGCTCTGTTACCCAGGTTTGAGTGCAGTGGTGCGATCTTGGCTCATTGCAACCTCCGCCTCTCAGGTTCAAGTAATTCTCGTGCCTCAGCCTCCTGAGTAGCTGGGATTACAGGCACGTGCTACCACACCCAGCTAATTATTATTATTATTATTTTTCATATTTTAAGTAGAGACGGGGTTTCGCCATGTTGGCTAGGCTGGTCTCAAACTCCTGACCTCAAGTAATCCTCCTGCCTCAGCCTCCCACAGTGCTGGGATTATAGGCATAAGCCACCGTGCCTGGCCCTAGAATGTAAATTTTTATGCCCTGCTCACTCCCCTCTAGATCAGGAATGCTGAGACTAAAACTCTGCAACCTGTGGTTTAACAAGCCTTACAGATGATGAAGTTTGAGAATTACTGCTACAGGATACTTTAAACTCTTTGATGTCTGCTTCCTAGCCATATTAGCCATATTAGCCCTGAGACTGCTTTCTCTTTCATTCTTTTGTTTGTTTGTTTGTTTGAGATGGAGTCTCACTCTGTTGCCCAGGCTAGAGTGCAGTGGTGCGATCTCAGCTCACCGCAACCTCCGCCTCCAGGATTCAAGTGATTTTCCTGCCTCAGTTTCATGAGTAGCTGGGATTATAGGCACCCACCGCCACGTCCAGGTAATTTTTGTACTTTTAGTAGAGACTGGGTTTAGCCATGTTGGCCAGGCTGGTCTCGAACTCCTGACCGCAGGTTATCCACCTGCCTCGGCCTCCCAAAGTGCTGGGATTAGAGGCATGAGTCGCCGTGCCTGTCCCCTCTCTTATTCTTAAATAGCAGAATAATTCATTCCTTCAACAAATAATCATTAAGTGCTTGATGTGTGTCAGGCACAGATCTAGGGAAGGAGGGTACAATGTTGAAAACACCAGGCAACAATCTCTGCCATATAGAGCTAGGATTCTAACAGGGGAGAGAGAGAATAAACAAGGAAACATACACAGCGTATCAGAAGGTGATGAATACAATGAAAAAATAATCACGCAGCAGGCTGGGATAGTGGATTCTCAGAAAATATCCATTTAACTCCTTAACCTAATTTGGATCCATCGAGAAGAAAAAGCTGCAGTAAAAATTAAATATGACATGAATTATCAGCTAAATGTAATAACTCTGTATTTCTTCTCTCAACGATTTGAGGTTTGTTGTTGTTTATTTTTATTTTTTGTATCAGCACCTACTTTTCATATGACACATCACTGGGAATTATATAGAAACTTATAAAACAGGCTCTTATACCTCTACTACCATGGCAACAAAGAATGTCACCTGACATAAAGGTGAACGTTCTTATATCCAGAGCTTCTTGGGCTGGAGTCATAGACTTTGAGTTACAAGATATTTAAAGATTATATAGCTCAACTCTGTTTTGTTTTGTTTTGTTTTTTTGAGACGGAGTCTCGCTCTGTCGCCCAGGCTGGAGTGCAGTGGCGGGATCTTGGCTCACTGCAAGCTCCGCCTCCCAGGTTCACGCCATTCTCCTGCCTCAGCCTCCCGAGTAGCTGGAACTACAGGTGCCCACCACCACGCCTGGCTAATTTTTTGTATTTTTTAGTAGAGACGGGGTTTCACGGTGTTAGCCAGGATGGTCTCGATCTCCTGACCTCGTGATCCACCCGCCTCAGCCTCCCAAAGTGCTGGGATTACAGGCGTGAGTCACCGTGCCCGGCCAACTCTGTTTTTTACTTAATTGTTTCTATTTTGTATGTGTAATGATTTTACTAATATCTTACTGAGAAGGTCATAGAGGTTATGGGATTGGCTTGAAACCAGTTTCTGGAGGTTCCATTCTTTCCTTTTTCGTTTAGGTTTTCATGTAGGTTGGCTCTTTGAATGTGTGGTAAGGAGGTGGACAGCCGTAAAGTCACTCTAAATTAGTAGATGTTTGTTCAATTGTTAGAACTTTTCGTTTTGAAGCAAAGGCTTCTCAGATTATAAAAAGTATTAGTCACTTTGGGAGGCCGAGGCGGGCGGATCACGAGGTCAGGAGATCGAGACCATCCTGGCTAACACGTTGAAGCCCCGTCTCTACTAAAAATACAAAAACAAAATTAGCCGGGCACGGTGGCATGCACCTGTAGTCTCAGCTACTGGGGAGGCTGAGGCGGGAGAATGGTGTGAACTCAGGAGGTGGAGCTTGCAGTGAGCTGAGATCTCGCCACTGACCTCCAGCTAGACTCCATCTCAAAAAAAAAAAAAATTAGTATAACTGCTGTTAGTGAGATAAATGAGCCTACAGATGAGATAATATTTCATGTGGTGTATGCATCAGGATAATCGGAGTAACGTCAAGGCATACTGGATAGGCTGAGAAAGTGTTGTGGGGAAGGAAATAAATATGGGGAAAAAATAAATTCTGAGCCCATAGTGGGATTGTCTATATTTTCATATCCCCATAACAATTATTTGAAATTCAAGGGTAAATACTTCCTTATATAACCTTTGCCTCTCTTAGCACAATGCTGACACCCGAATCATGTGCCTGACAAATGCTATTGATGGCGATTAGGATACTGTTTACTGGAATATAGGAAAGTGTACTCTCTTATATTGCAAGTCTGCACCTGAATTTCAAACAAAAGTGTACGCCATTTGACTCTGATACAATCAGCAACTTAATAACCAGCAGCTTTTTCATTTCATTACTTAAGTCTTATTGCTATAATATAATGCTACTAAAAATTTCAAAACTCTGTATTTCATCTAAGCTAGCATTTTTCAATTATTATCTCAAATAAATTTTGCAAAAATTCTATGAAGTCAGATTTAGTCAAGGTTATATTCAGTACAAGTAATGGAAGTACACTTCAAATTACCTTTAACAAAAAATTTAATGTATACTTCTTTGAGGTATAATTTATTAGAAATTTAATTGTATATTTAACAGAATTCAGGTAAGAATTTTACAATCAGCTCAACAGTTCCCTCCTTTTTGAAGAATTCTCTCATCTCATTCCTTTATTGTTAACTTCCTGTTTTGCTGCCTTTACACCATGTAATTCCTTGCCATAATGTTTCTTTCATAAAAATAACAAACGATCCTCTTTAAATTTCTGAAAATATAAATGAAAATAAAGAAAAAATAACTCATTAGTACTTTCAAAATTAAACCACTGCTGATATTTGCTGTGCTTATTAGCATTATTTTATAGTAAATTTAGAAAAAAACTGTGGGCAAACTTTTACTTAAAGCTATATATCAGACCAAGTACACACACACACACACACACACACACACATCTCCTAATACAGAACACCTAAAAATGCTGAACAACATATTTAAAGCATATTTTAAGTATGCTGAGCTTAAATACAAGTTGAAAATGAAAAACAATAATAAAGAATGATGGCCAAGTACAGTAGCTCACCCTTGTAAACCCAGCACTTTGGGAGGCCGAGGTGGGTGGATCACGAGGTCTGGAGTTTGAGACCAGTCTGGCAAACATGGTGAAACCCTGTCTCTACTAAAGATACAAAAATTAGCCAGGCATGGTGGCAGGCACCTGTATTCCCAACTACTCGGGAGGCTGAGGCAGGAGAATTGCTTGAACCTGGGAGGTGGAGGTTGCAGTGAGCCAAGATCATGCTACTGCACTCCAGCCTGGGCGACAGAGCAAGACTCCATCTCAAAAACAAAAAATAAATAAAAAGAAAGAAAGAAGAAAGAAAGAAAGAAAGAAAAGAAAGCAAGAAAGCAAGCAAGAAAGAAAGAAAGAGAAAAGAAAGAAAGAAAAGAAAGAAAGAAAGAAAGATACAAGAACAATACACAGTTTTTGAAACTGACTTTTTCCCTGAGGATGAATGTTTGTCTGTCAAGGGTGTTAGTGAAACATACACACAAAAATGTAAACAAAGTATGGAATACCAACATGACTGAATGACAGGTCAGAAGCCTTCTCATAGAGATAGGGCCCTAGAGGGATGAAACCCTCGGTGAATACATTAAATGAAAATCCTGTTCTATAGAGATAAGTGTGGGAAAAATTGTCCATCTTTTTCTTAGGTCTGAGTTGTGTGACTGAACAAAGAAAATAGTCTCTGAGAATCCCTAATGACAAATATATAATGAGGAGTTGGGCCAGAATTCATACCACATACGTGTCCTGGAAAACTTCAACCAAAAATGTTAGGTTAAAGCAAACTCACACAGGTATATTTCCTTGGACCCTGGAATAAACAAACACATCTCTGGAGAAAACAAGTCACTAGGAGCAAGAGCCAACAGAAACAACAAAGTATAGAATCAGATCTACAAAGACTGTAGATACTGGGATTATGAGCAACACTATAAAAATGAATATATTTAAATAATAAAAGTGGATGCATTAGGTATTTGTCCTAATGCTCTCCCTCCCCTTGCTCCCCACCACCGGACAGGCCCCGGTGTGTGATGTTCCCCTCCCTGTGTCCATGTGTTCTCATAGTTCAACTCCCACTTATAAGTGAGAACATGCGGTGTTTGGTTTTCTGTTCCCATGTTAGTTTGTCACCATGCCTGGCTAATTTTTTTTTTCACTCTCATCACCCAGGCTGTGGTACAGTGGTGCAATCTTGGCTCACTGCAACCTCTGCCTCCCAACTTCAAGCCATTCTCCGGCCTCAGCCTCCTAAGTAGCTGAGATTACAAGCATGCGCCACCACACCTGGCTAATTTTTGTATTTTTAGTAGAGATGGGGTTTCGCCATGTTGGCTAGGCTGGTCTTGAACTCCTGACCTCAGGTGGTCCCCCCGCCTCAGCCTCCCAAAGTGCTGGGATTACAGGCCTGAGCCATGGCGCCTGCCCTGCTAACTTTTTTTTTTTTTTGGTAAAGACGGTATCTCCCTATGTTGCCCAAGCCAGTCTTGAACTCCTGACCTCAAGTTATCCTCCTGCTTTGGCCTCCCAAAGTGCTGGGATTACAGATGTGAGCCACTATGCCTGGCCCTATTTATTTTTGTTGTTTACATTGTACACATGTTAGAGCTACACTTTTGCATATATAATTTTGTGTAAAATAAATTTAGCACTTAAATGGCATATAGAATATAAAGAGAGTAGGAGAGTATCCCGAGTATATTAAGGAATGTATTAAGAGTTCAATAACTACTTGCTACTATGTTCATCCTTTTATGTGGATAAATGTTTATTCTTTATATGGTAGGATATAATGTTTATCCTTTTATGTGGTTCTTTCTCGCTATATATATATATATATTATATATATACACACGTATTTATACACATATGTAAACAATAGAGAAGTATATGTTCTATGTGTGTATATGCATATGTATATATGCATACATAATATATTTTACATATCGTAGGATTCATACTGCATAGCATTTTTTTTTTTTTTTTTGAGATGGAGTCTCACCCTATTGCCCAGGTTGGAGTGCATTGGTTCAATCTTGGTTCACAGCACCCTCCACTTCCTGGATTCTCCTGCCTCAGCCTCCCAAGTAGCTGGGATTATAGGCAAACACCACCATACTCGGCTAAATTTTTGTATTTTAAGTAGAGATGGGGTTTCACCATTTTGGCCAGGCTGATCTCAAACTCCTGACCTCAGATGATCCACTTGCCTCGGCCTCCCAAAGTGCTGGGATTATAGGCTTGAGCCACTGCACCCAGCCATACTGTATAGAACTTTGTAGCCTGCCTTTTTCTTTGCCTTTGACTTAACAGCAAAGTCAGTGAAAAAAAAGCAAGCCATATTAAATATTCTTCCAAAACACGGCGTTTAATTGATGCATAATCCTCCATTCTATAGATCGACTATAATGTACTCAATCATTCCCTTGTTATTGAATGTGTATTTTACAGAAACCATTATACTGCATTGAAATAATTTGCTTAACTGTGTGTCCCTCCTATTGACTCTGAGAGCCCCAAGGGGAGGTCTATGGACCCCAGGCGCCATGGCTCAGTGGGAACATGGTGATGGTGGGCAGACTGAATGAATGAAGAGCCTTCTTCTCCTAGCCTCTGCCCACCTGCCACATGCCTGGGGTTTTCATTTAAGAACTGTTACATGGAATCTTTCCCACACTGGGGCTGGAGGCTTCCTCCTAACCGTTGGACCACAATAGAAAGAATTCTAAGGTATTTTAAGGCCCAGAATAGAAAAAGAACAGTAATTGCCTGCTCTAGCAGCTTACACACAGAATCAAAAGACCCAGTCGAGGAGTTCCCATGGAACAAATAACGTTTGCCTTTGGTAACTGTCTAACGTTCAATACCTTCCTTCGAAGGTTATTATTATTCTTGTGTATTTATCTAAGGCTCAGAACTGGTAGGAGTCTCTTTTCACATCTACAAATTAATAGAGGGATGATATCATGGGTTTTGTCTACCTTTTAAAAATAACTTAAGCTTAAAGTAAATCTCACATTTGGGAGGAAAATTCTGGTCTGCTTCCCAGAGAGTTAGATAATAAACTCTCACTTAAGGGCACACGATTTACCCACTCAATGAGTTTTCTAAAGTGCATCTTTGAGGCTGTCTGTTGGAGGGACTATTTGGGCTTAATTGATCAATTATGATAAAATCACAGAATTTTATAGCTGGGAAGAGCCCGTCGTTTGACAAATGAAGGGATTGGAGCTCAGGGTCATGCAATTAACTCATGGCAGCGGGTAGATTGGAAGAGAAATCTAACTGGTTGCTTGGAATTTCTATTACTAGACTACCTGCTTGGACAATGTATTTGATCACTAGTAGTGTTGCTACAGTAATCCCAGGTCTGGGAGGTAGGTCGCTGTCATACTTGGATTTCTTAATTGTACAGGACACATCATCACTAGTCACCTTAAGAAAGAAAGGAGGTTAGGCAGTGTGGTGATTCCTCAAGGATCTAGAATCAGAAATACCATTTGACCCAGCAATCCCATTATTGGGTATATACCCAAAGGATTATAAATCATTCTACTATAAAGACTCATGCACACTAAGTTTATTGCAGCACTATTTACAATAGCAAAGACTTTGAACCAACCCAAGTGCCCATCAATGATAGACTGGATAAAGAAAATATGGTACATATACACCATGGAATACTATGCAGCTATAAAAAAGAATGAGTTCCTCTCCTTTGGAGGGACATGGATGAAGTTGGAAACCATCATTCGCAGCAAACTAACACAGGAACAGAAAACCAAACACCGCATGTTCTCACTCATAAGTGGGAGCTGAACAATGAAAACACATGGACACAGGGAGGGGAACATCACACACTGGGGCCTGTTGAGGGGAGGGAGAGCATTAGGACAAATAATGCATGTGGGGCTTAAAACCTAGATGACAGGTTGACAGGTGCAGCAAACCACCATGGCACATGTATGCCTATATAACAAATCTACATGTTCTGTACATATATCCCAGAAACTTAAAGTAAAATTAAATTCAAAAAAGAAAGAAAGGAGGTTATTATAAGAGTGTTGTAGTGGCTCACTGTGGGGCACCTCCTCTTTCTATTATACCTAATTATCCCCTCATTGATGGCCTTGCTAGGGCCTCTCTCACAGCTGTTCTCATGGCCGTAATCCTGAGGCTGCCTTGGGTGGGGAAGTCGGCCAAAAGGTAGGCCCAATGCTGAGGACATGGTGGGGCTCCTCACTGAAGCCCATGGCCCCACAGTGACTTTCCTTGGCCCCTTCCTGAACTTTATGAGTTTGGTCCAACGGGGAGGAGATGTTATAAACTGCATTGCCTTCTCCCAAAAATATATGTAGAATTCCTAACCCCCAGTACCACAGAACATGACCTTATTTGTATTTCTTTTCTTTTGCTTGTTTTTAAAGTCAGGGTCTTGCAGTGTTTCCTGGGTTGGTGTGCAGTGGTGTGATCACAGTTCACTGCACCCTCAAATTCCTCAGCTCAAGGGATCCTCCCACCTCAGCCTCCTGAGTAGCTGGAACTACAGGCGCATGCAGTCATGCCCGGATAATTTTTTTTAATTTTTATAGAGATGGGGTCTTGCTCTGTTGCCCAGGCTGGTCTCAAACTTCTGGGCTCAAGTAAGCCTCTTGCTTCAACCTCCCAATGTGCTGGAATGACAGGTGTGGGCCACCATGCCCAATCCAGAGTGTGACTTTCTTTGGAAATAGAGTCATGACAGACTCAATCAAGTTAAAATGAGGTCATTAGGGTAGATGGACAAATATGTCTGGTGTCGTTAGAAAAGGGGGAAATTTGAACACAGAAACAGACACACATAGAGGGGGAGTGCTGTGAAGACACAAGGTGAAGGCATCTATAAGCTAGGGGACACCTGAGGCTGCCAGAAGCCAGGAGAGAAGCATGGATCAGATTCAGCCCTCAAAAGGAACCAACCCTGCTAACACCTTGATTTCAGACTTCTAGCTCCAGACCAGTGAGACAATAAGTTCCTGTAGTTTAAGCTACTCCATCTGTGGTACGTTGTTGTGGCAATTCTAGGAGACTCACATAGGGCACATCCTTTTACCTCCTGACCTCCCGTCATTCAGTTTTCCCTACTAACAATGGTTCTCCCTCTATTTCTCATGTCTAATTCTTTAGAGAAAGAATCTGGTCTACCTCTTCTTTGCCTACCCATCATGCAAAGATTGGATAAATTGGCCGGGCACGGTGGCTCATGCCTGTAATCCCAGCACTTTGGAATGCCGAGTCGGGCAGACCACAAAGTCAGGAGTTGGAGACCAGCCTGACCAACATGGTGAAACCCTGTATCTACTAAAAACACAAAAATTAGCCAGGCATGGTGGCACGTACCTGTAATCCCAGCTACTCAGGAGGCTGAGGCAGGAGAATAGCTTGAACCCGGGAGGCGAAGATCGTGCCATTGCACTCCAGCCTGGGCGACAGAGCAAGACTCTGTCTCAACAATGAAAAAAAAGATTGGATAAGTTAGGGACCCATGCCTGGTTCAATCAGCTGTGATTTAAAACAGATTGCATCCCATTATCTGGGAGGTGTGGGGGTTCAGGAAATGTTCATGACTCTGGAAAAGAGTGAGGCCTTGTAGGAACTAGATTGATGCATCTTGTAGATGCAATATTAGAAGACAGAGAGTTTCCAAGCCAAAATAGTAAGAACGCATCCTGAAATTAATATGGTTGTGAGAGGTGACAGCATGCTGGCAGTCCTCAGACCCCTCACTTGCTCTCGGCACCTCCCCTGCCTGGGCTCCCACTTTGGTGGTATTTCAGGAGCCCTTCAGCCCCCCCACTGCACTGTGGGAGCCCTTTTCTGGGCTGGCCAAGGCTGGAGCCCACTCCCTCAGCTTGCAGGGAGGTGTGGAGGGAGAGGCGTGAGCGGGAACCGGGGCTGCCTGCGGCGCTTGCGGGCTAGCTGGAGTTCTGGGTGGGCGTGGGCTTGGCCGGCCCCGCACTCGGAGCAGCCGGCCAGCCCTGCTGGCCCCAGGCAATGGGGGACTTAGCACCCGGGCCAGTGGCTGCGGAGGGTGTACTGAGTCCCCCAACAGTGCTGGCCCACCAGCGCTGTGCTTGATTTCTCGCCGGGCCTTAGCTGCCTTCCCACGGGGCAGGGCTCGGGACCTGCAGCCAGCCATGTCTGAGCCTCCCACCCACTCCATGGGCTCCTGTGCTGCCCGAGCCTCCCCGACGAGCACCACCCCCTGCTCCACGGCGCCCAGTCCCATCGACCACCCAAGGGCTGAGGTATGCGAGCGAACGGTGCAGGACTGGCAGGCAGCTCCACCTGCAGCCCCGTTGTGGGATCCACTAGGTGAAGCCAGCTGGGCTCCTGAGTCTGGTGGGGACGTGGAGAGTCTTTATATCTAGCTCAGGGATTGTAAATACACCAATCGGCACTCTGTATCTAGCTCAAGGTTTGTAAATACACCAATCAGCACCCTGTGTTTAGCTCAAGGTTTGTGAGTGCACCAATCGACACTCTGTATCTAGCTGCTCTGGTGAGGACGTGGAGAGTCTTTATGTCTAGCTCAGGGATTGTAAATACACCAATCGGCACTCTGTATCTAGCTCAAGGTTTGTAAATACACCAATCAGCACCCTGTGTTTAGCTCAAGGTTTGCGAGTGCACCAGTCCATACTCTGTATCTAGCTACTCTGGTGGGGCCTTGGAGAACCTGTGTGTGGAAACTCTGTATGTAACTAATCTGATGGGGACTGTGGAGAACCTTTGTATCTAGCTCAGGGATTGTAAACGCACCAATCAGCGCCCTGACAAAACAGGCCACTGGGCTCTACCAATCAGATGATGTGGGTGGGGCCAGATAAGAGAATAAAAGCAGGCTGCCCGAGCCAGCATTGGCAACCCGCTGGGGTCCCCTTCAACACTGTGGAAGCTTTGCTCTTTCACTCTTTGCAATAAATCTTGCTACTGCTCACTCTTTGGGTCCACGCTGCTTTTCTGAGCTGTAACACTCACCGTGAAGATATGCAGCTTCACTCCTGAGCCCAGCAAGACCACGAGCCTAGCGGGAGGAACGAACAACTCCAGACGCGCTACCTTGAGAGCTGTAACACTCACCGCGAAACTCTGCAGCTTCACTCCTGAGCCAGCGAGACCACGAACCCACCAGAAGGAAGAAACTCCGAACACATCTGAAAATCAGAAGGGACAGACTCCAGACATGCCACCTTAATAGCTGTAACACTCACCGCCAGAGTTCACGGCTTCATTCTTGAAGTCAGTGAGACCAAGAACCCACCAATTCTGGACACAGTTGCATAGCAAATAAAGTTGTTGCCTAATCAATGGTAATAAAATATTTGAAGAAAAAACATTTCTATATTGGGAAGGTATCAAAAAAAGTCCGGTGAAACAAAGCAATGAGACATTGACATGAGTGTGTGTGTGTGTGTGTGTGTAAAGAGACATTGAAATTTCCCTATCACATAAGAGAGGACTTCAAGAAAGGGTCATCTGTGAGCTGTAAGATTCTTCAAAGCTGCCTCCCAGAGACTTTGGTTCTGATTTTACATTTGCTAAGCAGCGTTCTGCTTAGTCATTCAACTTATCAGGCTTATGGGAAGAGGCTCATCTGGAGGATAAACATGAACATTTTGCTCACTCTCTTGCAAGAGAATAGACTGTCATTTAGGCATATACATCAGTCTCTTGTGAGTTTAATTAATGTGAATCAGCTCCCCTGAGACTCACCTACTTCTTTGTGACCCACAACTGTTAGGCAGCAGAACCAAGGCTGAGAAGTAGACTCTGAACATCAGTAACTCCAACATAAACTACTGAATAAAGTCCCCTCTGACCAAGCAGGTGGCTTGCTTTCTTAGTTTCAACAGTCGGCCCTCTGTATCCGTGCCTCTTGTATCTAAGGATTGAACCAACTGGGGATCAAAACCTATAGATACAGCAGGACTGACTGTATTAAGCCATTTTATTATTTAATTATTTATTCATTCATTTATTTATGTATATTGAGAGCAGAGTCTTACTCTGTCCTCCAGGCTGGAGTGCAGTGATGTGATCTCGGCTCACTGCAAACTCCACCTCATGGGTTCAAGTGATTCTCCTGACTCAGCCTCCCATATAGCTGGGATTACAGGCATCCACCACCACGCCAGGCTAATTTTTGTATTTTTAGTAGAGATGGAGTTTCGGCATGTTGGCCAGGCTGGTCTTGAACTTGTAACCTCAAGTAATCTGCCCACCCCAGCCTCCCAAAATGCTAGGATTACAGTCGTGAGCCACCACACCGGGCCAACCAAGTCATTTTATAAAAGAGACTTGTGCATCTGCAGATATTAGTATCTGCAGGGGTTTCTGGGACAAATCCTCCCAGGATACAGAGGGCTACTGTGTTAGACTTGGAAACAATCTCATATAGGAAAAAAATGATGAAACTTGGAGTCAGGCAGATGTGCTTACATTCTGTCCTGCCACTTACATCACATATAATTCTGAGCAAGTTGCTTCACCTCTGTCATCTCCATATTCTAAACTCTAAAATGGGAACATGGATTGGGAGGCTGAGGCAGGCGGATCACCTGAGGTCAGGAGTTCGAGACCAGTCTGGCCAGCACGGTGAAACCCCATCTCTACTAAAAATACAAAAATTAACTAGGCGTGGTGGTGGGCATCTGTAACCCAGCTACTCAAGAGGCTGAAACAGGAGAATCGCTTGAACCCGGGAGGCGGAGGTTGCAGTGAGCCAAGAGCACTCCAGCCTGGGCAACAAAGCCAGACTCCATCTCAAAAATTAAATTAAATTAAATTAAATTAAATTAAAACATTGAAATTCGCTTCACATCCTTGGGAGAAAGAAGTTACCTTGCACGGAGTATGGCACAGAATGAGCAGGTAACAGATGGCAGCTTCTTGCCCTCACTTTTAGATAACACTGGTATCCAATGGGTTTACCGCTCAATCTCCTGAGTGATCTCCTCTTACCAGTAGTTGATGGCTGTTCAGGGAATGGAAATTAATTTTTACATTAGCCAAAGAAAAACATAATTAGGAAATCAAATCTGTTGCCGTAGCAGCCACAACAGTAAAAATAGGAATGTACATCATAGATAATGGCGTATTTAGCAGTCTGGAGTGTCCTAGCAAGCCGGTCCTTTGCACAGAAGGCTGGATTTATGGGGACTTCATGGCATAAAACAAAAGAGTATCAGGCTTGGAATTTTAAAACCTTCATGTTATTCCTGCTTCTGTCATCTTCGGGGGGACCTTGGGTATATCATCTCTCTCTGTGCTTCAGTTTCCTTGTCTTAATATGACAATGTTCTCAGCTCAACCTGAAGATGTGCTTATTCTAGGACTTAGGGAAGCTTGGAAAGTTGGGGGCTTGTGGACTGGATATTCTCAGGGTTTATTTACATAAAGGAATGGGGGCATGTAGAAGCCAGGGAGCTGAGCAGCTTAGATCTTCCTTCAATAGAACCTATTGTGAAGGGTTCTGCTCACAATAGTTGATGGCCAGAGGCTGTCCCTTCAGATCCTCCATCAATCTAATGCAAGACTTACGTGGAGGCCATGTTTTCTTCACAGTGGCTAAGCAGAGCAAGACAACCAAGCCAAGCTACTTCTGTTCACGGTGGGGCTCCTCCAGCAGTCCATTTTTGCTTGTGGAGTGTGGCAGTCAGCCCCCAAGATAACCCTAATGATCCTTGCCTCGTGGTATTCACACCCCATGTAGGCCACTCCCATGATAGGTTGACCCATGCAACCATGGGTCCCATGATAGGCAAACCCATGCAACTCTGTAGAATTCAGTAGGATCTACAGAACTTATGCTGTCAGTCTTTAGAAGCTACATGATAATAAACACCATAGCTTCTGTCTTGCATGCTCTTGGATCACTCACTCTGGTGGAAGCTATCTACCATGCCTTGAGGACACTCAGGCAGCTCTTTGGGGATGTCTCTATGGCAAGGAAATGAAGCCTCCTGTCAATAGCCAGTACCAATTTGCCAGCCACATGAGTGAGCCACCTTGAAAGTACCTCCTCCCACCCAAATCAAGTCTTCAAATGACTGCAGCCAACATCTTCATTGCAACCTCATGAGAGGACAGGAACTAGAGCCACCCAGCTCAGCGTCTTCTGAATTCCTGATCCACAGAAACTGTAACATAAGAAAAGTTTGTTGTTTTAAGCCATTGCATTTCAGGGTGATTTGTACCACAATAAAAGATAATTAGTTCAGGGACTCTGCAGAGACCTAGCCAAGACTCTTCCAGAGCTGTGCTGTGGCCCAGGGCTTTTTCCATCCAGGCTCTTCTCCTTTTCCGTCTCCACTCACAGGTGTCAGACCTGCACAGCAATCCAGAGGTGCTCCTCACCAGCTCCTGCTCCTTCTTCTCTTTATTCTTCGGAGGCTTTTCCCCTCAACGAATCCTGTTCATGTCCAACTCTTTTTATTTATTTATTATTTTGGAGAAGATCTGCCTCTGTTGCCCAGGCTAGAATGCAGTGATGCAGTCATAGCTCACTTGCAGCCTTCAACTCCTGTGCTCGAGAGATCCTTCCACCTCAGCCTCCTGAGTAACTGAGACTACAGGTGCACGTCAACACACCCAGCTAAGTTTTTAATTTTTTGTAGATATGGGATCTCTATGTTGCCCAGGCTGGTCATGAACTTGTGGGCTCAAGTGATGCTCCCACCTCAGCCTCCCAAAGTGCTGGGATTACAGGGGTGAGCCACCACACCTGGCCATGTCTAACTCTTTCTTTTCTTCTGTTTGTCTAGAGATTTGAACTGATACAGGCTGTCCTCATCAGCTGGGGCTGCTGTAACAAGGATGCCATAGACTGGGTGGCTTAAACAATAAATAGTTATTTCTCACAGTTCTGGAGGCTGAAAGTCCAAGATCAGCGTGCTAGCATTGTCAGATTCTGGTGAGAGGCGTCTTTCTGACTTGCTCACATGGAGAGAGAGAGGAAAAACAAGCTCTCTCCTATCTTGTCTTAGAAGAGCTTTATTCCCATCATAAAGGGTCCACCCTCATGATGTAATCACCTCTCAAAGGCCCCATCTTCAAATACCATCTTCAAATACCCATTGGGGACTAGAGTTTCAATATATAATTTTAGCAGTAGGGAGGGACAAACATACAGTCATGGCAGAGGGGAAACATGTAGAGTTTGGAGATGCCCAAGATCGGCCCAAGAATGACCATTGTTTATGGATAGAGTAGCTCCAAGGACAGCACAGCGTTTGCTCCTCACTCTGCACCTCAGTGCCTGTAATTGGGAACCAGGATGAAGAGATGATAAAACAAAGCAAGCAACAGGCCAGGTGCGGTGGCTCATGCCTGTAATCCCAACACTTTAGGAGGCCAAGGAGGGAGGATCACTTGAACCCAGGAGTTCAACAGCAGCCTGAGCAACAGAGCGAGACCCTGTCTCTAAAAAAATATATACTTTTAGTTAGCTAGATACGGTAGCATGTGTCTGTAGTCCCAGCTACTTAGGAGGCCAAGGCAGGAGGATGGCTTGAACCCAGGAGTTGAAGGCTGCAGTGATTCATGCTCAGGCCATTGAACTCTAGCCTGGGACACAGAACAAGCCCCTGTCTCAAAAAAAAATTTTAATTAAAAAAAATGAAGAAACAGGGCCCATTTTCTATAATCTCTACAGCCATGAAGATTGTTGGTAGATCAGGAGGTGGAGGTTGTAGGGAGTCAAGATTGCACCATTGCACTCCAGCCTGGGCAACAGAGCAAGACTCAGTCTCAAAAAAATATGCTGGTAGAAATACATAGGCTGCCACCATGGCAGACTAGAGACATTGTGTTGGTGCCAATGGTAGCACCAGCAGTATCGAGGGGAGTGGGCTTGGGGCTGGGGACATCAGCAGTGATATGCTGGGACAGTGGTGTCAGGGCCAGTGTCAACAACATTGTGACACTGGTCACTGATGCCTCTGTATAAGCAGCCTGCATATGGCTCCAGAAGGAGAAAAAAATGCCTTGGCAGGATGCAAGCTTTGAGCAAGAGCAAGCAAGGAGGAAAACACAAAAACATGAGAGATCCAAGAGGCTTGTTCTCAATTTTTTTTTTTTCAGTTAGCTGGATATGGTAGCAGGTGTGGGTAGTCCCAGCTACTGTGCAGGCCAAGGCAGGAGGATGGCTTGAGCCCAGGAGTTGGAGGCTACAGTGACTCATGATCAGGCCACTGCACTCCAGCCTGGGCAACAGAATGAGCCCCTGTTGATGGTGATGACCTAATCACCTCTCAAAGGCACCATCTTCAAATACCATCCCATTGGGGATTTTTTTCATTTAATTAATTTATTTATTTTGTATTACTACATCACCTGGAAATCTTACTGTGCCAAATTTATAAATTAAATTTTACTACTTATCTGTATGCATAGGAAAAATATTTTTTTATTTTTTAGTATTTATTGATCATTCTTGGGTGTTTATCGGAGAGGGGGATGTGGCAGGGTCATAGGATAATAGTGGAGAGAAGGTCAGCAGATAAACACGTGAACAAAGGTCTCTGGTTTTCCTAGGCAGAGGACCCTGCGGCCTTCTGCAGTGTTTGTGTCCCTGGGTACTTGAGATTAGGGAGTGGTGATGACTCTTAACGAGCATGCTGCCTTCAAGCATCTGTTTAACAAAGCACATCTTGCACCGCCCTTAATCCATTTAACCCTGAGTGGACACAGCACATGTTTCAGAGAGCACGGGGTTGGGGGTAAGGTTATAGATTAACAGCATCCGAAGGCAGAAGAATTTTTCTTAGTACAGAGCAAAATGGAGTCTCCTATGTCTACTTCTTTCTACACAGACACAGTAACAATCTGATCTCTCTTTCTTTTCCCCACATTTCCCCCTTTTCTTTTCAACAAAACCGCCATCATCATCACGGCCCGTTCTCAATGGTCACTGTCTCTTCTGAGCTGTTGGGTACACCTGCAGAAAGGCTGTCACTTCACACTTGGAAGATTGCACAGCAGCCAGGCAGAGGTGCTCCTCACATCCCAGAAGATGGGCAGCCAGGCAGAGTCGCTCCTCACCTCCCAGACGATGGGCAGCCGGGCAGAGGCGCTCCTCACCTCCCAGATGGGGTGGCCGGGCAGAGGCACTCCTCACCTCCCAGATGGGGCGGCCGGGCAGAGGTGCTCCTCACTTCCCAGATGGGGCAGCTGCCGGGCAGAGGCGCTCCTCACATCCCAGACGGAACGGCCGGGCAGAGGCACTCCTCACCTCCCAGACGGGGTGGCGGCCGGGCAGAGGCGCTCCTCACATCCCAGATGGGGCAGCCGGGCAGAGGCACTCACTTCCTAGACGGGGCGGCCGGGCAGAGGCGCTCCTCACATCCCAGATGGAGCAGCCGGGCAGCTGCACTCCTCACATCCCAGACGATGGGTGGCGGGGCAGAGGCGCTCCTCACATCCCAGATGGGGCGGCCAGGCAGAGGTGCTCCTCACATCCCAGATGGGGTGGCGGCCGGGCAGAGGCGCTCCTCACATCCCAGATGGGGTGGCCGGGCAGAGGCGCTCACTTCCTAGACGGGGCGGCCGGGCGGAGGTGCTCCCCACTTCCCGGACGGGGCTGCCGGGCATAGGCGCTCCTCACATCCCAGATGATGGGTGGCAGGGCAGAGGCGCTCCTCACATCCCAGACGGAGCGGCCAGGCAGCTGCGCTCCTCACATCCTAGATGATGGGTGGCGGGGCAGAGGCGCTCCTCACATCCCAGACGATGGGTGGCCAGGCAGAGGCGCCTCCTCAGTTCCCAGACGGGTCAGCCCGGCAGAGGCGCTCCTTACATCCCAGATGGGGCAGCCGGGCAGAGGCGCTCACTTCCTAGATGGGGCGGCTGGGCAGAGTCGCTCCCCACTTCCTGGATGGGGCGGCCGGGCATAGGCGCTCCTCACATCCCAGACGGAGCGGCCAGGCAGCTGCGCTCCTCACATCCCAGACGATGGGTGGCGGGGCAGAGGCGCTCCTCACATCCCAGACTATGGGCAGCCGGGCAGAGGCGCTCCTCACTTCCCAGACGGGGCGGCTGGGCAGAGGCGCTCCTCACTTCCCAGATGAAGGGCGGCTGGGCAGAGGCGCTCACTTCCTAGACGGGGCGGCCGGGCAGAGGCGCTCCTCAGTTCCCAGACGGGGCGGCCAGGCAGAGGCACTCCTCAGTTCCCAGACGGGGTGGCCGGGCAGAGGCACTCCTCACCTCCCAGATGGGGCGGCCGGGCAGAGGTGCTCCTCACCTCCCAGATGAAGGGTGGCTGGGCAGAGGCGCTCCTCACATCCCAGATGGGGTGGCCGGGCAGAGGTGCTCCTCACCTCCCAGATGAAGGGCGGCTGGGCAGAGGCGCTCACTTCCTAGACGGGGCGGCCGGGCAGAGGCGCTCCTCAGTTCCCAGACGGGGCGGCCAGGCAGAGGCACTCCTCAGTTCCCAGACGGGGTGGCTGGGCAGAGGCGCTCCTCACCTCCCAGATGGGGCAGCCGGGCAGAGGTGCTCCTCACCTCCCAGATGAAGGGCGGCTGGGCAGAGGCGCTCCTCACATCCCAGACGATGGGCAGCCGGGCAGTGGCGCTCCTCACATCCCAGCCCATTGGGGATTAGAGTTTCAATATACGAATTTGGCAGTGGGGAGGAACAAACATGAAATCTATGACACAGGGGGAAACATGTAGAGATTGGACATGCCCAAGAAAGAAAGAGTTACACAAATGCTTATTTAGTCCTAAGTATGCAAGCACCATGAGCCCACTATCCACCCCTCCACACTTGCCTTCCTCCCCCACCACCTTCTCTCTTCACAGACATGAGACTTCCCTTCTGATATAGTTTGAATATCTGTCTCCTCCAAATCTCCTGTTGAAATTTAATCCCCAGTGTTGGAGGTGGGGCCTGGTGGGAGGTATTTAGGTCATGGGGGTGGATCTCTCATAAATGGTTTGGTGCCATTCTCATGAGATTGAGTGAGCTCTCACTCTTAGTTCCCATCATCAGATCTGGTTGTTAAAAAGAGTGTGGTGACCAGGTACAGTGGCCCACGCCTGTAATCCCAGAACTTTGGGAGGCCGAGGCAAGTGGATCACAAGATCAGGGGTTCAAGACCAGCCTGGCCCACGTGGTGAAACCCCATCTCTACTAAAAATACAAAAATTAGCCAGGCATGGTGGCACGCACCTGTAGTCTCAGCTACTAGGGAGGCTGAGGCAGGAGAATTGCTTGAACCTGGGAGGCAGAGGTTGCAGTGAGCCGAGATCACACCACTGCACTCCAGCCTGGGTGACAGAGCGAGACTCTGCCTCAAAAAAAAAAAAAAAGAAAGAAAGAAAGAGGGTGGTACCTCTTCCTCTCTTGCTCCATCTCTTGCCATATAATCTTGCTAGCTCCCCTTTACCTTCTACCATGAGTGGAAGCTTCCTGAAGCCCTCACCAGCAGCAGATGTTGGCGCCATGTTTCTTGTGCAGCTTGCAGAGCTGTGAGCCAAAGAAACCTATTTTCTTTATAAAGTACCCAGCCTCAGTATTCTTTATAGCAATGCAAATAGACTACACTCTTGGAAGCCCCAGGACCAAGCCTGGGAGGGAAAGGAAGAGGAGTCCAGTTCTGGCTAATAAGGTCAGAGAAATGCTCATCAGCAGTTATTACCCTTGTATCCAAATGCCAGTTCAGTTGGGAAATGACACTTTAAACATAAAATTGGAGAGACTTATATTTGCTTTCTAAAGTCCCTTCTTTTGAAAATATGGAGGGAAAAATAAAACTGACATAGGATAAACCAAAAACAGCTAGTCTCTTCTCTCTCCTCCCACGTTCTCCTGTTCTCACAGCTGAAGCTACTTCCGTTTAATCACAGGCCAGAACATCCTCAACCCTCCAGAGACAGGAATGACAAAAGCTTTCCTTTTAGCTTGTTTTGCATTGTTTTGTTTTTCCTTTCTTTCTTTTCTTTTGAGACAGGGTCTCACTGTCACCCAGGCTGGAGTGCAGTGGGGTGGTCACAGTTCACTGCAGCCTTGACCTCCCGGGCTGAAATGATCCTCCCACCTCAGCCTCCCAAGTAGCTGGGGCCACAGGCATGCACCACCATGCCTGGCTAATTTTCGTATTTTTTTTTAAAGATGGAGTTTGGCCATGTTTCCCAGGCTGGTCTCAAACCCCTAGGCATGAGTGATCCTTCCACCTCAGCCTTCCAGACTGCTGGGATTATATGCATGAGCCACGGTGCCTGGCCTTCTCTTTCTTATCAATCTAGAAAGCAGACATTAATCAGATGCAAAGCCCAGTAGCTGCAGAAACTTCCCCAACCTCCACCGCTGGACTGGTTCTCTAAGTGTCCAGCCAATGACAGTTCTGTTTCCTTCTGGGTGCTACCAGGGAGTCTCATCCTGGTTTTAAGGTACTTTCCAGGTAAGTCCTCTACTGAGAGAGTCTCCCTGCCTACAACGTGAAACCCTCTGCTCCCTGACGGGACATGTAGCCTTCTGTGTGGTTTGAATATGAGCAAGTGGGCCAGGCACAGTGACTCACACCTGTAATCCCAACACTTTGGGAGGCCGAGGGGGTGGATCAGCTGAGGTCAGGAGTTCGAGACCAGCCTGGCCAACATGGTGTAACCCCGTCTCTACTAAAAATATAAAAATTAGCTGGGTATGGTGGCAGGCACCTGTAATCCCAGCTGCTCAGGAGGCTGAGGCAGGGAGAATTGCTTGAACCTGGGATGTGGAGGTTGCAGTGAGCCAAGATAGCACCATTGCACTCCAGCCTGGGCGACAGAACAAGACTCTGTCTCAAAAAAAAAAAAAAAAAAGAAAAGAAAAGAAGAAAAAAGAGTATGAACAAGTGTGTCTACTGCAGGTGGAGCTGGCTGTCTCTCATCTGCTAAACACACATTGTTATGTGCAGTGAAAGTACCTATTGTCACATGCCCATGGAGGTGGAAGAACTGCAACCTCTGACCCTGGATGAAAATGACGTTCACTCTGTACTTCCACTGGCACTACCCCCACCCCCTCCCAGGGCTAAGCCACCAGTGAATGGCTCTTCCCTGGGCTGCCATATTTATTTCCTAATCACCTTCCACCCCTCCAGTCTTGCCTTCTTCCACCACCTTCTTGCTACAGCAGCCAGAGTGATCACTTAAAAATGAAGACCCATCCACAGCTTTCCACGCATTCAAAATCATCCAGGTGTACTTAGTGTAAAGTCCCAGTGGCCCTCCATGATGTGATGGGCATCTTCTTTTGCCCATTGTACATACAGCTCTCTGTGAAGTCCTCAGCCAGGCTCCCCACTTTGCCTGGGAAACTTTTCCACAATCTGCCTCTTCTCATTAGTTCCTTCCTCCTCACTTTCCAGGTCTCAGCTGAGTGTCGCTGCCCCAGGAAAGCTTCCCGTGACACTCTGATCATGGACTTTGTAGAGCATGATGCATACTTAGGACTAAATAAGCATTTGTGTAACTCTTGGTTTAACGTGTGTCTCCTCCACAAGACAGGCACATGGAAACTCAGAAATCATTTGCTAAATGGACAAATACACAAATAGGTAGATGGATAGACACATCACTGTTTGCGTGGTCTTCTCCCTAACTCTGCTTCTCAAGGACAAGCTTGTGCTTTGATTACAACCTTGATATCAAATGAATGGGGGCTGCAGAAACCACGGTACTGCCCACTGGACAGTCCCAGGACCCTTCTTCCTTCCTCGCCAACACTCTTCTGTTTTCCTCGTTTTACCACTCGATTCCTCATCACCAGCTTCTTCTCCTTGGCAGATGGGCTTCTACTCCCTTTGTTTGCTTAGAAGACTCAGAGAAGATAGCTTTTAGCTTCAGTGCTTTGGAGGGAATTGGACATGAACTTCCTCACTTAGCTGAGATCCTTATCTGAGCTATTGACCATGTAGGACCCAACTCCCAGCTCCCAGCCACTTGGTTGACACCCGATGGTAACTTCTGGGCTCCAGCACCCTTCTCTGAGCATGCACAGCACAGACTCACCACCCCACTGATTGCCTGTGGGTCTGTCTTCTGCCACACAGAAGTGAGTAGAGGCAAAGTCTGCACCTGACCTTTTCACAATGATATCTTTGGCAGGAATCCTGTGCCTGTCACATAATAGGCATTTGGTATGTATTTATTAAATAAACAAATGAATAAATGCCTCCAGGTGAAGATGGAGTAAGAAAGGAATGACTATTTTAGCTGGGGAGACTGGGGCCAGCGCAGCCCGCTGTTCCCAAGTGCATTCAATATCTAGAGGGCTGAGGACAATTAAACGGAAGCCATCTATTCAACTCTTCACCATGACAACTGCCCTTGATTGATGAGCTCTGAGGACTAGCCTGGAAAGATTTCAATCTATCTGAGAGGATCAGTACCAACCAGGGAGTTTTCTGAGCTGATTCTTCTAAGATCTGCAGATAATGTTGTCACTACGTTTGATGAAATGACAATTGTCAATTCATCCTATTAGTACCTCGTAGTTTTATCTGGCAGCCTGCATGCTGGCTAAATGGCATTTTAGTGTTAACCAAGAGTATCGTGATCCTGCATGTCTTTTTCCTTTCATCTGGTTTAAGGACATCTCTTTAAAGAAACAAAACAAAATAAGAAAGTGAAAGTGTTGGAGTTGCACATGATAATGTTTGTGATTGCGAATTGCATAATGGCATAATGTTATAAAAAATTAATGCATTTGAAGAATGTGGTCTTATTACACATTTCTTGGATACCATCTGATACAGTTTGGCTCTGTGTCCCCACCCAAATCTCATGTTGAATTGTAATTCCCAGTGTTGGAGGTGGGGCCTGGTTGGAGGTGATTGAATCATGGGAGTGGGTTTCCCCCTTGCTGTCCTTGTGATAGATTTTTTAAAATATTTTTATTTTTATTTTTTATCTTTTTTGAGACGGAGTCTCGCTCTGTCACCTAGGCTGGAGTGCAGTGGCACAATCTCCGCTCACTGCAAGCTCCGCCTCCCAGGTTCACGCCATTCTACTGCCTCCCGAGTAGCTGGGACTACAGGCACCCGCCACCAGGCCCAGATAATTTTTTGTATCTTTTAGTGGAGTTGGGGTTTCACCCTGTTAGCCAGGATGGTCTTGATCTCCTGACCTCATGATCCACCCACCTCGGCCTCCCAAAGTGCTGGGTTTATAGGCGTGAGCCACTGTGCCTGGCCCTTGTGATAGATTTCTCACAAGATCTGGTTGTTTGAAAGTGTTTGATACCTCCCCCTTTGCTCTCTCTTCCTCCTGCTCCAGACAGATAGGGCGTGCCAGTTTCCCCTTTGCCTTCCACCATGATTGTAAGTTTCCTGAGGCCTCCCAGCCATACTTTCTGTACAGCCTGAAAAACTGTGAGCCAATTAAACCTCTTTTTTTATAAATTACCCAGTCTCTATAGCACTGTGAGAATGGACTAATACACCATCCACAATACGATATTTTGCTAGGTTGGTTTACTGTCAATGCTTCATCTCAAGACGAATAGAGCTATTTAGACATTTTGCTCTAACCCTGAGCACAGTCCTACCCTTGCACTCCAGTGGTCTGTGACCCACAGCTTGGGAATTACTATTCTAGCTCATTTTTCTCAAGTTCAGGGATCAAACTTGAAAGTTTATCTTGGGTACAATCAACTCAAGAAACTCCTCTGCAAGGAACTCAGGCATGGTGGATATATTACTCAGGGCTCTCCAGAGAAACAGAACAAATAGGATGCACACACAAACACACACTCAGACACACACACACAGCATCCCTTACTTATGGTAGCTCAACATACAATTTTTCAACTTTGCAATGATGCAAAAGCAATATGCATTCCATAGAAACCACACTTTGAATACCCATACGAGCATTCTGATTTTCATGTTCAGTAAAGTATTCAATAAATGACAAGAAACATTCAACATTTTATTATGAAATAGACTTTGTATTAGGTAATTTTGCCCAATTGTAAGCAAATGTGAGTGTTCTGAGTACATTTAAGGGAGGCCAGGCTAAGCTATGATTCAGTAGGTTAGGTGTATTAAATGCATTTTTGACATACCATACTTTCACCTTATGGTGGGTTTGTTGGGACATAACTCTATCATACATTGAGAAGCATCTGTGTGTGTGTGTGTATATATGTGTATATATATATGTGTATATGTGTATATATATGTGTATATATATATGTGTGTGTATATATATATATATGTAGTAGAATTGGCTCACACAAGCTGAGAAGACCTACGATTTGCTCTCTTCAAGTTGGAGACCCAGAGAAGACCATGTCATCATTCAGTAAGAGTTCAGAGGCCTCTGAGAACCGGGGGAGTTGATGGTGTGAATGCCAGTCTGAGAACCGGAGAAGATGAGATGAGACGTTCCAACTTAAGAGGTGAGGCAGAAACAAGAGGTGACTGTCTTCTTCCTCTGCTGCCTTTTGTTCTGTTCTGGCCCTCAATGGATTGGATGATGCCCACCCACATTAGGGAGTGGGGGTCATCTGCTTTACTCAGTCCATGAATTCAAATGCTAACCACTTCCAGAAACGCCCTCAGAGACACATCCACAATAATGTGTAATCAGATATTCTGTGGCCCAGCAAATTAGTGCATAAAAGTAACAACTGCAATGGGCTTGCTGAGTTTGTCTGCCTGCTGTAGAGTCAGCACCTGGGTGCGTGTAACTGAACCTCCTGGGTCATTTTCACTTTCTCTCCTGAGTCCTAGAATACTCGGATTAGGCCAGGTATGGTGGCTCATGCCTGTAATCCCAGCACTTTGGCAGTTGGAGGTCAAAGTGGGAGGATTGTTTGAGTTCAAGGCTTTAAGACCAGCCTGGGCAACATACTGAAATCCCATCTCTATGTTAAAAATATATATATACTGATACTGGCTGGGCACAGTGGCTCACGCCTGTAATCCCAGCACTTTCGGAGGCTGAGGTGAGCGGATCACCTGAGGTCAGGAGTTCGAGACCAGCCTGACCAAAATGGAGAAACCCTGTCTCTACTAAAAACACAAAGTTAGCTGGGCGTGGTGGTGGGCGCCTGTAATCCTGGCTACTCAGGAGGCTGAGGCATGAGAATCGCTTGGACCCAGGAGGTGGAGGTTGTGGTGAGCCGAGATCATGCCATTGCACTCCATCCTGGGCAACAAGAGTGAAACTCCACCTCAAAAAATATATATACAAAAGTTAGCCAGGCATGTAGTCCCAACTGCTTGGGAGGCTGAGGTGGGAGAATTACTTGAACCCAGGATTTCAAGGCTGCGGTGAGCTGTTATCACACCACTGCACTGCAGCCTGGGTGATAGAGCGAGAACCTGTTAAAAAATGGTCAGACTTCTAACTGCGGGGCCTGGGGCACCAAGGACCCCACCAGTGATGGTGTCCATGCTCTGGATGGTGTGGGTAGATACCTCCTTCTAAGCGAAGAATGAGAACCTCAGGGTGATGCAGCCACTCCGCCCAGCCTTGCGGGTGAGGCCTGTCTGCATCCCTAGCGACTACACAATGACCATTTTCCCATCCCAAGGCCTCTAACATTACCGTGCATCCAGCCACTTGTGCCTGGACACCCCCAACCCCATCCCCAAGAACAGCCCAGTCAGTCGTGGTGTTCCATTTCCCAGCTTGTAGAGCTAGGGTTTCCCAAATGGCTCAGGTCACCCTTAGAAACTAAAAATCCAGTGGCTGAATTTTAGTCCTGAGAGTAATTTCATTCTTATAGTTAAGATGCCAGAAGAGGCTGGGCGCGGTGGCTCACGCCTGTAATCCCAGCACTCTGGGAGGCCGAGGCGGGCGGATCACGAGGTCAGGAGATCGAGACCATCCTGGCTAACATGGTGAAACCCCGTCTCTACTAAAAATACAAAAAATTAGCCAGGCGTAGCGGCGGGCGCCTGTAGTCCCAGCTACTCAGGAGGGTGAGGCAGGAGAATGGCGTGCACCCGGGAGGCGGAGCTTGCAGTGAGCCGAGATTGCGCCACTGCACTCCAGCCTGGGCGATAGACTGTCAAAAAAAAAAAAAAAAAAAGGCCAGAAGAATGTCAAATTAAACTCCAAACTGCATATAAAGTTAAACTCTTTTTGCTGCCAGCTGTACTTGCTTCAGGATGGAAAGATGGGAGAAGCTAGGACGGGGTGGCAGTGGATGAATAATTCTCTGTCCCTGCCAAGCAATGCTATCCTCCTTTCATTTGTAGGCTGCCTTTAGCTCCTCCTGCTTGGGAAAAGGTGCCAGACACCAGGACAGAGAAGGGGCAGGACTGGTCAGTGCTCCTGTGTTACTTGCCGTATCCTCTGCCCATAGCAGAAATGTACAGCTACGTCTTGCTCATGGATCATTTTTTAAATGCTTCTAAGCTTCTTCTTGTGACCCACCAAACTCCTGCTCCCTTAACTGGGCAGGACCTCCCTTCTTTAGGCTGTTTACAACTCCTGTCTTCTCCAGCTTCTTTCTGCTGAAATGGCCTCTCTCTCTCTTAGGAGGTTCTGTGTCTTGAGGCAGGAGAATAGGGTCTGCAGGCAGGGAACTTAAGGCCGATTCACATTGACTTACTAAAACTAAATCGAAAGGAAAACCCCAACTTTCCAAACCTAAGTAAAAAAGTACTGGAGGCTACTACCTTTGCACCCCCGACCCCCCCGCCCACCTTTTCTGCATGGCAGATGGAACATTGAAAGTATCTCTGATTGGTTGCAGAAAGCAACTAATTTGCATAGGAGCGTAACTTTGTAACTTCACTTCAGCCTCTGATTGAGGAAAGCAACCAACCGGACTGATTGCAGGGCAAGTCTTCATTTGCATAGAAGTGTAACTTTTTAACTTCACTTTAGCCTCTGATTGGTTGCTTTCCAATCACATGCTGGCATAGGGTGCAACGTTTGTAACTTCCCTTCAGCCTCTGATTAGTTGCTTTTTGAAACCAGACTGATTGGGAGCCACTACTTCATTTCCACCAAGTAATCAATGGGAAACCTCTAGAGGGTATTTAAACCCCAGAAAATTCTGCAACCAGGCTCTTCAGCCCTTATGCAAGGACCCATTCCCACCCTGTGGAGTGTACTTTCGTTTTCAATAAATCTCTGCTTCTGTTGCTTCATTATTTCCTTGCTTTGTTAGTGTGTTTTGTCCAATTCTTTGTTCAAGATGCCAAGAACCTGGACACCCTCCACTGGTAACAGCCTCACAGAGCCCACACATGCTCCAGGGAAACTATTCGTCCATTCTCACAGTGCTATAAAGAACTACCTGAGACTGGGTAATTTATGAAAAAAAGAGGTTTAATTTACTCACACTTCTGCAGACTGTACAGAAGCAAGACTAGGAGACCTTAGGAAATTTACAATCATGGCAGAAGGTGAAGGGGAAGCAAGCACGTCTTTACCATGGTGGAACAGGAGAGCGAGAAAGAGAGAAGGGGAGAGAGCTACACACTTATCTCATGAGAACTCTATCATGGGAACAGCAAGGGGGATGTCTTCCCCCATAATTCAATCACCTCCCACCAAGCCCCTCCTCTGACACATGCAGATTACAATTCGAGATGAGATTTGGGTGGGGACACAGGGCCAAACCACATCAGAAACCTACACTTTTGCCTTGCTCTCAGAGCAGGTGCAACAGCAGCCCAAGTGGCCTCCCATCTTTACTCTCAGACATTTGAGAAACTGCACTCCAAGAGACCCATAAGGAGCTATCTTGACCTCCCTGAAGCTCCTCTCCCTAAACACCCCACCCACTCCCCACGGAACTAGGAGGCTGAAGTCTTGTCCAGGTAGATGTGCTATGATGCATGGTGATGTTAGAAGCCTTGGGATGGGAAAATGGTGAAGCCACCAACCCTGTCTTGGACGCTCCCACTTGTACTTGTGAACTTGTGAGGCCTCCCATGAGGATGTTGGGCTAAGAGCACAAAACCCATTTTCTGCCATCTTTGAAATTCTAGACCACTTCCAAATAATCTACAAACTCACCTTAGAATGTAAAGCACTAGCCACTAATAGTTTTGTTCTCTGCTTTTTGGGGCTTCAGCTGAAACTGAGGCACAAACAACCTCCCTTTAATATCATGTGACACACAAAAGCACAGACTAATTTACAAAAAATACCTAGAAAAACACTTACAAATGCATACTCAGTTACACAACTATAGAGCAAAACCCAAAAGTACTTTACTACAAATCTACTAACGCTGAACATAAGCTCTTTCATGATCCAGCAATTCCACTCTGAGATTTATACTAAAAAGAAATATAAACATAAAAACATACAGAAGAGGCTGGACATGGCGGTTCCTGCCTGTAATCCCAGTGCTTTGGGAAGCTGTGGTGGGAGGATCACTTGAGCCCAGGAGTTTGAGTCCAACCTGGGTATCATAGCAAGACTCCATCTAAAAAAAAAAAAAAAAAAAAAATTTAATTTGCCAGGCATGGTGGCAAGTGCCTGTGGTCCCAGCTCTTCAAGAGGCTGGAGGGGGAAGGATCCCTTGAGTCCAGGAGATCAAGGCTGCAGTGAGCTATGATGGTCCCACTCCACTCCAGTCTGGCTGACAGAACAAGACCCTGTCTCCAAAAAAAAAAAAAAAAAACACAACCAAAAAAATAGAAGAATGCAAGCATTGGCATGATTCATAACAGTTAACTAGAAACTACCCAAATGGATGCCAACAGTAGTAGAAAAAAGTGCATTAGGGTTTATGCATCCATGGGAATAGTATGCAGTGAAGACAATGGATAAACTACAGTTACACACAGATGGATGGATCTGACAAGCATAATGCTAAACACCAAGAAAACCGAAAAGAGGACACCATGTAGGATTCCATTTATTCAAAGCTCAAAAGCAGGCAAAACTGATAAATGGTGTATTAGCAATCAGGGCAGTGGCAGTGACTGAGAAAAATATCACAGGAGGCTCTAGGATGATAAGATTCTATTTTGATCTGGGAGCATGGTGTGTTCACTTGGTAAGACCCCATCATGCTCTACATACACAATACGTGCAGTTGTCTATACGTCTGTTAGAGTTTAATTTAAAAATCACTGGCCAGGCATGGTGGCTCACACCTATAACCTCAGCATTTTGGGAGGCCGAGGTGGGCAGATCATGAGGTCATGAGTTCGAGACCAGCCTGACCAACATGGTAAAACCCCGTCTCTACTAAAAATACAAAAATTAGTTTAGCATGGTGGCTTGCACCCGTAATCCCAGCTGCTCAGGAGGCTGAGGCAGGAGAATTGCTTGAACCAGGGAGGTAGAGATTGCAGTGAGCCGAGATCGCGCCACTGCACTCCAGCCTGGGTGACAGAGTAAGACTCCATCTCAAAAAAAAAAAGAAAGAAATTACTTAGAATTATTGATGATTGAACACCATTTCCCCGCAAAGTTACAACCTCACTTTCATGCCTCAGATGCATCAAAAGAAGCTTGAATTCTGAGATAAGAGGCTGGATTGCATCACCCTTAGAGAGAACAGACACAATGGCCCCGTGCCTTTGGTACAAGTTGCCAGAATTCACGGAGTTACCTGTGCTGCCCGCACTCCAGCATCAGACTGGCCCTAGCTCTCTGGCATGTTATATTGGAGAGATGGGATAGGAGTTAAAAATATGAAACCCAGACTGACAGCAACTTTCTGGCAGTGAGGAACCCTCTCCCTTAGAAAAATGGGGGAATCCTAATAGGCAAAGTGGAGCCGAGCTTTCAACCAGCCTAGAAGGAGGATCCAATCAGGACTCTGGATTCCAGCAGATCTGAGTTTTATTTCTGCTCCACTACTTTCTGGTGCTGTGATCTTGGGCGAATTCTCCTCCACTGAATCTCTCAACTCTCAGGCAATAACATGCTCCCCTCAACCTGCTCTCTTTTCTCTTTTTTCTATACCAATTATCAATCTCCAACCTAATTTATGGCTTACTTAGCTACTATATTTATGGCTTACCATCTGTCTTCCTAAAGAATGTACGCTTCAAAATTGCAGATTTTATTTATTTATTTTTTTTTTTTTTGAGATGGAGTCTCATTCTGTCACCCAGGCTGGAGTGCAGTGGTGCTATCTTGGCTCACTACAACCTCCGCCTCCCGGGTTCAAGCAATTCTCTTGCCTCAGCCTCCTGAGTTGTTGGGACTACGGGCATGCGCCAACACACCCAGCTAATTTTTGTATTTTTAGTAGAGACGGGGTTTCACCATACTGGTCAGGCTGGTCTCGAACTCCTGACCTCAGGTCATCCGCCCGCCTCAACCTCCCAAAATGCTGGGATTACAGGCGTGAGCCACCAAACCCTGTCCAAAAATGCAGAAAAATTGTATCAATATTGTTCACTGTTGTAGTCCCAACACCCAGAACAGCATGTGGGACATAGAAGACACTCAAATGCTTATTTAATAAATAAACAAAAATGATAATTCTAAAACAAACAGATAAACAATTACTTAGGAAAATGAGTCTACTATGAGAAGTGCACGTTATGTGTTGCAAGACTTGAGAAATGAATGACCAGAGCCAAATGGAGAGCAAGGGGTGTCAGCCAAGCTAGGGCCTTTGACAAGGAGGTGCTGTGTTCCTGTGCGCCTGCATCCTGGTTCCTGCAGAACCCGACTGATTTCTGACACTTATTTCTCCGGCTCCATTTTTTCCCATCACTGTGTCTTACCACAGTGTCCACCTTGTTAAATGCAGTTGTCTTTGTTTCTCTGCAAAGTGGTAACAAAAAGAGAGCATGGTTTGGCTCACACCTGTACTCCCAGCACTTTGAGAGGCCGAGGCGGACAGATCACAAGGTCAAGAGATCGAGTCCATCCTGGCCAACATGGTGAAACCCCGTCTCTACTAAAAAAACAAAAATTAGCTGAGTGTGGTGGTGAGTGTCTGAAGTCCCAGCTACTCGGGAGGCTGAGGCGGGAGAATCGCTTGAACCTGGGAGGCAGAGGTTGCAGTAAGCCGATCGCACCACTGCACTCCATCCTGGTGACAGAGCGAGACTCTGTCCACACAAAAAAAAGAGAGACAGAGAGAACATGGGAATTGTTTTCAAAGCCTTTATAATTTTTTGGAGCAGTTTTAAGTTCATAGTAAAACTGAATAGAGGGCACAGAGATTTCCTGTATGTCCCCCTGGCCCCCCCGACACACAGCACCCCCCTTTGTCAACCTCCTGCACCAGAGTGGTACATCAGTTATAGCCAATGAGCATACACTAACACATCATTATCAATCGAAGTCCACAGTTTAATGAGGGTTCACTCTTGTTGTTGCTTATTCTATGGGCTTGGACTAATGTGTAATGACATGTATCCACCATTACAGTCTCACACGACCGTTTTCACTGCCTTAAACATCCTCTGTGTCCTACCTATTCATCCTTCTCTCCCCCTCACCCCAACTCCTGGTAACCACTGATCTTTTTACTGTCTCCATGGTTTTGTCTTTTCCAGAAGGCCACTTTGTTGAAATACAGTGTGTACCACTTCAGATTGTCTTTTTTCAGTTAGCAATGTGCGTTTAAGTTTCCTCCATGTCTTTTCATAGCTTGAGAGCTCATTTCATGTGAGCATTGAATAACATTCCAGTGTCTGGAGATAGCACCATCTCTTTATTCATTTACTCACTGAAGGACATCTTGGATACTTCCATGTTTTGCAATTATAATAAAGCTGCTATAAAAATCCGTATGCAGGGTTTTTTTTTAATGTGGGGAGAATGAGACTATTTGTTTGCTTTTTTGTTTGTTTATTTATTTATTTATTTTGAAACTGGGTCTTACTCCTATTGCCCATGCTGGAGTACAATGGTGCCATCAAGACTCACTGCAGCCTCAACTTCCCAGGCTCAGGTGATCCTCCCATCTCAGCCTCCTGAGCAGCTGGAACCACAGGTGCATGCCACCATGCCCAGCTAATTTTTTGTATCTTTTAGTAGAGACGGAGTTTTGCCATGTTGCCCAGGCTGGTCTCGAACTCCTGAGCTCAAGCGATCCACTCACCCTGGCCTCCTAAAGTGCTGGGATTACAAGTGTGAGCCACTGCACCCAGCCAGATAATAAGATTTTAAAACAATATATCCCACTTTGAGATCCTGTTTCTCCACCTGCTGGCTTGACTTCTTGAGCAAGTTACAGAATTTCTTTAAGCCTCAGTCTCTTTGTCTGTGCAATGGAGATACCAAATACTTCACAGTAGATTAAAAGAGTGAATGATTCTCGAAGCATAACTCTTTCATAGTAGCTTAATGAGTGTAACGACTTTTACAGTATCAAGGCGATATACGTATTGTAGTTTGTTACTCCTAGTCTTTGTGTTTAGATAAGGAGTTGGGGACCAGTGCCAAATCATCTAGTAGGAGGAAAGAGACTTCTGGTCACCAGTCTGTATTTCCTGAGCTTGCAGGGCAGACAGGGTCTGCATGTCACCAACAACTGGTGTTGCTTATCTCTGCATGCCATGTTGGGATCCTCCAGACTCTCAGTCCTTCCTCTTCTCTACTCTCCAAGAGACATGGAACAAAATGGGAAAATGAATTGCTATTGTTTGCTTCTCCCGACAGAAAGGAAGGCACGACTGCTCTCTCTCCTGCAGTCTTTGTACTTTCTTCAACTGGTGATTAATAGAGTTCACTCTAGGCACACTCAAGCCCATAGAACAGTAGATAAATAACAGGCAGAGTTTAAGAAGATGCATGTTCTTTGAGTTAATAATTGTAACAGCTGGAGAAATGCGGTGGTTCTCATGGTAACAGGAACCCGCAACTTGGTCTCTAATTTGAAAGCATCATACTAATATGTACAGAGAGCTATCCTACAGTAACTTCCTTCTTTCCCTAATTGGAACATTTTTAATGAAGCAACAATATGATGCAATTTGGATACACAATGCAGAAGAGACTAATTTGTTCTAAATATGTCAGTGAAATGCATACTTGCAAACATTTTCTAAGATGATGTGGTGGGTTTATGTCATTTGCTTTAGAGCTTGAGTATGAACCTGTGTTCTTTGCAGAATTTCCTAAAGATAAGTCTGCTTTTTGCTCTTCATTTCTCAGACATTTCAAGTGACCATGATCCTGTTTTACAATAAGAATTCTGGCCAGGCACAGTGGCTCATGCCTGTAATCCCAGCACTTTGGGAGGCCTAGGTGGGAGGATCACCTGAGGTCAGGAGTTAGAGACCAGCCTCAACATGGAGAAACCCTGTCTCTACTAAAAATACAAAATTAGCCGGGCGTGGTGATGCATGCCTGTAATCCCAGCTACTCGGGAGGCTGAGGCAGGAGAATTGCTTGAACCTGGGAGGTGGAGATTGCAGTGAGCCGAGATCGCGCCATTGCACTCCAGCCTGGGCAACAAGAGCAAAACTCCATCTCAAAAAAAAAAAAAAAAAAAAAAAAAAAAAAAAAAAAAAAAAAAAGAATTCTGGCCAGGCACAGTGACTCATGCCTGTAATCCCAGCACTTTGGGAGGCCAAGGTGGGAGGATCGCTTGAGGCCGGGAGTTTGAGACCTACTTGGGATATACAGTGAGACTCTGTCTCTACAAATTTTTTTTTTAATTAACCGAGTGTGATGGTGGGTGCCCCTACTCCCAGTTACTTCAAAGGCTAAGGAAGAAAGATCACTTGAGCCCAGGATTTCAAGGCTTACAGTGAGCTATGATTGCACGACTGTACTCCATCCTGGGCAACAGAGCAAGACTCAGTCTCTAAAAAGTAAAAAAAAAAAAAAAAAAAAAAATTAAAACAGAGTACAATAAGAATTCAGGAAGTTTTTTTTTTTTTTTTTTTTTTTGCTGCAGTTGAGTTAATGTCTGGGATGGGATTTGTCTTCCAACATATTTAGTGAGGAAAGGAGGACTGAAAATATATTCCTTACTCTAGAAATAGGCATGCTGAAATATGAATGAGTCTTGCTGATTTTCTTGATGTAAACCATGCCAAATAAACAGGACCTTAAAAGTTGGAAATGTGCAGAGAGCCACCCTTTGGGGACAGCCAACTGAGCCACTCATCTCTGACTCTTGGGAGCTGCCTTCTGCTTAATAGGCTTCCTGACTATGAGTGTACAGAGATTTTTCCTAACTGGGTAGCTTCCTGCCTTTGTACTTCTCAGTTCCCTCCAAACAGTCACAGCAGGCCACCTACTTCTCTCCCTGAAGTGATCAAACTTGTCCTTTGATCATAATGAAAACATCTTCCACTGTTGTCTCATGAATCGGTCCTCTTCTTAGCTATTCGGAAGAGTGACAGTGCCTTTGCGGAGTCTGTTACTTGGCTCACAGCTGTGGAAGCTGCCTTTAATTGTGTGTCCATACACATTGCACATCCATGTTGCCTTCATTCCACTGATCACACTATCCTGGTGTGGTTGTTGGGTCTGCAGTGGACAGTCATAGCTAGGTTCTAGACATGAGTTCCATATGATTAAAAAAAAAAAAAAGGTTGTTAAAAAGGAAGGCTGCAAGTCAGGCCAGGGAGCATCATAATTTTTTTTTTAAGAGACAGGATCTTGCTCTCCTGCCCAGGCTGGAGTACAGTGGCACAATCATGACTTACTGCAGCCTCCAATTCCTGGGCTCAAGCAATCCTCCTGCCCCAGCCTTCAGAGTAGCTGGAACTACAAGTAAGTGCCAATAAACCCAGCTAATTATTTCTTTTATTTTTCGTATAGATGGGGTCTTGTTATGTTGCCCAGGCTGTTCTCAAACTCCTGGGCTCAAGCAATCCTTCCTCCTCAGTCTCTCAAAGTGCTGGGACTGCAGGCATAAGCCACTGTGCCAGCCTTGGCAACTCTTTTTTATGTTGAAATTCTTGTTTTGCTTGTGAATGTCTTGAATATTACCACTGATCACACCAAGCATGGAAAATGGGGGATGGGAGGACCTCCTTGAATGCAAGCGCAAACACAAACTCTCTGTTAATAACTCATAGTGCAGCTGAACCAAATCTGAAACATCTGAACAAGGCTTTACTAAAGGCATTAAATTGCAAGCAAGGAAGACGCGCAGAATCACAGGAAGCTGAAAGCCTGGTTTATGAGGCAATTTATTCCCCGAGCCTCTCAGATCCCACTTCATTCTTGGAAAATCCCAGGAGAGAGGGGATAAAGCACAGAAGGCTCCAACTCACTCTCCTACCTTCTTCTTTCCTCTTCTCTTGGGCCCTCACTACCCTGTCTGGAAGGGAAACCAACAGTACGTCAATCAATCATTGGGTAGAGAGAAACATAACTTCACAGTCAAAGCCAAAGTTGAACCACCCATCCCAGTTGCTGTCTAGCTCAGTGTCTTTCTGGGGAGCACAAATAACTTTCAAATACAGCCATGAAAAATCATTTTTCAAAAGGTAAAAATCCAAGTTAATAATAATAAAATCACAGCCCATCCTAAAGCTAAATCAACATGGTCTGATGTCTTCTGCTATATTACTTTATCCATAAGAATTTATTATTCTTTAGACAACATTGTGGTATGAATATCCAAGAGTTAACTGGGCTTAAATAGCTAGATGAGAAATGGCCTTCTTCCCGGCATAGACTTACACTATATATACTTATGTCAGGCTACCTTTCATATTTTTTGGACTGGCAAAACAATAATCTCAGCTATGACCATTGGGAATGCTAATATGCACATTTCTAGTTCTAGTTGACCTTTTAAAATTAATAGTATGGTGAATTGTCACAGACCCCACAAGCACCCTACAACCAGGGATAAAGACCTGAAGCTCCGGTTGGGTTCAGTGCTTCGTGCCTGTAATCCCAGCGCTTTGGGAGGCTGAGGCCGGAGGATCACCTGAGGCCAGGAGTTCAAGACCAGCCTGGACAACATACAAGATACAACTGTATCTATGAAAAAATTTTTTAATTATCTGGGCATGGTGCACCTATAGTCCCAGTTACTCAGGAGGCTGAGGCAGGAGGATCACTTGAGTCCAGGCGTTCGAGGCTGCAGTGAGCTATAATTGCACCACTGCACTTTAGCCTGGGTGACAAAGCAAGACCCTGTCTCTAAAAAAAAATTTTTTTTTAATTGAAGAAGACCAGAAGCTCTGCTCCATGCAGAGGTTTTTTTTCTCTTCCAGATTTTGTTCTCTATTTTCTGAGCTAAAACGACTGGCTCCATGAGATTCTCCAGAATATTTGGCACATCTGGCTGTTGGCCCATGTCAGGCTCTTGCTCTTTGATGGTTCTGTCAAATCTTTTTGTAGACGTAATTGGTTATAGTTTCCATGTCTTCAGAGCTGCTAAGCTAGCAATTTAATTTATCCTAATTCAGAACCTAATTGTCTTGCACTGCTGGCTAATTAAATGTTCAAAGAAGTGATAAATTAGACAGGTTGATCATTACAGCATGAGTAATTAGCCAGTTGATCTGAAGCCAGCCAGGGTTTTAGGACAGGGATCGGAAGGGGGTGACGTGCACAGTGATGAGACCCTTGTATCACACAGATTTGAGATAAAGAGGGTCAACTGCAAAGTCTTGGGCCTGCCACCCCAAGCACAGGTGGGAGTCTTGTCTTTCAGGGCTAAGAATTTGCTCAGGTCTTGGATAGGCCTAGGTTCACATTAAGGTACATTAGCTGTCCAGGGTCCCCTGTGGACATATCAGCATCCATTGAGGTGTGGCCTAAAGCAGGCCAGGAACCCCTCCACTGGCAGGAGTAGGGGTTGGTACAGTTGAAGTAGGTGGAAATGAGTTTAAAAATCAGAAGCAGGATCCTGGACAAGAACTAGGTCTTATGCTTGAAGGAAAACCCGACAGGTCCAGCTCAGGGGCTTCAGGATCTCAGTAAGTGTAAAAATATGAAAAATAGCATGACTTAGGTTGAAACGGAGTGAACACTAGTATGGAACAGGCTGACCTATCCCAGGATAGACTGAGTTGAGGCCAGGTGAAACAAATTTGAAGTGGTAGAGATGATCACTTCAAATCCCACCCAATGGGATAATCCCATTGGGATACACTATGACAAAGTATTTGTTGCCATGGACCACTTGTTAAAGGGGTGACCTGATGCTCTCTGTAGTGGATGGTTTGCAGGATGGGCTACCTTGGCATTAAAGTAGAGCTTTTGTAGGGGCCTGATGAATAAGCAGAGAATGTTCTAGTTTCTCCCTAAAATCAGCCCGGGAGTTTTCTGCAAGACTAGAGCAAAAATGAAAGAAAGTTCTATCACACACATTCATTCACTTGCACACACATTCATGCACACATATGCACGCCTGCACTCACACACACAGGCATGCAGCCCAGTAAGTTGGAAAACCTAACATCCATCCTGGCTTTTCTGCTTTTCACAGTGCCCCCTGCTGTAAGCTGAAGATCCTTCACCTCCTGAAATACCATCCGCCCAATGTTAGGATGCCGCAGATTCTCCCGTAGCTGGGAGTAGCACAGGCTGTCCAGTAGAAATCAAGGGTGAGCCACATATATAATTTAACATTTTCTTTTCTTTTCTTTCTTTTTTTTTCTTTTTTTTTTTTTTTTTTGAGGTGGAGTCTCGCTCTGTCGCCAGGCTGGTGTGCAGTGCTGCGATCTCGGCCCACTGCAACCTCCACCTCCTGGGTACAAGCCATTCTCCTGCCTCAGCCTCCCGAGTAGCTGGGACTACAGGCACCCGCCACCACACCCAGCTAATTATTTTGTATTTCTTTTTAGTAGAGACGGGGTTTCACCATGTTAGGCAGGATGGTCTCGATCTCCTAACCTCAAGTGATCTGCTCACCTTGGCCTCCCAAAATGCTGGGATTACAGATGTGAGCCACCATGCCTGGCCCGGTGCAATATTTACTATGTTAATTTGCAGCTACTTTAAAAAATAATTTCAGCTTTTATTTTAGACTCAGGGGGCACATATGCAGGTTTGTTACATGAGTATATCATGTGATGCTGAGGTTTGGGGTATGATTGATTTCGTCACCCATGCAGTGAGGATAGTACCCAATAGGTAGTTTTTTAATCCTTGCCCCTCTTCCTCTTGCCCCCACTCTAGTAGTCACCAGTGTCTACTGGTCCCATCTTTATGTCCTTGTGTACGCGATGTTTAGCTCCCACTTATAAGTGAGAATATGTGATATTTGGTTTTCTGTTTCTGCATTAATTTTCTTAGGATAATGGCCTTCAGCTGTATCCATGTTGCTGCAAAGGACATGATATAGCTACTTGTGGCAACAGCAAGCAGTTTCAAGAGGTGAATACATAGCTCAAAGAAGGAAGTAGGGCATGATTGCTGTCTCTCTTTCTTTCTTTCTTTTTTCTTTTTTGTGATGGAGTCTGACTCTGTCGCCCAGGCTGGAGTGCAACTGCAACCTTTGCCTTCTGGGTTCAAGCAATTCTCCTGCCTCAGCCTCCCGAGTAGCTGGGATGATAGGCATGTGCCACCACACCCAGCTCATTTTTGTATTTTTAGTAGAGATGGGGTTTCACCATGTTGGCCAGGCTGGTCTCAAACTCCTGACCTTGTGATCCGCCCGCCTCAGCCTCCCAAAGTGCTGGGAGTACAGGTGTGAGCCACTGCACCTGGGCTGCTGTCTCATTTTAATGCCTCTCTGGGCCTAATCATTTGAAGGGTCCTCACATTCCTCAAATGAAAGTTCTTTTCTTTCCCCATCTTTCTGCTCGCCCTTTATGCCCCCGAGTCTGGGCTGGGAGACACATCACAGAGAGATGCTGATTAATTTCAGAAAATAATGATTGGAATGAAGAGATGTTCTAGAAATTAAGCCACATGAAAAACATTTGAGGTCCTGACTGTTGTCCTTACATTTTTTGTTTCATTTTATTTTATTTTTTTGTACAGACAGGGTCTTGCTGTGTGATCCAGGCTGGTCTCAAACTCCTGGTCTCAAGTGATCCTCCCACCTTGACCTCACAAAGTGCTGGGATTACAGGCATGGGACAGCGTGCCAAGCTCCTTAAAAAATGTTTTCAGTTAAAAATAGTTAAAAGACCTGGGGTGAGAAATCTGAGAAATGGTCAAGCAGACTGAATAGTCTTACGTGGGTACCGTATCAACGCACTGCAAACTGGGTGGCTTAAAGCAACATTAGTTTATCCTCTCACGGTTCTGGAGTCCAGAGACCCAAAATTAAGGGGTCGGTGATATAGGAGTTAAAAAGAACTTATTTAGGCAGATAGTAAGGGTAAGGAAGTCCTTGGTAAGATTTTCCTTTTAATGAAAAGGAGCCACCAAATAATTTTCTTTTCTAACAAAGTGTAGCCTGTGAAGTCGAGCTGCAGACATACACAAGCAAGCGGGAAGCTTGCAGGGGTGAATGCGGGCAGCTGTGCCAATAGGAAAAGGCTACCTGGGACTAGGCACGTTCAACATGGCCACTCCATCTTCCCTTCTCTTTGCCAGCCACATGTACAGTAAGGAGCAGGCAACATGGTACCGGCCAGGAAAAGACCCCATTTGTATAATAAGATTAGGGCAGGGTGGCCAGCTTCCTCGTGCATTATGTAAACGTCACACCTGGTCCAACCAATCTTTGGGCCCTATGTAAATCAGACACTGCCTCCTCAAGCCTGTCTATAAAATCCAGTGCACCCTACTGTGGGCCAAAAGTCCCATTTGGGCACCCCTCCTTCTCGCAAAAGAGAAAGCTGTTTTTTTTCCTCTTTCTTTTGCCTGTTAAACCTCCGCTCCTAAACCCACTTCCTGTGTCTGCGTCTTTGATTCCCTTGGCGTGAGACGACGAACCCCGGGTATTTATCCCAGACAATGACGCCACTTCATCTCTAAGCTCCCATCCCTCCAAAGCTTCCAGAGAGATTGTTCCTTATCTCTTTTAGCTCTGGGAGCCCAGGTCTTCTTTGGTTTTTAGATGGATCCCTCCACTCTCTGCCTCCGTCCTCGCAGGGTGACCCCTTTGTGTCTCTCTTCACTTTTTCTTTCCTCTTCTATGAGGACACCAGTCACAGTGAATTGGGTGCCCTCCATACTCCAAGTAAGACCTCATCTTAACTAATTACATCTACATCTCCATTTCCAAATAAGGTCATATTCTGAGGTCCTGGATGGTAGGACTTCAATGTATCAGGAAGAGACATCATTCCACCTATAACACTGAGTTATGTTAGGTTTCTTTAGATATCTGAAGGGATTTTTCATGAAAGAGCAGTTAAGACTTCCTCTCTCTTTTTCTGGAGAAAGAGCTAGGATCCAGGAGTGAGGAAGAAGGGGTCAATTTTGGCCAAGCCAGAAGGAGAAGCCAAGGGTAGGGATAGCTGTGCAGCCACTGAGTGGAATGTGTTTTGTGTGTGGAATCTTTACTTACTGCATTTGTCCAGTTCGTGTTGCTACAAAAGATTACTAGAGGCTGAGTAATTTACAGAAAAGAGGTTTATTTGGCTCATGGTTTTGCAGGCTATACTAGAAGCATGGCTCCAGCATCTGCCTCTGGTAAGAACCTCAGAAAGCTTCCACTCCTGGTGGAAGGTGAAGGGCAGCCAATGTGTCACATGGCAAGAGAGGGCACTGGAGAGAACAATGGGAGGGGTGCCATGCACTTAAATAACCAGCTCTCACATGAACTAATAGAGTGGGAACTCACTCATTACTGCAGAAAGAGCACCAAGCCACTCATGAGGGATCCATCTCCATGACCCAAACATCTCCTGCCAGACCCCACGTTTAACATTGAAGGTCATATTTGAACATGAAATTTGGAGGGGACAAATATTCAAACCATATCACTTACCGTGGGCCAGCATTGCCTCTTTTTCATGGTTTATATGTTTGAGCCCTTTTAATATTCACAACACCCTATGATGTACACATTATTTTCTACTTTTTACTTATAAGTCACAGAGAGGTTAAGTAACTTACCCAAGATCACACAGTCAGTAAGTAATAGAATGGGGTTTTATACTCAGTGTACTTGCCTTCCAAATCTGTCTCCCAACCACCATGCTATACTGCCTCTCCAGAAGGCTTCATGCTATACCAGGGATGTTACAGGGTGGTACAGGCTGTTGCAGAAGTGGAAGATTGAAGATCCATTTAGTTATTCAAATAGTATGTGGCAGGCACTGTGCTAGATCCCAGGAATACAATATTGATGAAGATATACATAGTTTCTGTACCAAGACTTTCAACATATTTATTGAACAACTACACCATGTCTGGCACCATCCTAAAACTAAGCAAAGAAGAACAAGCTTGATTGTTCTAGAAGGCCTTTCAATGGGTTTTGTTCAAAATATTTCAGTTTGCCGGGTGCGGTGGCTCACCCCTGTAATCCCAGTACTTTGGGAGGCCGAGACGGGTGGATCACCTGAAGTCAGGAGTTCGAGACTAGCCTGGTCAACCTGGTGAGACCCCGTCTCTACTAAACATACAAAAGTTAGCCAGGCGTGGTGGTCCATGCCTGTAATCCCAGCTACTTGGGAGGCTGAGGCAGGAGAATTGCTTGAACCCGGGAGGCGGAGGTTGCAGTGAACCGAGATCATGCCACTGCACTTCAGCCTGGGCAAAAGAGCCAGACTCCGTCTCAAAAAAAAAAAAAAGAAAAAGAAAAAGAAAAAGAAAAAGAAAAAATTTCGGTTTGTGTCCATGTATATTTATGTGCCTCATGAGATTGTGGGATTGTGGGGCAGGCAGGCAAGGTAGAAGGAGAGACAGGGAGGGACACAATGAAAGGAATTCACGACAAAATAGTCACTTTTTTTTTTCAGGGCAAGAACTTAGTTGATTTTCACTCACTAGAAACTATGATTAATAATGATGTTACTGTTATTTTGACAAACATAAAACAAAAATAAAAATACATAAAAACATAAAACAAGAACATAAAACAAACAAAAAAAAACAAAAAACAAAAATAAAAAAACAAACAAAAAATAAAAATTCTGGGTGAAATTTTATTTTGACCTGGAGAGACAATTATAGCTATCTTTTGCCATGGGAGAAAACACATCAGCTCCTCTGGAAGCTCACATTCTGTCCTCTCTAGAACTCTACAAGAGTCTAATCCTTGTTAGAAGTAGATGAACTTGGTGTACAAAGAAAAAGGGGCTAGAAAGAGGGGCAGGAGAGAGAGAGGGAAAAATAAGGAAGATACAGAAGGTGGCCAATGCCTTTCTGAAATCTGGTGATCCTGAACCTAAGGAATAAAAATTAGAGAGAAAAAACGTCCTCGACAGGGAGGTTGATAGGCAGCTACAACTGCTAGCCTTGTTTTGCAAAGAGTATCTGCCAGACACTTGAAATTTATACCACATTCAGGAAGGATGTCAAAAAAAAAAAAAGAAGTCTCTGCTTCTTTTTTACCTTAAGCGTAGTGAATTTACATTTCTCTCACATCACCGTTCTAAAGACAGGGACTGGGGTGGGCCAGGGTCCACACTTTTAAGAGCTGGCATCACCACACCAGGATCCAGTCCTTACCACCCTCTCCAGACTCAGGGAAGACAGCTACAAGGCAAGGGGTTCTACCCTAGGAAGGGTGAGAAAAGCAATACTCTCTTTGTAACTGAAAAGAGATAAATTAGCATTAAATCACCAGCAAAAGCCCTGCATATCCCAGCTTCCCTCTGAGCCTGCTCTCCTACTTGAGTTCTCTGCTCATCCCTAAGGGAGAGGACAGGAAAGGTGAGATAAAGAGGCTCTATCAAAGTTTGTGCTGCAGACAACACACTTGAAAAATGTGGCCACCTGCCATAGCTCTCTCCAGCACACCTCGATTATTCCTGAGCAAACAGCAATCCAAGATGAAAAAATAAGCACAGTGCATTCAACGTGAGTCTCCTGAATGAATAAATAGATCAAGAAAAAGAAAGACACTTAATGAGTAAAAGGACAATGAAGACTAGCTATATCAAGAAACAAGACATTTTCAGACACATTTCTCTGGACTCTGTTAGAAATTACAGAGAATATGTATTTTTTTTCTTTTTGTTGAGACAGAGTTTCGCTCTTGTTGCCCAGGCTGGAGTGCAATGGCGTGATCTCGGCTCACCACAACCTCCCAGTGACTCTCCTGCCTCAGCCTCCTTAGTAGCTGGGATTACAGGCATGCACCACTACGCCCGGTTAATTTTGTATTTTTAGTAGAGATGGGGTTTCTCCATGTTGGTCAGGGTGGTCTCAAACTCCCGATCTCAGGTGATCCGCCCACCTTGGCCTCCCAAAGTTTGCTGGGATTACAGGTGTGAACCACTGTGCCTGGCCCAGAAATTACAGAGAATATATATTTTCTAAGAAGAGAAATGGACATTCTTTTAGCACTGAGCTGGTGGGGTGGCTCTGCCATGTGCCAATTGGATATGAACTCAGTAGGAGCCTCTTAAACATGCTCCATGACCCAGCCAACTCTTATTCCCTGAATTCCTAATGAAACATATCATTAGGGATATGTTTTCTAAAGAGTAGTTGCTGCCTCTGATAGATGCCTTCTAATGTCAGCATTAGAAGAGGTTGCAACCATTTACCAACCACTTTTCACATGTCATCTCATATGCAACTCATATTTAACAGGAGATAATATCATCTTCATTTTACAAATGAAGAAGGGGAGTTGGCAAAGAAGCAACATGACTCAGTTATCTATCATCCAGTGTTTGCAGGTGGCAGAATCCAGATGTTTCAGTTATCTCTTGCTGTGTAACAAATAACCCCAAACCTGAGTGGCATGAAACAATGACAATCATTTTATCATGATCTCCTGGGGTTGATGGGTTCGGCTAGATTCTCACCTAGGTCTCTCCTGACGTTGTGGTCATACTGTGGCCAAGGTGGGTTACCTGAAGGCTGGCTTACTAGCATGTCTGTTACCTGAACTCGGGGAAGACTCAAAGAGTTGGTCTCTCCAGCCCAACCTCTTCCACAGCAGCTCAGGGCTTAGAGCAAATATCCCTAGAAAACAGCACAGAAGGTAGTTGGCCCTTCTCCCATTCAGCCTGATGTTGATGAATCAGCATCACTCTGCCACATTCTATTAATTCCTGTGATCACAAATGCCTGCTCAAGTTCAGCATGAGGAGATGAGAGAGAAACCCCTCCTCTTGATAAGAAGTATGGCATAGAATTTGCAGACCTGGTTTCCAAACCACTACACCAAATCTTTTGATCCCAGATACCAATGTGTTCTACTGTGTCATTTTCTCCAGGAGTTAGAGTTACCCTTATGGAAAGGAAGGAAAGGAATTTCCTGTTGATGCCTTGCCAGTTTTTTTGTTTGTTTTTTTGTTTGTTTGTTTGTTTGTTTTTGTTTTGTTTTGTTTTTTTGAGACGGAGTCTCGCTCTGTCACCCAGGCTGGAGTGCACTGGTGTGATCTCAGCTCACTGCAATCTCCACCTCCCTGGTTCAAGTGATTCTCCTGCCTCAGCCTCCTGAGTAGCTGGAATTACAGGAGCCCACCACTGCGCCCAGCTAATTTTTGTATTTTTAGTAGAGACAGGGTTTTGCCATGTTGGCCAGGCTGGTTTCGAACTCCTGACCTCAGGTGATTCGCCCGCCTTAGCCTTCGAAAGTGCTGGGATTACAGGCATGAACCACTGTGCCGGGACCAGGCTTTTGTTTATTCCATTAGCAAAGCCCTTATGAGGGCTTATGTCTCCCTTTTGGGGGGACACAGTGATACAAGTTCAGGACAGAGTTGAACATAGAGAAAATGCAGATGGAAGGCACTGTGGTTCAGGGTGGAGATAAAAAAGAGAGACAAAGTCCAGCCTGGGCCAACATGGTGAAAACCCGTCTTTACTGAAAATACAAAAAAATTAGCTGGGCATGATGGTGCGTGCCTGCAGCCCCCGCGACTTGGGAGGCTGAGGTGGGAGAATTGCTGGAACCTGGGAGGTGGAGGTTGCTGTAAGCCAAGATGGCCCCACTGCACTCTAGCCTGGGTGACAGAGTGAGGCTCTGTCTCAAAAAAAAAAATAAAAATAAAAATAAAAATAAAAAAAGAGAGAGAGGGGGAGTGACAAGAGGATTATGATAGGTGGAATGGTTGAGGCACAAGAAGAAATGATAAATGCCTTCTCCATTTCCTCCTTTATTTTTTTCCATCTGCTCCAATATTCCCCAATACCCAAAGTGGCAGGAAAACTGGCTTTTGCAGGTGTACAGGATTCCATCACGCTACCGTGTCTCTGGCCACAGCTGAGCTTCGGCTGCATTTTTACAGTTGAACTGGCAGGAGAGTAAAAGTTTAAATTGATGCCTGCTTTACAAATCATCAGTGAAATCGATGTTTCCAAGTTCCTGTGTGTCTGTGAGACTAGGCTCTAAACACTTTGTTTATGTCTGGTAGTAAAGTTTTCATCAAACCATCTTTTCTTTTTAATTGAGCTAATAATTTCACTCCTGTCCACTGGGTTGAGTCGTACCAGCTATAACCTGACCAAGTCTGTCTGAACAAATACCTGAATAGAACATGGTGCAGTAGTCATGGAAAAGTCACCAAAATTAGCATGAAAGGGTCTGGTTCCTGCTCTGTTGCCTGCCTGCTGGGAGTCTCTGAGCCACTGACTCAACCTCTCTGAACCTGTCATTATTATACATAATATGGGGAGAAAACCTTCCTGGCAGGTCAGCATATGAAATGGGTATGTTAGAAAACAGACCCTAGGCCAGGTGTGGTGGCTCACACCTGTAATCCCAGCACTTTGGGAGTCCGAGGCAGGAGGATCATGAGGTCAGGAGATCGAGACCATCCTGGCTAACATGGTGAAACCCTGTCTCTACTAAAAATACAATAAATTAGCCGGGTGTGGTGGCAAGTGCTTGTAGTCCCAGCTACTAGGGAGGCTGAGGCAGGAGAATGGCGTGAACCCAGGAGGCAGAGCCTGCAGTGAGCTGAGATCACGCCACTGCACTCCAGACTGGGCGACAGAGCAAGACTCCGTCTCGGAAAAAAAAGGAAAGAAACGAAAAGAAAAGAAATCACACCCCCCTAGCCCAGGACCTGGTATTCATGAAATGATCCATAAATGTAGTTTGAATCTATTTTTAATTAATTTTGTTCTAGATCTGACACATCCATCTTGCCATTTTCCTTGCTCACTCTTCATGCACTTGAGTGCTTGCTTCTCTTTCTTATTGGGAAGGTAATTATTCTTGTTGGATAATATTAGTAAAATACTTAAAAGGGCAAAGAAGAAATTAATAGCCACTGCCACAGAGGAATAGCCTCACTCTAAATAGTCTGATGTCTTTTTATAAAGCTTTATGCATGTAGTTGTATGTGTGTCTGTACATATGAGTGTATGTGTCTTAAGCCATCTGTGCTGCTAAAATACCTTAGACTGGCTCATTTTCAAACAATAGAAACGTATTGCTTACAGCTGTGGAAGCTGAGAAGTCCTAGATCAAGACACTGGCAAGTTCAGTGTCTAGTAAGGGCCTGCTCTCTGCTTCATAGATGGCACCTTCTATCTGGATTCTTTTTTTTTTTTTTTTTTTTTTTTTTTTTTGAGACAGAGTCTTGCTCTGTCACCCAGCCTGGAGTGCAATGGCTTGATCTCGGCTCACTGCAACCTCCGCCTCCCAGGTTCAAGCGATTCTCCTGCCTCAGACCCCCAAGTAGCTAGGATTACAGGTGTGCGCCACCACATCTGGCTAATTTTTGTATTTTTAGTAGAGATGGGGTTTCCCCATGTTGACCAGGCTGGTCTCGAACTCCTGACCTCAGGTGATACGCCCACCCCGGCCTCCCAAAATGCTGGTATTACAGGCATAAGCCATCATGCCTGGCCTCTCCCTGGATTCTTACATAGCAGAAGGAATGAACAAAAAATCCTTTGGGCTTCTTTTATAAGGGCACTAACCCCATTCTTAATAGTGGAGCCCTCGTGATCTAATCATCTCCCACAGACCCCACCTCTTAATACTATTGCATTGGGAATGCTATTTCATCATATGAATTTAAGGAGACACAGACATTCAGGCCATAGCAGCACATATGTATGCATGTGCTAGCACATGGCTTTGCATGTATCTTCATTTGCCATTTTATATTGTTTCCATCATGCATATATAATCAGCTTTCTGTAACTTTGAATGGAAAGTATTCCAAAAAATAAAGAGTAACAACACTACCATGAAATATGACATACATTTAAACATTCAGTATAATAACTACTTACATGGCACTTACATTATATGAAGTATTTTAAGTAATTTAGAGGTGATTTGAAGCAGTGATCACCAGGCCGGGCGTCACTGCTCACTCCTGTAATCTTAGCACTTTAGGAGGCCAAGGTGGGTAGATCACTTGAGGTCAGGAGTTCAAGACCAGACTGGTCAACATCATGAAACACATCTCTACTAAAAATATAAAAATTAGCCAGTTGTGGTGGTGTGTGCCTGTAATCCCAGCTACTCAGCAGGCTGAGGCAGGAGAATCATTTGAACCCGAGAGGCGGAGGTTGCAGTGAGCCAAGATTGCACCACTGCACTCCAGCCTGGGGGACGAGCAAAAAAAAAAGCAGGAGTCATCAACCTTCATGTTGCCGACTGGTACTAGTCCATGGCCTGTTAGGAACAGGGCCAGACAGCAAGAAGTGACCAGCAAGTGAGAGAGCATTACCCTCTGAGCTCTGCCTCCTGTTAGATCAGCATTGGCACCGGATTATCATAGGAGCGCAAACCCTACTGTGAACTGCGCATGCGTGGAATCTAGGTTGCGCACTCCTCATGAGAATTAATACCTGATGATCTGAGGTGGAACGGTGTCGCCCCGAACCCATGCCCCCCACCCATCAATGGAAAAATTGTCTTTTGTGAAATGGGTCCCTGGTGCCAAAAATGTTGGGGGCCACTGATTTAAAGTATACAGGAGGACGTATGTACGTTATATGCAAATACTATGTCACTTTATGTAAAGGACTTGAACATCCATGGATTTTGGTGTCCTCAAGGGATCCTGGAATCCATCCCCTACAGATACCTAGTGATGACTGTATTGTTCACCAGGAACATTTTCCCAGGTCACTCCATGGTCATTAAAATCCTGATTTTTGGATGGGCACAGTGGCTCACACCTGTAATCCCAGCACTTTGGGAGGCCAACGCAGGTGGATCACCTGAGGTCAGGAGTTCGAGATCAGCCTGGCCAACATGATGAAACCCCATCTCTACTAAAAATACAAAAAATTGGTCGGACGTGGTAGCAGGTGCCTGTAATCTCAGCTACTTGGGAGGCAGAGGCAGAAGAATTGCTTGAACCTGGTAGGTGGAGGTTGCAGTGAGCTGAGATCATGCCACTGCATTCCAGCCTGAACAACAAGAGTGAACTTCTGTCTCAAAAAAAAAAAGAAAAAGAAAAAACACACTCAACAAGAAAATCTGATTTTTAGGGGCTGGGTGATAATCGATTGTTTGAACATGTTCAATTTAGCCAACCATTCTTCTACTGTTGAACATTTAGTTTCTCTCTAATTTTCTCTACTAGCTTATTAATAATAGAGAAATATGAATAGTCTTGTTCATACGTCTTTGTCCACCTCTCTGATTATTTTCTTGAGACAGATTCCTCAGCATTAAATCACTCTGCAAAGGGCATAAACAATTTAAAAGAGCATCATACATATTGCCAGAAAGCTTTTCAGAATTGGTATTAATTTATGTTCTCAACAGCTGTTTGGAGAACTACACTCTCACTATAAACTGCCTGATACTATTGTCTGTGTTTTATTTCTTCATACATTTGATCAGGAAAAATCAACTTTTGTGTTTCATTAATTTTTTATGTCTTTGTTTCCTTATTAGGTTGAACGATTTTAATTGTTTCTCATTTGTTATTTGTCTATTTATGTTCTTTTTACATTTCTCCGTTGAGATGTTCTGTTCCTTATAGATTTAAATATCATTTTAAATAAAGAAATGATAATAGCCCTTTCCCCTTAATATTTATGTTGTTTTTTATGATGTTTTGCACAGATATAAGTTTGAGATATTCATAGAATACTGTTTTGGCTAGGCGCGGTAGCTCACACCTGTAATCCCAGCACTTTGGGAGGCCGAGGCGGGTGGATCACCTGAGGTCAGGAGTTCGAGATCAGCCTGGCCAACGTGATGAAACCCCATCTCTACTAAAAATACAAAAATTAGCCAGTGTGGTGGCAGGTGCCTGTAATCCTAGCTACTCAGGAGGCTGAGGCAGGAGAATTGCTTGAACCTGGGAAGCGGAGGTTGTAGTGAGCCGAGACTGCACCACTGCACTCCAGCCTGGGTGATGAGAGTGAAACCCCATTAAAAAAAAAAACATATATATACTGTTTTGTATACAGATGGCTATGGTCTGAATGTTTGACCTATAGATTTATATGATTAGAATAGTAAGTTTTTTTCTTTTTATAGCAATCATTTAACTTATTCAAATTTATTGTGAACTTACTTTTATCTTCGACACTTTAATACATCTGGGATTTATTGGGGAGTGTATTATAAGGTAAAAACTTAACAAAATTTTGCTCCAAAGGAGTTTCCCAAATTTCTTTTTCTTTCATCATTATCTTATATATAGAAAGAGTTTCCTGGCTGGGCACAGTGGCTCACACCTGTAATCCCAGTACTTTGGGAGGCCGGGGCAGGCAGATCACCTGAGCTTGGGAGTTGGAGACCAGCCTGGCCAACATGGAGAAGCCCTGTCTCTACTAAAAATACAACATTAGCCAGGCGTGGTGGCGGGTGCCTGTAATCCCAACTACTTGGAAGGCTGAGGCAGGAGAATCGCTTGAACCTGGGAGATGGAGGTTGCGGTAAGCCAGGATTGCGCCATTGCACTCCAGTTTGGTAAACAAGAATGAAACTCGTCTCAAAAAAAAAAAAAAAAAAGAAAGAGTTTCCCAAATTTCTATCACCAGTTGTTGGGTCATGACCTCCCTTCACCATCGATTGCAGTTGTTTCTTCATCATTCGTGCCGTCGCCTGATTCAGGATTCTGTCTGCTCTGTCTCCCCGATCTGTGTGTTGATTCATTACTCCATAATACATTTTCATCATGTGGCTTTATGATATGCTCTGTCTGTGCCAGGGTGCATCAGATCACACCAATCTTCTTATTTTAAACTTCATATTTTTTTTGAATCTCATAATTCTTTGTAATTCTTACCACTCTTTTTTTTTTTTTTTTTTTTTTTAAGATAGTCTTGCTCTATCTCTCAGGCTGGAGTGCAGTGGCATGATCATAGCTCACTTCGGCCTCTACCTCCTTGGCTGAAGTGATCCTTCCACCTCTGCCTCCCAAGTAGCTAGGACTACAGGGGCATGCCACGACACTCAGCTATTTTTTTGTTTAGTTTTTGTAGAGATGAGGTCTCACTGTGTTACCCAGGCTAGTCTCAGACTCCTGGGCTCAAGAGATCCTCCTGCCTCAACCTCCCAAAGTGCTGAGATTACAGCCAGGAGTTTTGGGCCCAACCTAATTCTTACCTTTTTATTTATTTTAAAACTTTTTTCTTTTCTTTTTTTTCTTTTTTCCTTAGAGAGAGGGTCTTGCTCTCTCACCCAGGTTGGAGTGCAGTGGTGCCATCATAGCTCACTGCAGACTGAAACTTCACACACCTGGGGTCAAGCAGTCCTCCCACTTCAGCCTCCCAAGTAACTGGGACTATGGGTGTGCACCATCATGCCCACTTAATTTTTTGGGGGGGTGGGCGGGGGGGGCACAGACAGAGTCTTGCTCTGTCGCCCAGGCTGGAGTGCAGTGGTGCTATGCTATCATAGCTCACTGTAACCTCAAACTCTTGGAATCAAACAATCCTCCCATCTTGGTTTCCCAAAGCACTGGGATTACAGGCAAGAGCCACCGCACCTGGCCCAAAACTTTTTACTTTATAATAGTTGTATAATAGATACACAGGAAGTTATACATATCGTAACTTTTATCCATCGTCTCCCAACAGTGACATTTTATATAACATAGGACAATATTAAGCCAGAAAATTGGCATTGTTATAATACTGCTAAGTAGACAACCAACATGATTCTGTTTCACCATTTTTACGTGCATTCACTCGTGTGTGCTTGTGTGTGTGATGTTTTATGCAGTTTTATCCCATGCACAGATTCATGAGACATAACCACACTCAAGACACAGAGCTGGCCAGGCACGGTGGCTCCCTCCTGTAATCCCAGCACTTTGGGAGACTGAGGCGGGTGGATCACCTGAGGTCAGGAGTTTGAGACCAACCTGGCCAACATGGCGAAACCCCACCTCTATTAAAAAATACAAAAATTACCCATGTGTGATGGTGGGTGCCTGTAATCCCAGCTACTCACGAGGCTGAGGCAGGAGAATGGCTTGAACCTGGGAGGTGGAGGTTGCAGTGAGCCAAGATCATGCCACTGCACGCTAGCCTGGGAGACAGAAGGTGACTCTGTCTCAAAAAAAAAAAAAAAAGACACAGACCTGCCCCATCCCACAAAGGAACTCTCTCCCCTGTCTTACCATTTATATTTGTACCATCTCCACCAGAGTCCCCTGGCAACCACTAATCTTTTCTATAGTTTTGACATTTAAAAAAATTCTATAAATTAAATCATGGACTATATAACCATTTAAGACTGACTTTTTTTTTTTTCCTAAGCATAATGCCCTTGAGATGCATCCAGGTTTTTGTGTGTATCCGCAGCTGATTCCTTTTTATAACTTAACAGTATTCCATTGTATCAGTTTGTTTAACCACTCATTTATGGAAGGACACTGTTTCCACTTTGGGGCTGTTACAAACAAAGCTGCTACGAACATTGGTGTTCAAGTTTTTGTGTGAATATTGTTTCTATTTATCTGGGATAAATGCCCAACAGTGCAATTTCTGGATAGTATGGTGAATGTATGTCTAGTTTTATTAAAAACCTGCCTGTAATCCCAGCACTTTGGGAGGCCGAGATGAGTGGATCACCTGAGGTCAGGAGTTTGAGGCCAACCTGACCAAGATGGCAAAATCCCGTCTCTACTAAAAATACAAAAATTAGCTGGGTGTGTGGTGATGGGAGCCTGTAGTCCCAGCCACTCAGGAGGCTGAGGCAGGAGAATCACTTGAACCCGGCAGGTGGAGGTTACAGTGAGCCGAGATCATGCCACTGCACTCTAGCCTGGCAACAGAGTGAGACTCCATCAAAAATCAAACAAACAAACAGACAAAACCCTGCCAAACAGCTTTTCACAGTGGCTGTACCATTTTTTGCCACCACCAACAATGTATGAGAGATACAGTTTCTTTGCCTCCTGTCAGCATTTGCCATGATTATTTTTTATTTTAGCTGTTCTCATAGTTGTGCCATAACATTGTGATTTTTGCTCACACCTGTAATCTCAGCACTTTGGGTGGCTGAAGCGGGTGGATGGCTGAGTCCAGGATTTTGAGACCAGCCTGGGCAACAGAGTGAGACTCTGTCTCTACATTATATTTTTTTAAAAATTAGCTAGGCCTGGTGGCAGGTGCTGGTAGTCCCAGCTACCAGGGAGGTTGATGTCGGAGGATTGCTTGAGCCCAGGAAGTCAAGGCTGCATAAAGGAATGATCGCTCCACTACACTCCAGCCTGGATGACAGAGGGTATTAGTCCATTTTCATGCTGCTGATAAAGGCATACCTGAGAGTGGGCAATTTACCAAAGAAAGAGGTTTATTGGACTTACAGTTCCATGTGGCTGGGGAGGCCTCACAGTCATGGCAGAAGGTGAAAGGCACATCTCACATGGTGGCAGACAAGACAAGAGAACGTGTGCAGAGAAACTCCCATCTTTTAAAACCATCAGATCTTGTGAGACTTAGTCACTACCATGAGAACAGCATGGAAAAGACCCACCCCCATGAGTCAATCACCCCCTACCAGGTTCTGCCCAGAATGCATGGGTATTATGGGAGTTACAATTCAAGATGAGATCTGGGTAGGAACACAGCCAAACCATATCACAGAGTGAGACCCTAAAAAGTAAAGTGAGTGACTCTCCAAAAAGTAAAAAATGACATTGTAGTTTTAATTTGTATTTTCCTAATTGCCAATGATATTGAATAATCTTATCTCTTAATTTTTTCCAGATGAACATGATCCAAAGATTTCCCCAAAAACTTCCATTAATATTTTTATTGGATTATGTTAAAATATACCTTTAGTTGTGAATAATCTACAGTTTTAAGACAGGAAGTCTTCTAACCAAAGAATCTCTCCATTTATTCATCAGTATTTTTCTCCATAAGGTTTTATATTTCCCTTCATATAGGTCATGCATATCATAAATATTATTATGTACATTACTCATTTTCACTTTTCTCTATTTTGTTTTGCTTCATTTTTAAAAAACTTTCCTAGGTGGAATTTTCTCACTACATCTTTGAGCATATTGATAGAACATAGTAAATATATTTATTTTAGTTCATTTGCCTTTTATTCAGACACTTAACTGAGCTCCATTATTAGTTCTAATAGCTTTATAATTTTTCTATGTGCACAAATATATGTAATGAAGTAAATGATCTAATAGTTGATGTGTATTGAGCACTTGAAATGTACCAGCTAAGCACTACACTTCACACGCATTAGTTCACTTGAATCCATTTGTCATCTTAAAAAAACCTCATTGCCCAGATGTCCCTCTGTGCTTGAATTAATTGTGCCATGAATTGGTATCTGCTATTAATTGTAATTATAGGTTGTTCTATAAACATGGGGCAGTTAGACTTGAAACCCCTCCAAATAATCATACCTTAGGTTACCGTGTCATATGTGAATGGGTGCAGGAAGGGAGGCAAAAAGGTATAAAGTTCCAGTTGAATAAAGAAGTAAGGGGAAAGCCAGGGTTTGGTTGGGCAAACATAAAGAACTGGAGATTTTATAGAAATAGCCTGCAATTCTGCACCCCTCCTTCTGTGCCCATCTTTGCAGACAGATCTAGCTAATTACAGAAGAAGCAGGCAAAGTCCATCCCTTCCCTCCAACCCTTTCCTCCTCCCCTTCTCCAGGCACTGTTTCTGAGAAAAGGAGGTTTTTTTTTGTTTTTGTTTTATGAGACAGGGTCTTGCTCTGTCACCCAGGCTTTAGGGCAGTGGTGCGATCATAGCTCACTGTAGCCTGGACCTCCAGGGCTCAAGCCATCCTCCCACCTCAGCTTCCCAAATAGCTGGGACTATAGGAGCACACTACCAAAACAGGCTAATTTTTAAAAAAATTTTGTGTAGTGACAGAGTCCCACTGTGTTGCTCAGGCTAGTCTCAAACTCCTGGGCTCAAGTGATCCTCCTGCCTCAACCTCCCAAAGTGCTGGGATTAGAGTTTCTGATTTCTTGAGTTGAATAAGCAGTTTGTTTATTTACTTCCTTCTTGTAAGTGCTGGGATGGGAGTTTCTGATTTCTTGGGTTGAATGTGCGGTTTGTTTATTTACCTTCTCTCTTGTTTAAAAATTTAAGTGATCACAAGTGTACACTTATCTCTCGCTTCTACTTTAACAGCATTCCGTAAGAGTTGATAGACACTGTTTCATTGTCATTATTTTTTTAAATGGCCTATAATTATGGCTCTGATTTCCTCTTGGACTCAAAAACTTATTATAGTTTTTGTTTTAATTTCTAAGCAAGTGGGTATTTTAAGCATTTATAATCATTATTATTATTTGCTTTGTGATCAGAAAATCTGAACCCTACAATTTCTGCTTTTTGAAATTTATTACGTTTTCCTCAAGGCCTGGTATACAGCCAACTCTTTCATGAACGCTTAATCAGAAATTAATTCTCTGTAGATTGGGAAGGTTTACATTACAGATACATAGAGATGTGACAGAAGTGGATAGATAGACATAGATATCAATGATTCCAATCTTAATTATTTTAGTATTCAAATACTGTATTTAATCTTAAACCACAGAAATGCTTAAGGAGTTGCATCTTCTTTCACAATGTTTTTCTGGTAATTTTTTTTCTGTTTCTTTTTTGTTTGTTTGTTTTTTGTTGTTGTTTTTTTTTTTTGAGATGAAATTTCACTCTTGTTGCCCAGGCTGGAGTGCAATGCGATGGCGTGATCTCAGCTCACCGCAAACTCCGACTCCCGGGTTCAAGCGATTCCCATGCCTCAGCCTGCCCAGTAGCTGGGATTACAGGTGCCTGCCACCACTCCTGGCTAATTTTGTATTTTCCACAGAGACGAGGTTTCTCCATGTTGGTCAGGCTGGTCCGGAACTCCCCACCTCAGGTGATCTGCCCGCCTCAGCCTCCTAAAGTGCTGGGATTACAGGCGTGAGCCACCTCACCTGGCCTCTTTTCTATTTCTAATAGCTGTGATTGTATATATTTGATGCTATTCAATATTATACTTATTATGAAAATGACATGTGCCTTTATATCCGGGGTTCCCAATCCCTGGTACCTGGTCCGTGGTCTGTTAGGAACTGGGCCACACAATAGGAGGTGAGCAGTTGGTAAGTGAGCGAAGCTTCATTTGTGTTATAGCCTCTCCACATCGCTCACATGACTGCCTTAGCTCTGTCCCCTGTCAGATCAGTGAGGGCATTAGATTCTCATAGGAGCGCCAACCCTGTTGTGAACTGTGCATACAAGGGATCTAGGTTGCACACTCCTTACGAGAATCTAACGCCTGATGACCTTTCACTGTCTCCCATCACCCTCAGATGGTACCGTCTACCTGCAGGAAAACAAGCTCAGGTGTCCCACTGATTCTTTTTTTTTCTTTTTCTTTTTTTCTTTTTGAGACGGAGTCTCGCTCTGTCGCCCAAGCTGGAGTGCAACGGTGCGATCTCGGCTCACTGCAACCTCCGCCTCCCCAGCTCAGGTGATTCTCTGCCTCAGCCTCCAGAATAGGTGGGACTACAGGCGCCCGCCACCACGCCAGGCTAATTTTTTGTAATTTTAGTAGAGACGGGGTTTCACCGTGTTAGCCAGGATGGTCTCGATCTCCTGACCTCGTGATCGGCCCCCCTCAGCCTCTCAAAGTGCCGGGATTACGGGCGTGAGCCACCGTGCCCGGCCCCACTGACTCTACATTATGGTGAGTTGTATAATTATTTCATTAGATATTACAATATAATAATAATGGAAATAAAGTGCACAATATCTGTAATGTACTTGAATCATCCCAAAACCATTTTCCCACCAGTCCGTGGAAAAATCATCTTCCACAAAACCAGTTCCTGGTACCAAAATGGCTGGGGAGTGCCGCTTTATATTATTTAATGTATTTGCCTTGAACTTGACTGTTTCTAACGCCTTTTACCTTGAGTTCTGCTTTTTCAAATGAGATTTCTCATTCTTGCTTTTGTTTTGTTTGTACTTTCCCCATAACGTCCAATATATTTTTGCTCATCCTTCAAAAGATAGGATAGAAAAAATATGTAGTGATAAAAATGAGTCTTGTATCCTCAGGCAGATAGTTAGAAAACTCCAACCTCATACCTTCCCTTGTATTCTGGCAAATCTACCTTTTGGCACAGATGTCACTAATACGTCCTTTAATATTTTATAGAAAGCAAAAAGAGATATTCACACCTTTACTTGACACCTAATCCAACGGTGCAGAGATTATCTTTCTTTAGTTTTTGTGGGAGCAAATGATGCTGGGTTTCCACAATAGCCTCTTGCTTCTGGTTAAATACCAACTCGGTGGCTGTATGAGTCAGGGTTCTCTAGAGGGACAGAACTAATAGGATACATGTATCTATAAAGGGAGTTTATTAAGAATTGGCTCACACAATCACAAGGTAAAGTCCCACAACAGGCTGTCTGAAAGTTGAGGAGCAAGGAAGTCATTGGTGGATCAGTCTAACTCCTGAAACCTCGAAAGTAGGGAAGCCCACAGTACAGCCTTCAGTCTGTGGCCAAAGGCCCGTGAGCCCCTGGCAAACCAGTGGTGTAAGTCCAAGAGTCCAAAAGCTAAACAACTTGGAGTCTGATGTTCAAGGGCAGGAAGCATCCAGCACAGGAGAAAGATAAAGGCTGGATGACTCAACAAGTCAAGTCATTCCACGTTCTCCTGCTGCCTGCTTTATTTTAGCCGTGCTGGCAGCTTATTAGATGGCGCCCACTCAGATTGAGGGTGAGTCTGCCTGTCCCAGTCCACTGACTCAAATGTTAATCTCCCTGGGCAGCACCCTCACAGACACATCCAGGAACAACACTTTGCATCCTTCAATCCAATGAAGTTGACCTTCAGTATTAACCATCACAGTGGCCCAAAGGAAAGAAGGTAGCATTAAGGTACCGCTAGATGAAGACGGGCTGCCTAATTCTGATTTATCTTTCAAGACCTTTCTCACCTTCTGATTGAGGTCACTCAGACCCTTGACCCAGATGGACATCACACTTGACATAGAAGGAGAAATCAGAGCAAAGCTTTCCACACTAGACTTGCAGTCCTTTTACTGGCATGCATTTACCATCCCACCAATCAAAGCTAAACAAATAGCAGGGTGGCAGTAATTTATACACGGGAAGAAGAACAATTTAGAATTTCTAGAAATGTAACTATGGCAACAAATTTAAAAAGTTAGCTACAATTTGTCATTCCTTAAAGTCATGCATATTACATTATCCTAATAATTTACGTAGTAATTACTTAATAAGCCCAAATGAGAGGAATGAGTAATCGTGTGAGCCTAAGGCTGGATTAATGTGTGGTTTAAGAGTGGATGGCCTTGTCTTTTCCATTCAACCTTGCTAACTTCTGTGCATTGCATATTCAGCAGAATGGATGACCTCTGCTTCAAAGACAAAGATCATCTCTACAAAGATGGCCATAGAAGTTTAGTGCTATATGCTTGTATTAGTGAGGGTTCCCTAGAGGGACAGAGCTGGTAGGATAGATGTATATATAAAGGGTAGTTTATTAAGGAGTATTGACTCACAGGATCACAAAGTCCCACAATAGTGTGTCTGCAAGCTGAGGATCAAGGAAGCCAATCTGAGTCCCGAGGCTGAAGAACTTGGAGTCTGATGTTCGAGGGCAGGAAGCATCCAGCACAGAAGAAAGATGTAGGTTGGGAGGCTAAGCCAGTCTACTCTTTCCATATTCTTCTGCCTGCTTTGTATTCTGGCCACTCACAGCTGACTAGATGGTGCCCATCCAGATTGAGGGTGGGTCTGCCTTTCCTAGTCTACTGACTCAAATTTTTTTTTTTTTTTTGAGACAGTCTTGCTCTGTTGCCCAGGCTGGAGTGCAGTGGCGTGATCTCAGTTCACTGCAACCTCTGCCTCACCTCCTGGGTTCAAGCGATTCTCCTGCCTCATCCTCCTGAGTAGCTGTGACTACATGCGTGTGCCACCACACCCAGCTAATTTTTTGTATTTTTTTTTAGTAGAGATGGAGTTTCACCATGTTAGCCAGGATGGTCCCGATCTCCTGACCTCATGATCCACCCACCTCAGCCTCCCAAAGTGCTGGGATTACAGGTGTGAGCCACTGCATCCGGCCAAACTCAAATGTTATTCTCTTTTGGCAACACCCTCACAGACACACCTAGGAATAATACTTTGCATCCTTCAATCCAATCAAGTTGACACTCAATATTCACCATCGTAATGCTTAACTTTTGCACGTACATAGAGGAATTCACCAGATGACAAGTGGAAATTTTGGTTAAACAGTCATATTTCAGGGTATCTTTGGTTCCAATCTTTAATGGAACTATATACTGGCCACTTTGTGATGACAGAATTATCCACTGCCTTAAAACAGTTGTTTGGGGTATGGGGGGCCAAATTCATTGATTAAAAATGAGCATTGGAAAGACCAAATCTAGAGTCAAGTCATCGATTGCTGGGAGAGGAGGTTCCCAGGGGACCCATTGTTGATTAGGACCTGGGGAAGCTAAGGGAACTTGGCCAATTCAAGCAATTTGGCAAAACTCACTTTTCTAACTTTTCTTTTAAAGTCAACACATAATCTGTTCCTTCTGGCTTTTGGGAAAAGGGTGTTTCTCTTGGCCATTGCAGGCTTACTAGTAGAGATGGCATAAAACGAAAGCAAAGCAGTTAATTCCACAGCTCGTTCTACTCACAGAATGGTTGGAACATTCCTCCCCAGTGAATTCCTTCCTCTGACGTTTCCTCCCTCTTTTCACATTTGTCCCGAGTTCCCAGGTCCCTGGATGATTTTCCACTTCAATTCAGCGATGTTTATTGCACACTTACCATGCGCTGGCACTGTGGTAGGCATTAGGATGTAACAGTGACCCAGGCCATGTCACCTTCTACCCTCTTGGAGTTTACAGTCTACGTAAAGTGGAGGGGGTCACTGATTCATGTGGATGCCATTTCCAGAGCATTCTACCCCTGTTTGCTTCCCAAGACTTCATTCATTGCTGGAGCCACCACTATCCTGGCAGGTGTCATTGTCCCCAGTGATACAGAGACACTTCTTTCTTGCTCAGAAAAAGTACTGCAGCCATAAAGCCCAGCCCCATTGTTATTTCCAACTTCTGCTTATCCTTCTGTTCCTTGGGGCACCAGCAAAAAAGTCAGTCACCTGGAGTTTTGTTCAACTGAATCCATGGGCCCACCCCTAAACCAAAGGATCAGAATTCATGGGGTGGTAAAAAAAAAAAAACTTAACCAGGTGATTCTTAAATACATTATACTAGGGTGCTAAAGGCCCTTGGATCTAGTCCCTAGGCAAGGTCAAGACTCCTGCAAGCCAGGAGCTTGTTACTGCCACATTGGCCAGCTTGTCCTGACAAATACACCATACCAGGTAGTATATAGTAACGATCATATGCTTATATAGAGAACCTTTCTTGCCCTTCAACTGCCTCCACTTTTCATTCATTCATCTTCCTCTATTTGAGAGAAATAAACTCCCTTCTCCTGGCAACCACCTCACCTCTCTTTTCCTAATAGCAGCTTTGATTTCTCCTCTTCCAGATAAATCTCATCACCCTTAATAGATTAAAGTCTAGGCATCCCTTTTCTTCTCCTATATCTTCAATTTTTTGTTTTGCTATAATTATATTCCATAAAATTAGTTTCAGAGATCAGGGAACTCCTTCTTCAAACAGAGTTGTATTTGCAGTCAACACCTTGGCAAAGTAAGCAACAATAAGCATTTTTAAAGGAGGATAAACTAAATCTCTTGTGTGTGTGTGTGTGTGTGTGTGTGTGTGTGTGTGTGTGAGAGAGAGAGAGACAGAGAGAGAGACAGAGAGAGAGAGAGAGAGACAGAGTCTCACACTGTCAGCCAGGCTGAAGTGCAGTGGCGTGATCTCAGCTCACTGCAACCTCCACCTCCTAAGTTCAAGTGATTCTTCTGCCTCAGACTCCCGAGTAGCTGGGATTACAGGCATGTGCCGCCACACCCAGCTAAGTTTTGTATTTTTAGTAGAGACAAAGTTTCACCATGTTGGCCAGACTGGTCTCGAACTCCTAATCTTAAGTGATCTACCCGCCTCAGCCTCCCAAAGTGCTGGGATTACAGACATAAGCCACCACTCCTGGCCTTAAATCTCATTTTTAAAGGTACCTAGGAGGGTTTGCTTTTTGAAATAATCACATATTGGCTGGGTGCAGTTTTAGGTGTTCGTGCCTGCAACCCCAGCACTTTGAGAGGCTGAGCCAGGAGGTTTGCTTGGGACCAGGAGTTCAAGACCAGCCTGGGCAACATAGGAAAATCCCATCTCCACAAAAAAATAATAATTAGCCTGGTGAAATAGTGCACAACTACAGTCCCAGCTACTTGGGAAGCTCAGGCAGGAGAATTGCTTGAGCCCAGGAGTTCAAGGCTGCTGTGAGCTATGATCACAGCACTGTACTCTAGTCTGGGTGAAGGACTGGGATCCTGTCTCTATAAGAAAAAAAAGGAAAAGACAAAATAATCACATTAAACCTTTTTTGAAATAAATAATCTCTTTTTCTTGCTTATATAGACTGCTAATCTATCTTTAAAAATAGAGTCTGTTCACACCCACACACACACGTCCCTGTGCTTGTGTGTGCTTGTGTGTAAATCTGATATTGTTTAATATGGAAGCATCTGCAAAGTGTTTAACAGAATGTCATGTGTGATTAGCTTTTATTTAAGGGGCTTTTTGTTTTTCTTTTCCTTCTGCTGATGATAGTAAGAGGACATGGGAAATGATTAACAGGTTAGAAGCAGACTGTAAGGAAAGACTAAAGGAATTATGGATATTTGCCTGGAGCCACAGGCTGATACGTAGTTAATTACAGTCTTCAAGTTAATGAAGCAATATTTTATGGGTGATCGTGAGCAACTGTATTTTTTATTCTAAGAACAAGAAGACCTTATGTTAGAACAAGACAGACTGGATTTAAAGTAGGAGTTTCAAAAGTAGATGTCTGGGAATGAAGAAAATCAGCACCTAGAAAGATCATGGTATTACTGTCTACATTTTCTTTTTTTTTTTTTCGAGACAGAGTCTCACTCTATCACCCAGGCTGGAGTGCAGTGATGCCACCACGACTGGCTAGTTTTTTTTTTTAATTTTTATTTTTGAAGAGATGGGGCCTTGCTGTTTCCCAGGCTGGTCTCAAACTCCTGAGCTACTGCAGTCTTCCCGTCTTGGCCTCCCAAATTGCTGGGATGAGAGGTATAAGCCACCACACCTGGCCCTCTCTAGATTTTTAATAAGGGATAAGCAACTGCATGGAATGGTTTATGATACTCGTCTGTAGCTGCAGCCTGGTAGCCCACAGCAAACACTGACTTATGTTACAACCTCTGTACCTCTTTTCCCATTATCCTTCTAATTGAATTTCCCTCCTTCCTATTTGTATAAACCTTCTCATATTTTTAATTCTCTAGCTCATTACAAAGTTTTCCCTCTCTACTCCTGATTATTCTTCCACCTCTTGGCATTCATTATCCATTGTATTGTTACAGTGCATTAGTCAATAAAGCTAACCTTTGTTGCAGTAACAAACAAACCTCCAAGTTCCGGTAGTTAAAATGTAAGCGTTCATTTCTTTATTTACACAAAGTTTGCTGAGGTCTCATCAACTCTCCAAGGCAGCCCAGTGACTAAGCAGTGACTCAGGGATTCCTTTTTGTGGCTCCACCAACTCAGGGTTATATGGTATATGAAGTGTCTTCAAAAGGTTCACAGAAAATACATATTATGGAAAAATTATGCACAGATTTTATTTTGTTTTGCATCAAAATAAACTCATACTGACTTGTTATGACATATCTGAACAGGATCTATTTTGAGGCACTAAAGATAAATCATCCTGAAAAGAGCCTCTATCAGAGCAACATTAGTTCTGTTAAAATTGAAGAAGGAGCAAATATACAGTTTATGGTGAAGCTTGGGTGGAAGAATGGCAAAATCATTGATGTTTTACGAAAAGTTTATGGGGAAAATGCCCCAAAGAAATCATCAGTCTACAAATAGATACATCATTTTAAGAAAAGATGAGATGATGAAAATGAAGCCTGCAATGGCAGATCATCCACATCGATTTGCAAAAAAAAGATTAATCTTGTTTGTGCCTTCATTGAAAAGGAGCCACACATAACAGCAGAAACAATAGCTGATACCATGAACATCTCAACTGGTTCAGTTTACACAATTCTGACTGAAAAATTAAAGTTAAGCAAACTTTCCACTGGATGGGTGTCAAAGTGATTGCACTTAGATAAGCTGCAGACAAGGGCAGTGATTTCAATAGAAATTTCAAATAAGTGTGATCAAGATCCTGAAATATTTCTTCAAAGAATTGTAATAAGAGATGAAACACGGCTTTACCAGTACGATCCTGAAGACAAAGCAAAATCAAAGCAATGGCTACGAAGAGGTGGAAGTGTGAGTTTCTCTCCACCACGACAATGCTTCTGCTCACTCCTCTTATCAAACACGGCCAATTTTGCAAGAGTCTCAATAGAAAATCATTAGGCTTCATGTAACAGTCCTGACTTGGCCCCTTCTGACTTCTTTTTGTTTCCCAATCTTAAAAAATTCTATGAAGGGCACCCATTTTTCTTCAGATAATAATGTAAAAAAGATTACATTGACATGGTTAAATTTTCAAGACTCTTGGTTCTTCAGAGATGAGCTAAAGTACTGGTCTCAACACTTACAAAAGTGTCTTGAACTTGATGGAGCTTATGTAAAGAAATGAAGTTTATATTTTTACACTTTTAATTCCATTTAATTTAATTTCCATTTTTCCAGATTTTGAAGTCCTCTCATATGTGGCAAGGGAAGAGGCTCTTGGACAGTTCTGTGCCATCTCTTAAACACATTAGCCTGGAAGTGATGACATGACTCCCACTCATAGCCCATTTGCCAAAACCACTCTTACGCCAATCTGTCTAACTGCAAGGAAATTAGGAAGATGTAGGGGATGGTGAGGGGTTGCCTAAGAGTATGAAGACAACTATCACTTTCTCTACCACATGAAATCTCTCTACTGAAGGATCAGTCTCAAAGGCCTTATACTTTTTTGATCTGGAAGCTTGATCTTGGTACATGCCTATTGATCATAATGGTGGCATCACTTGTTCTACTTATGAATGTCATTTAGATTTAAGGCACAGATTACTGGAACTACAAGTGAGTGGAGGAGAGAGGAAAAAGGATACCAAGAGACTCTGTTCCTCACCTAAACTTCCAACATATATGTCTAATTTCTTAGTATTTACCCTGTATCAGTCCTTGCTAATTATGGCCTCAGATTCCCTGGGACTCTGGGTCTTAGTCTGTTTTTGTTACTTTTCCTCTTCAGTTCATTTTAAACATAGGTCTTGTCTATAACCATCCTCGACTTAGGTGATAAGCCTATTTCCAGGCTAGAATCAAACCTAATCCTGTAACTGGCTTGAAGTTTTGCAACCCAATAATGCCAAGTAATGCTGTCCAACATTTGATATGAGTTTTATTGTGTTTGTTGAAGTATGACTTGAGAATCATGCAGACCTGGGTTCAAACCACATCTGTCCAATGGAGATAAGAGACAAATGGAGATTATATTAGCTTTGTGGATTATTGTGAGAAGGAAATGAGGTAATAAAGTGTAAAGTATCTAGCGCAGTGCCTGAAATACAGTAAGCACTCAACAAAGTTATCAATTCTTATTATTAGGTTATTAAAATCAGCAAGCTTAAAATATTTAGGCAGAAGCATTCTAATATCTGCAATTTATATTGTACAAAAAGATAAGCTAGATTGATGAACAAGTAGATGGATAGAGATGTGAAAATGAAAATGCAGTAAAATGTTAACAGTAGAATCCAGATGGTGGGTATATGGATATTCACTGTATAATTATTTCAACTTCTCTGTATGTCTAAGTATTTTCATAAGAAAAACATTGAAGGATATCCGTAGGTTTATACCTTTCACCTGCCCTCTCCAGACATACATAAGACATACATAAAGCTTAAAATCTGCCTTGGACAGGATCCTACAAATTTAAAAATCTTATAGAGCACCTCCCTGCCCCTTAACTTCCAGAACTGGCAACAGGTTACTTTGAAATTATCAGCATACAATACAAACTTCTCTTGTCTTATACATTATTTGCCGGGGAAAAATATGGATGAAATATTATTCACAATGGGTCATGTGCATTCTATGTGGCAACCACTTGTAGTCCATTTTCTGTTGCCTATAAGAGAATATCTGAAACTGAGTAAGTTATATGAAAATAAATTTAGTTCTTATAATGATGGAGGCTGAGAAGGCCAAGATTGAGAGTCTACATCTGGTGAGTGCCTTGTTGACAGTGGGGACTCTCTTCAGAGTCCCAAGGCATCAGAGGGCAAGTGGAGAGGGGGCTTAGTGTGCTAACATCCTAGCTCAGGTCTCCCATCCTCCTCTTCTTATAAAGCCATCAGTTCCTCTCCCATGATAACCCATTAATCTATTGACCCATTAAACCATTAATCCATGAATTGATTGATCTGTTCATGAGAGCAGAGCCCTTATGATTTAATCATCTCTTAAAGGTCCCCTCCCCTCAATACTGCCACACTGGAATTAAATGTCTCCATTTCACATGAGTTTTGGAAAGGAAAAATATTCAAACCACAGCAGACTCTAATTTAATTTGGAATATAAAACAGACTATGTATTCCACAGAGACACCAGGAATTTTAGGGACATAGAAGAAATTCTGTGTAAATAGAGGTTATGGAAGCACAGCCCAGCAAGTTATGCTTAGAAAATCCACCTCAAAGCGGCCAGGTACGGTGGCTCATGCCTGTAATCCCAGCACTTTGGTAGGCTGAGGTGGGCGGATCACAAGGTCAGATTGAGATCATCCTGGCTAACACGGTGAAACCCCATCTCTGCTAAAAATAAAAAAATTAGCCAGGCGTGGTTGTACGCTCCTGTAGTCCCAGCTATTTGGGAGGCCGAGGCAGGAGAACTGCTTGAACCCGGGAGGCAGAGTTTGCATTAAGCTGAGGTCACGCAGTTGTACTCCAGCCTGGGTGACAGGGCAAGACTTCATGTCAAAAATAATAATAATAATAAATAAATAAATAAAATTAAAATTAAAATTAAAAAAAGAAAAGCAAAACCACCTCAAAACTACAGCTACAACCATCCTCTGGCTTCCTGAAGCCTCTGGTAGCAACCATGAAAATGACAAAAATTGGCAAGATCTACTCTTACAAATCAAACCACAGAATTGACAGACTCTCAAGGGAAACAAGCATGAAATCCATAGATTCATAATGTTTAAAGTAACATTGCATAAAATCCATTAGATTCTTCTCATTTTACAAGGGAAGAAAGAGAAGTCTGAAACCTAATTAAGACATTGAAGGTGATAACGATTTTGATTTCAAACTCATCTCCACCCTCTTTTCTAGTGAAAATGCTAAAAGTGTATCTTGGGGGTAATTTACTCTACCTCTCATTATCTCTCCATGAGCACTCCCTGCCATACACATACACAGCTTCTGTAAATAACCAAGATGTTGAATCTGAGTTAGAGCCCTGATCTGGCTCTGCACACCCATTTCAAGCCAAGTCTTCTAGGCATCCCTCCAAGCCAATTGCCAGCCCCAAGTACCTCCTACATGCAAGTTCTACAGCCACTATTTCATACGTTCAAGTTCCTTGGTTACAGCCCTAGTCAAAGACATAATGACCCCTGACCTGAACTTTCTCAATGTCCTCCTTACACCTTCCCAACCCTAAGTCTCTCCCCTCAATATCTCTTATAGGTCCTGCAGACCAATCTTTCTAGTTATGCAGTTGTGATCTCATCATGACTCCAACTGGATGGTTAGGGCTCGCCATGTCTCATTCCTTCACCTCTTAAGATAAAAGACCACCCAGGAACCCCTCAGTCCTTGGAATGCATTGACTTCCACCTTTCCTGGCATGCCCAGGCAGTATAAAGTATCAGTTGGCACTGGTTGAAACCCCTACTTTTTGTTTATAGTCTAGAATATCCTACTCACATCCACGCATATGGAAATTCTACCTATTCTTCAACACCTAGAGCAAATATAACCTTGGCCATGAGGAGAATCTCTGATGCACAGATAACCTGTGATATGGTTTGTCTGTGTCCCCACCCAAATCTCATCTTGAATTGTAGCTCCCATAATTCCCACATGTTGTGGGAGGGACCCAGTGGGACATAATTGAATCATGGGGACGGGTCATTCCTGTGCTGTTCTCATGACAGTGAATAAGTCTGATGAGACCTGATGGTTTTATAAAGGGGAGTTCCCCTGCACATGTGCTCTTGCCCACCACCATGTAAGAAGTACCTTTGCTCTTCGTTCATCTTCTGCCATGTTTGCAAGGCCTCCCCAGCCACATGGAACTGTGAGTCCATTAAGCCTCTTCCCTTTATAAATTACCCAGTCTCGGGTATGTCTTATTAGCAGTGTGAGAGCAGATTAGTACAACCTCCCTTACCTTTGCCCTCCCATAAGGCATGGTTTGACCTTAGACAAAAGACATATGGCATTTTCCAATATTTTGTCTTAAGGCAAAATGTGTTTGCCTTAGGACAAAATCTTTGTTGTTGTTTTGCTTTGTTTTGCCTCTTTGCTAGATTGTAATCTACCTGAAGCTCCAAGCAGGGACAACCTGGGCCATTCCTGAGGCCTTATCCTGCACCAGGCACTTCCTCCTTGTCATCTGCTTAAACCTCTCTCCAACCAGGCAGGTGCCGTTATGAACCCTCCATTGCTGAGCAAGACAGGATCAAGACAGACAGGGTCTTACCCTTTGTAGGCTCACAATAAACGTCTAAGGAATTAATTAAATTGTGCTCCTTTCCAAGGGCTGTTTATTCAAATGTAACTTTTCAAAGTTTCCCTAAGAACTCAAAGATAAAAATGTGTGTTAGATTTTTTAACTGGCATTCATTAATGATGCCTTATTATATATCCCTCCAATGGCCTTTCTTCACCCCATTCTCAAATACATCTCTATGTTTTTGAAGTAGAAAGGCTCTTTAAAGAGAGGTCAGCCTAGTAATGATGAAATGCTGACAGGGAAGCAATTGACACGCAGTTGCTTAAAAAATACTGACCCCCTCTGACAGAAGGAAGTGAAAAGTCAAGTGGCAAATGATTGCTCTTCTTAAACAGAAGAGACTAATCCTGAGGTTGGGTGCTCTTGTGCTGAGAAGAGAACACAATGAGAATTTACCACCCTCTTGATCTTAAGAAAACAGCTGGTGTAGAGAAAGGGGAAATTATCTCTAATTCACTCAACTGAACCACAAATATAGCTGTCATCTTTTTCAGAGTAAGAAGAGTAGATGCTATTGGGAGATGAGGATGAAGGACCCAGATGGATACAGTCTGGATGGAGAGCTGATGTGACTTATTATTCTGCCCGTGAGAAGCCCTGCACAATTTTCATTCATGCTTACAGCACCAAATGGTACTTTGAGCTGCCATTGGAATGAAAAATACAGTGCAAATATAAATCCATTTTGGCAACGCTTGACTTTTTTTCTGAGGGTATAAAACTTTGGGGTCTGAATCACTTGATGATAAAAGAGATACACAGACAGTTTTTCATTCATTTAACAAATATTAGCTGAGAACCCAGAAACTGTGCCCTAGGGATGTTGAAGTGAAAGTGTTACATGAGCTGAGACCTAACTTACCAGCTGTGTTGATCTAGAAGGAAGAGAGATCTAAGTTAGGGCCACTGCCTAAGCTTGAGGGGGCTTGCAGTATCTGTGGGAACCTGCATTCTCTTCTTTTCTGAAAATCATTAAAATTATATTTAAATTTTAAAATTTTGTTATGATGAGGTGCCTATGAAGATGTCAGCAGTGTGGTTATCCTGAGTGGCTTCCACACTGCTTGAGCCAGAATGCACACCCTATTCATAACCAGTCTGAGCAAGTTGTAACCCCAGATGGTCCTGCTGTCTCATGTTAGGGTTGTAGACCTTTCAGATGAATGTTAAGGATGGGATCCAAGTACCAGCCCTTGTGTCGATAGAATTATTTAAAGCGGCCAAGGATACAAAATCATGGGGCAAAAGAAATCCATTTCTTGGACAGGTGCGGTGGCTCATGGCTGTAATCCCAGCACTTTGGGAGGCCGAGGCGGGCAGATCATGAGGTCAAGAGATTGAGACCATCCTGACCAACATGGTGAAACCCCATCTCTACTAAAAATACAAAAATTAGCTGGGCGTAGCGTTGGGCACCTGTAGTCGCAGCTACTTGGTAGGCTGAGGCAGGAGAATCACTTGAACCTGGGTGGCAGAGGTTGCAGTGAGCAGAGATTGTGCCACTGCACTCCAGCCTGATGACAGAGCAAGACTCCATCTCAAAAAAAAAAAAAAAGAAAAGAAAAGAAAAAGAAAAAGAAATCCATTTCTCAGAGACACAAAATGGAAGAACTAAGTCTGCCCCCAAGTTCAAGGCGTGGAGTAGGGCAGATCATGCATAACAAAATGGAGAGTCAGAAGGTGCAATGATGCATGCCTGGAGCCCAGAAAAAGCCAAAAATTGAGCAAAAAGGAGCCAAGAAAGTTTCTGAAAATGGAGATGGAGCGTCATCAGTATTAAGCCTGAATGCACAGATGGATGGATTGGCTTTTGGATGATGTCATGGGGTAAGGGTGGACACACGTTCATTTAGGCATCACCTTGAGTGGAAAAAAGAGAGCATGATAGCTGGAGAAAGAGCATCCAAGTGTTTCAATGGGAAAGAGCTCTGATATCACCTCGAGATTGGAAAGCTTTTCACATCCTTCCAAGGGAATCACCGCTCCATTCTGGAAAAAAAAAAATCAGTATTTAATATTGCTTTGGAGAATTTCTAGTTCTTCATGTAACAAATCCTTTGAAATTGCACTGAAGTTACACTTGAATATACTGTATTTGCCTGCCATTTACTAATTCACATGGGCTGTTCTTTCTAATCTCTACATCAGAGCAAAATCCTTTTCATGCTCCATTTCCTGGACACTACAGCCTCTTATTTTGTAGATAATGTTCTCTTTTTCTACTATGATTCCAAATGACTGGAAAAAAAATACACAAGTCTCAACCAGCCCCATGTAATAACCTGCCTACTGCCACAATATGGGTTGCTGAGGGCTTTTTGTTTACTATTTTACTCCATGTAAGATGGTTACATGTCAAAGATTTTTACAATGTTGGAGGCTTTTAGAAGATCAAGAGTGGATAAAGAGATGTGATATGATTTTAGACTTTTTGATTTTGGCCTGGTTTGTCATTTGTCTCCACTTGTTTCTTCCAAACAATCCACTATATTTTTCTGCAATTTTATTGTACTTACAATTTTAAATATTTTATTAAAGTACAACATTACAGCATGATGTATTTTTTTTTCCAAAATTTGCCACAGCAATATATCTGGTCCCCAGTAGTCTTTCAGAATTTTGCCAATCCCCAGCCAGAGATAGAGTAAATTTTTTCCTCACTTTGAAATTGGATGGGCGTTTGTGGCTGTCTTGATGAACAAAATTCAGGGCTAGTGACACTACACAGCTTGGAGACAAGGTCATAAAAGACAATATGGCTTCCACCTGACTCTCCATGCTCATCTTTAAAAACCAGTCGCCATGTTGTGGGGAAGCCCAGACCACATGAGGAGGCCTCATGTAGGTGTTCCAGGCAAAAGCCCCAACTAAAGTTTCACCCAAAGCTAGCACCATTTCAATTCAATTTTAACCAGCATCAATTGGAAGACATGGAAGTGAGAAAGCCTCACATAATCCTAGCCCCCAGCCTTCCAGCGGCCCCAGCTGATGATGAATGTAGTGAACACAAGTTATCCCTGCCAGGCTCTGCCCAAATTGCAGATTCATGAGAAAAGTTAATGTTGCTTTAAGCCACCATGTTTTGCAGTGATTTGTTACCCATTACTGGGTGACTAGAACAAACACTCACACAGAAGACACATGTCATAATTATACAGGTTGATGAATTTTCACAAACTGAACACAGCCATGCAACCAGCACTCAGATCAAAAAAATAGCTTCTCAGAAGCCTCATTACTCTTCTGGTCCTCCCTCCAAAAGATAGCTACCATCCTAACATTTTTTGCCTAATTAATGTTTTTGCCTATCCCAATGAAATTTCTTTTTTGCCTATTTTAGTATTGACCAAAGCTGTCACATGGTTGTTGTGACCCCATTAGCAGCAACTTGCCTAGGACAATGAGGTAAGATCCCAGCCAAGGAACTCCTGCCTCTGGGAGGGTTCCCAGTTAGAAGAGGATTGCTGTGTGCTATGGACTGAACCACATCCCCCTAGAATTCATGTTTGGAAGCCCTAATCCCCAGTGTGATGGTATTTGGAAATAGGACCTTACAGGAGGTAATTAAAGATAAATGAGGTCTCAAGGGTGTGGCCCTAACCAAGAGGCATAGTGCCCTTAGAAGCAGAGGAGACACCAGTAGAACATGCACACAGAGGGAAGGCCACAGTCAGAAGGCAGCTGTTTAAAAGCCAGCAAGAGAGACCTCACTAGAAACCAAACCTGCTGGCACCTTGATCTGGGACTTTCAGCCTCCATAACTGTGATAAAATGAATTTCTGTCATTGAAGCCATCTAGTCTGTAATATTTTGCTAAGGCAGCATGAGCAGGATTATACTGGATAATCAATGAAGCCTAACACCACTGTGGTGGAGAGCTTAGTTGAAAATGGAAAAACTGCCGGGAACAGTGGCTCATGCCTGTAATCTCAGCACTTTGGGAGGCCAAGGCAGGCGGATCACTTGAGGTCAAGAGCTCAAGACCAGCCTGGCCAATATGGCAAAACTCCATCTCTACTAAAAATACAAAAATTAGCCAGGTGTGGTGCCAGGCACCTGCAATCCCAACTACTCAGGAGGCTGAGGCATGAGAATTGCTTGAACCCACCCGGGAAGTGGAGATTGCAGTGAGCCAAGATCATGCTACTGACTCCAGCCTGGGTGACAGAGCAAGACTCTGTCTCAAAAAAAATAAAAAATAGAAAAAAGAAAGAAAGAAAAGGAAGGAAGGAAGGAAGGAAGGGAAGAAAGAAAGAAAGAAAAAGAAAGGAAGAAAGAGAAAGAAAGAGAAAGAAAGAAAGAAAGAAAGAAAGAAAGAAAGAAAGAAAGAAAGAAAGAAAGGAAGGAAGGAAGGAAGGAAGGAAGGAAGGAAGGAAGGAAAGAAGGAAGGAAGAAAGAAAGAAAGAAAGAAAGAAAGAAAGAAAGAAAGAAAAAGAAAGAAAGGAAGGAAGAGAGAGAGAGAAAGAAAGAAAAAAGAAAGAAAGAAAGAAAGAAAGAAAGAAAGAAAGAAAGAAAGAAAGAAAGAAAGAAAGAAAGAGAAAGAAAGCAAGCAAGCCACCTGTAATCCCAGCTACTTGGGAGACTGAGGCATGAGAATCGCTTGAACCCAGGAGGCGGAGGTTGCAGCGAACCGAGATCGTTCCACTGACTGGGTGACAGAGTGAGACTTCATCTAAAAAAAAAAATAGGAAAGAAGTAAGAAAGAAGGAAAGAAAGAAGGAAGGAAGGAGGGAGGGAGGGACGGAGGGAAGGGAGGGAGGGAGGAAGGAAGAAAGGAAGGAAGGAAGGAAGGAAGGAAGGAAGGAAGGAAGGAAGGAAGGAAGGAAGGAAGGAAAGAAGGAAAGAAGGAAGGGAAATGGAAGAACTGAGGCTGAATCTCCCCAAATCTGAATGACAGAGAAGAAGGCATGTTTGGGAGTTGACGATCATTAGACATGTTTAGAGTACCTACTCAAGCCGTTGACACTCCAGGACTAATGCCTCTCACAGCCATTGATGGTAGAGAAAGCCTATGGGTTTTTAACTATAGTAGTTGACTGCCGCCCTGACCACAGTTGATGGGAAGAGGGGTGGGAAGCTGATCTAATTGTGCCAAATGAATTTAACTTCTCTTTCTGAAGAATCAGAGAACCTATACATAGCCCAAACAGCTGTAGACACCAGAGCTCCATGGTCACATAATCCCAGAAGTTATAGCTGACTTGACTGGAACATATGCATGATGACAAATAAGCCACCAAAAAAAAAAAAAAAATCAGGACAAAGATAGCAGGATCATGAGACAGATACTCTAAGAGATGCCCATATCATATTCTGAAATGCAGGGGGAGAGAGAGCAGAGGTATAAAGACAGAGACCTGGGGGTACTTCCTGCAAAGGGTACTGTGAGACTCCCTTCTCTTCTTCTAATCCATTTTTTTAAATTTTTTATTTTATTTTATTTTGAGACAGGGTCAGTCTCACTCTGTCACCCAGGCTGGAGTGCAGTGGCACTATCACAACTCATTGCAGACTTGACCTCCCAGGCTCAGGCAATCCTCCCACCTCAGCCTCCCAAGTAGCTGTGACTACCGGCATGCACCACCATGCCCAGTTAATTTTTGTATTTTTTCTAGAGATGGGGTTTCACTAGGCTGCCCAGGCTGGTCTCGAACTCTGGAGCTCAAGTGATCCTCCCGCCTTGGACTCCCAAAGTGCTGGGATTACAAGTATGAATCACTGCATCCGGCCAAATCTATTTCTTTATACTGAGCTGTTTGGCTGTACTGGGTGGCCAGGCATGTGGAACACTGGACCCAATGCTGACAGAGGCAATCCAGACCCTAACTGCTTTGAACCTAAAACAGTTAACACACCCTCTTGCCTATTCAGAACTGATTCTGGACAATTGACAGAATTGAGGCTGAAAATTAAAGACACTAACTCTCTTTCCAGAATCATACAAGCACAGCATTTCTACAGATTTTCTTTTCTTTGTTTCTTTTTTTTTTTTTTTTTTTGAGATGGAGTCTCGCTCTGTCGCCAAGGCTGGAGTGCAGTGGCACAATCTCAGCTCACTGCAACCTCTGCCTCTTGGGTTCAAACGATTCCCCTGCCTCAGCCTCCTGAGTAGCTGGGCTTACAGGCGCGTGCCACCCTGCCTGGCTAATTTTTGTATTTTTAGCAGAAATGGGGTTTCACTGTGTTAGCCAGGATGGTCTCGATCTCCCGACCTCGTGATCTGCCCGCCTCGCCCTCCCAAAGTGCTGGGATTACAGGCGTGAGCCACCATGCCCAGCCACTTCTACCAATTTTCTAAGCATCTCAGGATTAGTCAGGGCTTTCCACACTTTGTATATATCATATCATTTAGCATTGTGAAAATGCTCTCAAGGCATACTTTCTAGTCTGTCCTCTTATTATTTATTTATTTGAATTGGAATCTCACTTTGTTGCCCAGGCTGGAGTGCAGTGGCACAGTCTCAGCTCACTGCAACCTCTGCTCCTGGGTTCAAGCGATTCTCCTGCCTCAGCCTCTGGGGTAGCTGGGATTACAGGTGCGTGCCACCACACCCAGCCAATTTTGTATTTTTAGTAGAGACATGGTTTCACCATGTTGGCCAGGCTGGTCTCAAACTCCTGACCTCAGATGATCTGCCTGCCTCGGCCTCCCGAAGTGCTGGGATTACAGGTGTGAGCCACCGCACCCAGCCTGTCCTCTTATTATTTGTTGATGGATCTCTTTGCTTAGTTGATTGAGAACTTCCTCAAATCAAGCACTGTACCCCAATCAACTCCACAGTCTATTGGGTTTAAACCCAGGGACCATGCACATGAAATGTTCAATGTCTATAAATGAATAATTTTGTTAAAAAAATTTTTATAAAGACCTGGTTTCTCTTCTTGTGTTGTTACTAATTTGCTGTGTCACCTTAGGCAAATCAATAAACTATTCTGGGCTTTGGTGTGCTGATAAAGAAAATAAAGACATTGGGCTATACCTTCTTTTAGGTCCTTTTAAGCTTTGCCTCAATGTACTCTATTTATATTCTGGCAAAGCTGTGAACTACTTATAGAAGAAAAATCAAAACCTCAGTGGCAGTGACCTTAAGGTAGTATCTAAATTAGGCTGTGATCTGTCCATCTGTTTATTTTGGAGATCAGTCATGTTCCTGTTTCAGAACACTGATCCTGCCTATCGCCTCTTCCCCCGGAGGCTGCCTGGCATCCCATTTCAGTCTTGTCTTATGTAGCTGGCTGATGTTTGATCTTCAGTTCACATTTGTTCCTGCTCTTATCACTCTTGGGAGGCTGTTATTACCCTCTTCCAATGCCGTCAAAGGTCTTTAATGCCTACCTTTCAACATGTTGTGTGTCATCTTGTAGACACTGCTGAATGTTAGCTTAGCATTGCCCAGGGACATCCAAGACCTGGTGAATGACAAATGAGAAATGAATTGAAATTTCTCTCTTTTAACTGGTCTCAAAATAGAATGTCCAAATCATAAGGTTGGCTGCCCTTTTGGTGAAGGTATTCCTCAGTATAATTTCTTCACATCTCTGTCTCCAGAACCAAGGGCTTGTGGGTGCAATGGAACAAAACTGACCTGAGAGCCAGGCACCTCTCCAAGTCTCAGTTCCACCACTAACTAGCTTAAGTCTGCATTACACTGTAAGACACTCAACATCATTTATTTCTAGATACTATAGGCAGATATTCTAAGCTTGCCTTACAGATTGTGCCTAAATTGTGCCTAAACTTGCCCAAAGTGCCTAAACTAGGTAGGCTCATGTAGTATCACAGTTTGCTATACTAGATGCTCTGGATGGATAAATACAATTAGACCCATAGCTTCCAATTACAGATTGCTTATCTCTAAACTGCAGTCTTATAGGCAGCATTCCCAAAGCATGTTCCATAGAGCACAAGAGGCACAGGTGCTTCTTCAAAGCAGGGCTCCATGGTGTAGTGGACACTGTCATGTGCTACCCAGAACTTCAGCTCCTGGACAGAGGCACCCATTCCCTCAGCTGCTCCATCTCCAGAACTTGCCCTCAGCTGAAGTGAACTGCTTTATTCAAAGCCACACTCTCTTCCCAAGACAGCCTGCATCCAATGCATCCAATGGTCAACATGGGGTAGCTCTGGGGAGGTGGCAGTGGTATCCAAAAAGAGAGAAAGAAGGAGAGTGGCTAGGGCTGAAAACCTACCTATTGGGTACTATGTTTGCTATTTGGGCGATGGGCTTGATAGAAATCCAAACCTCACAATTTGCAGCATACTCATGTAACAAACCTGCATGTGTTTGAATCTAAAATAAAAACAAGCAAATGAAAAATTGATCATGTATTCATAAAGACATTTTTAGAAAAGGAAGGCACTGGCTGGGCATGGTGACTCATGCCTTTAATCCCAGCATTTTGGGTGGCCAAGGCCATTGGATCACCTGAGGTCAGGAGTTCGAGACCAGCCTGGCCAACATGGTGAAACGTTGTCTTTACTAAAAATACAAAAATTAGCTGGGTGTGGTTGTGCCCACCTGTAATCCCAGCTACTAGGGAGGCTGACAAAGGAGAATCGCTTGAACCTGGGAGGCAGATGTTGCAGTGAGCCAAGACCGTACCACTGCACTCCAGCCTGGGCAATAGAGCAAGACTCTGTCTCAAAAAATAACAATAATAATAATAAAGAAAAAGAAGGCACCATTTTCATCAGATTTTCAGAGTGATCCCCCTAACACTGAGAACAAATATGTCATATAGAAATGAAAAATAAATTAGCCTATTAATTAACTGCTGAGGGGATCTTCCTTGCTCACATTCCAGCTCAAACCTTTTTATTTTTTTAACTTTGAAGAATGCTAGCATCCTAATGCAATTTCTCTTCAACCCCCAATATTGGGAAATATCCGGCTTATGCTTCCTTTTCTTCATGCATCTCCCTCCTACTCTCAGGCACATCTATTTGCTCAGCGATGTGGGTTGTGCTTGTCAATAATGGCACTTACAGTTCAGAGTAATGATCTCTGCTCGCCTTTCCCATCTGTTATTTCCATACGCCTGACGTCTTCATAGTACCTTTTCAGGGAATAAGAAGACGCTCCTTTACAAACCATCCTTCTCTCTCTAAATACTTAATGTCGACATTGTTTGGGCTGCTCTTTATGAAACGAAGCATCATGACTGAAGCCATCATTCTGACTCTTTGTAATAATCACAGCTCAATTTTCCAGCCGAGGCTGATTTCTGGCAGGCCTGTGGTCAGGACCATACATTCACAGGACTTCCTGTCATCTCCATCTTTAGATTCCAGCTCTGGTTGGAACAGTTAATTTCCCTCATTTGCAATGTCACTTCTACCATCCTACCTAGTATATCATCCTCACATGAGCTCAGGGCTGCCCTTCTGAGAGATCCCAAAGCATCCCCAGCTCCTCTAGAGTAGGGAGGAGCTAGTGGGTGTCATGGGGACACCAGGCCTCTGTCTATTTGAAATCTTGTTTTTTTTTGAGATAGAGTCTCACTCTGTCATCCAGACTGGAGTGCAGTGGCACGATCTCGGCTCACTGCAACCTCCGCCTCCCAGGTTCAAGCAATTCTCCTGTCTCAGCTTCCCATGTAGCTGGGATTACAGGCACCCACCACCATGCCCAGCTAATTTTTATATTTTTAGTAGAGACAGGGTTTCACCACGTTGGTCAGGCTGGTCTCGAACTCCTGACCACAAATGATCCGCCCACCTTGGCCTCCCAAAGTGCTGGGATTACAGGCATGAACCACTGTGCCCCAGCCCCATTTGAAATCTGAGTCAGCACAGCCTGGAGACCTGCAGGCACCCACCAGCGATGCAAACTCAGGGATGAAGGAAAGGAACTCAGGAGGGAGAGCTGCTGGGAGCAAACAGGAAATTCACCTTGACTGTTGGCTTAGATTCGGGAGAGTTGAAAGGGCCGGGCTGGAATCTGGAGAGAGCAATACCACCAGTCATTGTAGTAATCATAATATCTAACATTATCAGGCACTTTCTTTATTTATTTTTTTTTTTTTTAGATGGAGTCTCACTCTGTTGCCCAGGCTAGAGTGCAATGGCGCCATCTTGGCTCACTGCAACCTCCACCTCCTGGGTTCAAGCAATTCTCCTGCTTCAGCCTCCCGAGTAGCTGGGACTACAGGTGCCCACCACTAGGCCTGGCTAATTTTTGTATTTTTAGTATAGACAGGGTTTCACCATGTTAATCAGACTGGTCTCGAACTCCTGACCTCAGGTGATCCACCAGCCTCAGCCTCCCAAAGTGCTGGGATTATAGGTGTGAGCCATCACGCCTGGCCATCAAGCATTTTCTATACATCAGATACTGTATTTAGTACCCCTACAGGCTGGGCAAGGTGGCTCACGACTGTAATCCCAGCACTTTGGGAGGCTGAGGTGGAAGGTTCGCTTGAGGCCAGGAATTTCAGACCAGCCTGGGCAGCAAAGCAAAACCCCATCTCTACAAAATAATTTTTAAAAAACTAGCAAGGTGTGGTGGTGCATGCCTCTAGTCCTAGGTACTCAGGAGGCTGAGGTGGGAGGATGGCTTGAGATCAGGAGTTCAAGGCTGAAGTGAGCTATGATTGCACCACTGCACTCCAGCCTGGGTGACAAAGTGAGACCTTCTCTCAACAACAACAACAAAATAAGTACTTTGCATGCATGAAGTCATTTATTCCCCATGACAATCCTATAAGATAGATACTATTATTTCTTCATTTTTCAGATGAGTAAACTGAGACACAGAGAAGAATTCAGATACAATTCTGCTCGTATGTATATCCAAGGGGCACCGACCTGGTGAGTGCAGGCTGACAGATGAGTTTTAAGGCATTGACAGTAACAAAAGTTGCTGGCTGAGCGCGGTGGCTCACGCCTATAATCCCAGCACTTTGGGAAGCCGAGGCTGGCAGATCACCTGAGGTCAGGAGTTCGAGACCAGCCTGGGCAACGTGGTGAAACCCCGTCTTTACTAAAAATATAAAAATTAGCCAGGCATGGTGATACATGCCTGTAATCCCAGCTACATGGGAGGCTGAGGCAGGAGAATCACTTGAACCCGGGAGGCGGAGGCTGCAGTGAGCCGAGATCGTGCCATTGAACTCCAGCCTGGGCAAAAAGAGTGAAACTCCATCTCAAAATATAATAATAATAAAAGTTGCAAAGGCTCAGATTAAAGATTGGAAACCCAAAGCCAGTCAGTGGTTAGGGGTACAGAGTTAAAACTCTGGGCTGAATGGAGAGTCAAGAGGCAGGTCATGGCTTTGGCTCCAAGAAGAGACGCTGGAGCCAGGACTAAGGTCTGAGAGGGCACTGATGAGGATCAGGCCTAGCCGTGGGGATGGGAGTGACATGCTTCGCTAGGCGTGGAGAGAGTGCAGCTCTGTGGGTCTGTGGGTGTCCAGGCTCCAGCCCAGGCAGGACGTACATGGGTTTGGGAGCCACAGGAAGCTGAAATCTCTCAGAAAAGCTCAAAGCCACCCTGCCTGCCCAAAAATTGCACAGGACAAACCAAGACTTTGGGATACTGAGCCCCGCAGAGCAGGTGAGAACATGCTCCTTACTGACAGATGAGAACCAAGATTTCTCAGGCTTCCCACTCGGGTGTAAGAGCTGGCAAGAGCTGCAACATGATCCAACCACTGCCTCTGCATTTGTGCTGAGAGTCAAAGAGAAGCAGAGGAGAAGGGTGGTAAGGACCACCGGTCTCTGGGAGCCCCCTACCACCATGGCAGGTCTCTCTGGTGCTTTGGAGAGAGCTGTGATCGGGCCTGTGATGATGAATATTGAGTGTCAACTTGATTGCATTGAAGGATGCCAAGTATTGTTCCTGGGTGTGTCTATGAGGGTCTTGCCAAAGGGGAGTAACATTTGAGTCAGTGGACTGCGAGAGGCAGACCACCCTCAATGTGCATGGGCACCATCTAAACAACTGTCAGTGCAGCTAGAATAAAGCAGACTCGCTGAGTCTTCCGGACTTCATCTTTCTTCCATGCTGGATGCTTCCTGCCCTTGAACGTCAGACTCCATGTTCTTCAGCTTTGGAACTCTTGGACTTACAGCAGTGATTTGCCCGGGGCTCTTGGGCCTTTCAGCCACAGACTGAAGGCTGCGCTGCTGTCGGCTTCCCTACTTTTGAGGTTTTGGAACTTGGACTGATCCACCACTGTCTTTGCTCCTCAACTTGCAGACAGCCTGTCGTGGGACTTTACCTTGTAATTGTGTGAGTCAATTCTTCTTAATAAATTCCCTCTCATGTATACATATATCCTATTAGTTCTGTCCCTTTAGAGAACTCTGACTAATACAAGGCCACTGCACTCCACCCTGGATGACAGAGCAAGATCCTGTCTCTAAAAAAAAAAATGCTTTGCCATGGTCAGTTCCTCTAACCTGCTCATGGTGCATTTGGTCCCAGGCCTTGCCCTCTTCTGGTTGAACTCCAATTTTTTTAGCTGCTGAGGGTTTAAGATGGGCCCTATTCCAGGCATGTGCCACTGTGCTTGGCTATATATATTTTTTATATTATTCTGTAGAGATGGGATCTTGCTAGGCTGCCCAGGCTGGTCTCAAACTCGTGGCCTCAAATAATCCTCCCACCTTGGCCTCCCAAAGCACTGGGATAATAAGTGTGAGCCACTGTGCCCAGGCTCCAGGGAATAGGCCCTGTTCCAGCACTTCTTGTTTGTTTGTTTGTTTGTTTGTTTGCTTGCTTGTTTTTTGAGATAGAATCTTGCTCTGTTGCCCAGGCCAGAGTGCAATGATGCAATCTCAGCTCACTGCAACCTCCACCTCCCAGATTCAAGCAATTCTTGTGCCTCAGCCTCCTGAGGAACTGGGATTACAGGCACACGTCACCACGTCCAGCTAATTTTTGTATTTTTAGTAGAGACGGGGTTTCACCGTCTTGGCCAGGCTGGTCTTGAACTGCTGACCTCAATCAAGTGATCCGCCCGCCTCAGCCTCTCAAAGTGCTGTGATTATAGGCGTGAACCACCATGTCCGGCCTATTCCAGCACTTCTTTAAGAGGAGACCCTTGAATACTGAGAAGTCCTTAAAGGCCAAGGAAATGGAGCTTTAGCAGTGAAATTTCAGGCAGAGAGTAAGGCACCTTTGTGAGAAAATGTCCTGAGGGTACAGGCCTGCTTTCCTGGGTGGGGCATGCTTTGAGTGTTCTAAGAAAGATAAGGTGTGCACTTACAGTTTTGCTGACATATGGTAGAATATTGGATCACCACAGAGGGAGAAGGTTACTGTGGCAGTGCAGCATCGTAACTGCACAGAGCAGCTGTCACTTTTCACCACCTAGAAGGGAATCAGTAACAACAATCCACTGTTCAGTCAGCACTCTAGAGCACTCAGTCAGCAAAAACTCTAGAGCCTCTGGACTGTCCGTCCCTACGTGTGTGTATGTGTTATTTCTTTCTTTCTCTCTCTCTCTTTCTTTCTTTCTCTCTCTCTTTCTCTCTTTCTTTCTTTTTCCTTTCTTTCTCTCTTTTTTCATTCTTTCTTTCTTTTTTTGTTTTGTGTGTGTGACGGAGTCTTGCTCTGTTGACCAGGCTGGAGTGCGGTGGTGTGATCTTGGCTCACTGCAATCTTCGCCTCCTGGGTTCAAGCGATTCTCCTGCCTCAGCCTCCCAAGTAGCTGGGACTATAGGCACCCACCATCATGCTCGGCTAATTTTTCTATTTATTTATTTATTTTTTTTAGTAGAGACAGAGTTTCGCCATGTTGGCAAGGTTGGTCTCGAACTCCTGACCTCAGGTGCTCAGCCCACCTCAGCCTCCCAAAGTGGCTGGGATTACAGACATAAGCCAGTGTGCCTGAATTTTTTTTTTTTTTCTTATGACAGGGTCTTGCTCTGTCATCCAGGGTGTAGTGCAGTGGCGTAATCATAGCTCATTGCAGCCTTGAACTCTGGGGTTCAAGCAGTCCTCCCATCTCAGCATTCTGAATAGTTGGGACTACAGGTGCATGTTACCGTGCCCAGCTAGATTTTTAAAAATGTTTTGTAGAGATGGGGTCTTGCTATGTCACCCGAGTTGGTCTCAAACTCCTGGGCTCAAGTGATCTTCCTACCTTGGCCTCTCAGAGTGCTGGGACTACAGGTGTGTGCCACCACACCTGGCTAATTAAAAAGAAAAAAAAAATGTGTAGAGATGGAGTCTTGCTATGTCACCCAGTTTGGTCTCAAACTCCTGGACTCAAGCCATCTGCCTGCCTCCACCTCCCAAAGTGCTGGGATTACAGGCGTGAGCCACCACACTCAGCCCATGCTACTTATGTCTTCTCTGATTCTTGTAGTGACTGACTGCAAAACCGTTCAATCAAGAAGAGCCTTTGGCTCATTTTCAGGACCAGCAGAGAAGGGGGTGGAGGAGCTGAATTTCCCTCTGTGTCCATGCTTGGCAGCATCAGGAGCTAAACACAGAGGTACCCAGGATCTCCACTTCATGCTTGGAAACTCCCTACCACTCAGGGTCACCCAATGTAGGCAAAGACCAGTCCAGCTTGCACTCAGCACTCAGTCAGGTATCATTCTTTATTTTATTATTTATTTATTTATTTATTTTTTATTTATTTTGAGATGGAGGCTTGCATTGTCGCCCAGGCTGGGGTGCAATGGCACGATCTCGGCTCACTGTAACTACCGCCTCCTGGGTTCAAGCAATTCTCCTGCCTCTGCCTCCCGAGTAGCTGGGATTACAGGTCCCTGCCACCACGTCCTGCTAATTTTTTGTATTTGCAGTAGAGACGGGGCTTCACTATGTTGGCCAGGCTGGTCTTGAACTCTTAACCTCGTGATCTGACTGCCTTGGCCTCCCAAAGTGCTGGGATTACAGGTGTTAGCCACCACGCCTGGCCGCAGGAATTATTCTTATGACTCTGATGCCCTTTGGAAACCTGGGAATAGACAATGCACCATCTTCAGCCCAAATCAGAGGAGGAAACATTCACAGATTTCTACAGATCATGCTTGTGGTGGTTTTAAAATATGTCTGCAAAGTGTTTAATAGGCATCTCGGCCAGGCGCGGTGGCTCATGCCTGCAATCCCAGCACTTTGAGAGGCCAAGGCAGGTGGATCACCTGAGGCCAGGAGTTCGAGATCAGCCTGGCCAACATGGTGAAACCCTGTCTCTACTAAAAATAGAAAAATTAGCTGGGTGTGGTGGCGGGTGCCTGTAATCCCAGCTACTTGGGAGGCTGAGGCAGAAGAATCGCTTCAACCCGGGAGGCTGAGGTTGCAGTGATCTGAGATCATGCCATTGAGCTCCAGCCTGGGCAACGAGAGCGAAACTCTGTCTCAAAAAAAAAAGTCATCTTATCCAAAGGGATATTCCCAAATGGAATATCCCTCCCCTTGAATACAGGCTGTGTATGCCTAAAAAATAAAATGCAGCAGAGGTGACTCTATGCGGCTTCTTCCCAGGCTGGATTCCAAGAAACAATACAGTTTCTACCTGGCTTTTTCTCTTTCCAGGATAAATGTATCTTTGAAGCCCAGCCACCATGTTTGGAGGAAGCCTGGACCATAGGTAGAGGCCATGGTCTAGGTGTTCAGCCCACAGCCCAGGTAAGACCCAGGTAAGTTCTAACAGCCATCATCAGCTATTAGCTGGTAAGAGAGGGAACCTTTGGATAATGCCAGTCCTCAAACTTTCAGCTGCCCTGGGGGACACCAAGTGGAGAAGAAATAAGCTGTCCCTCCTAAACCCTGCACACGTAATACATTTGTAAGCAAAATAAATGTTATTGTTTCAACAGCTAAGTTTTGGGATGGTTGGTTACATAGCAATAGACAACTGGGAAAAACAAAATATTCTATTCCTATTTTGTACCCATGTCACCATACAAGCACCACCCTATAATAAAGAGAGCAATTAACAAGCAAAGCAGAACTTAGAGGCGGGAAAGCTTTGGATGTTTCTCTTCAAGAATCTCACCCTGCATTCTGATCTTGGGCTCCTTTGGCGTCGTATAACCTACAACATGACAATTCAGCTCTATACAATCGTACCACTTTAAAAGTACATGTGGGCCTGGAGCGGTGGCTCACACCTGTAATCCCAGAACTTTGGAAGGCCAAGGCAGGCAGATCACAAGGTCAGCAGATCGAGAACATCCTGGCTAACATGGTGAAACCCCGTCTCTACTAAAAATACAAAAAAAAAATTAGCCAGTCGTGGTGGCGGGTGCCTGCAGTCCCAGCTACTCAGGAGGCTGAGGCAGGAGAATGACGTGAACCCGGGAGGCAGAGCTTGCAGTGAGCCGAGATTGCACCACCGCACTCCAGCCTGGGCAACAGAGAGAGACTCCGTCTCAAAAAAAAAAAAGTACATGTGTTTGCCTCTTAATGAGTGGCATCTGTATTTAGAGTTGGACTCACTCTCTCTTCCCTATTGCAGCATTCTCCAATAAAGTCATTCTTGTCTGTTTAAGTCTGTCTGATACAACTTTCCTTTGACACAATCCAGGGTTTTCAGCACCATAGTGGTCAGAATATTGCGTCTTCAATGTCATTTAAGGTCCTTCAACACTTTGCCAGCACAATAAAGTGCCTGGCTTTAGAGGGCACTGGTGGTTCTGGCCTTAGATTCAGTATGTCATCACAGCACACAGCCCAGGAGGCCGGCAGACAGGGGTCTGATGCCCTCCTCTTTCTGTTACTGCCTATGTGATTTCGAAGGGGTTACTTCTCTGAGTTTCTATTTTCTCACCTGTAAAATAGGGACAGTGATACCTCTGTGGGGCTTTTATGAGGATAACATGAATTAGTGTTTGTAAACAGCTTAGAACAATGTCTTAGACATATCAGAGCTCTATGTTTAATTAGTCATTTCTTAGCACTGTTTATCTCCAAAAGTTGGGTGGGAGATTGGCGCAGATTTTAACTCCTTTGTGTTGTTTGTTGTTCTATTGAGTATGTATCACTTTATAATTAGCAGGGAAAGAAGGACAGAAGGAGGGAGGGAGAGAGGGAGGGAGGGAAAAATGAAGAAAGGAAGGAAAAAATGGAAGGAAGTAAGGAATGAAGGAAGGAAGGATGAATGGGAGGGAAGAGGGAGAGGAAGAAAGAGGAAAGGAAGGATGGAGGGAGAAAGGGAGGGAGAGAGGGAGGAAGGGGAATAGGAAGGAAGGAAAGAAGGAAGGAAGGAGAAAGGAAGGATGGATGGAGGGAGGGAAGAGGGAGAGAAAGAAGGACGAAAGGAAAGATGGAGGGAGGAAGGGAGGAAGAGAGAGAGGAAGGGGAATAGGAAGAAAGGAAGGAAAAAAGGAAGGAAGGGAGGGAGGGAAAGGAAGGAAAGGAAAGGAAGGGAAGGAAGACGATCTAAACCTCAGTCCTTGTACAGATGTCCTAAGCTTCTCTCCAGAAACACATCACTTACCACTTGCCCTTTTGACCACAGAGGAAGTTAGTTCTATCTGAATGGATGTTCCAGTCCTTAAATGAATTTGGTTAGTGGCTGAGTGATGGGCCATGGTCTTACTGCCTCATAAATCAAGGCCAGGGAATAATTTTAACAGTGCATAAACAGGAAATATGAAAATTAATGCTTGCAGGAACCTTATTTAATTTTACTGTGAACCGATTTCCGTGACATTTATGCTGTTTGTTTTGTGCAGTTGTGTGTGGGTTTTTCTCTCCCCCTTCTTTTTATTTTGTTTTCTGTTTTCTTTTTCCTATTGGCTCAGTTTCAGAGAGGCTAGTTATCTGCACATTCATCTCTGAAATGACCTTCCTTTCTTGAAATGCATGTCCTTCTGCTTGTAACAAAAGGTCATAAACTCGCCGGGCCCATCAAAGCCATTACTATGGCAATACACTACAGGATTGCGATTATTAACCTCTGGATAAACAGGCAGGCAGGGAAGATGGATGGAGAGGAATAAGGCTTGTGTTTATACACATTTATCTTTGGTAATTAGCCATCTGGGGGAAAACCACAAATACAGGCAACAGAAATTGATTTATCTTCAAATAATAAGTTTTGCTTTACAACAAGGTCTAAAAGTGCATCTTCTCAAGTGCTAATTTTGCATGTCACTTGCATGCTTTAAGGATGAAAGTAGTAATTACCAGGCCTTTCATATGCAAAAGTAAGGTGCTAAGAAGCTGCTAGCTTCATCTACAAGAATTAAAATTTAAAAAAAAAAAAAAAAAAAGATGCATTTCCCAGAGGACTTCCCAGGTCCTAAAAGGCTTGTCATTACAGGTCTGTATCTTCCTGGAGGTCCAGGGCCATTCATAAGAAATCAGCTGCAGACAAGTGTGGTGTGAAGTGGGGAGTCACTGACCCCATGAAGCAGGTGTGGTCTGAATTGGAAAGTCACTGATCCCATGGAGGATCCTGTGGTCTTGGACTTGACCCTTCTCCACTGATGCTAAGGGTCAAGGCCAGGAAAGGAAGCACCTAGACACTTGGTGTGGCACAGCCACATCAAAACCAAGGCGCAGTGGCTCATGCCTGTAATCGCAGCACTTTGGGAGGCTGAGGTGGGTGGATCACTTGAGGTCGGCAGTTCAAGACCAGCCTGACCAACATGGAGAAACCCCATCTCTACTAAAAATATAAAATTAGTCGGGCATGGTGGTGCATGACTGTAATCCCAGCTACTCGGGAGGCTGAGGCAGGAGAATCACTTGAACCCAGGAGGCGGAGTTGCAGTGAGCCAAGATCGCGCCATTGCACTCCAGCCTGGGCAACAAGAGTGAAACTCCATCTCAAAAAAAAAAAAAAAAAAAAAAAAAAACAAAGGGCAGGGCTCTTAATAACCAACATGGGGATAGTGGGATAAAGAGGCTGTGTGTCTCATTTCCAACACTGGCTCGATACCTAAGGGGTTAGTAGCTACATTTGCTTGTTGGCCAAAGGCCTTTCTGTTCCAGGAGGAATCAGCCCAAACTAAGAGGGAATTGCCTGGGTAATTCCACTTCCCCTTTATAGTTAAGCTTCAGGGAAGCGCCTGCTTTTAGTGAGCTGTGGTTCAAAACCATCCATCCAGGCTAGCACATGGCACCCTCGAATTTATTCAAAGACAAAGGAAAACAGAGTGAGACACTCTGGAGAGGCCCCGTCGACATCCATCTGCTGCAGCTGAGCTTTCTCCCATTAAACGCTTCTCATAAATAGCACCGGATCCTGTGGTCTGTTGCCAAATGTTTTTTGAACTGTTTTTATTAATAACAGATTGGAATTAGTTGCTGTCTGAAATATGCCCTGCGTGTTTCCACCTGTGAACCCTTTAGGCAGAGGGCGGAGCTGCCCAAGACCTAACACCTGGCCGCTAGCTAAATGTGATGCAAGACCTAATTTTAAACCTTCCACCCCTTGGAGGCCTTCAGTGACCACAGTGGAGCTGCCCCAGGTGGTAGCACAGCCAATGGGTGAGGGGGATGAGTGCTACACCTGTGTGCCAGGTGCAAATCCCATCACTGCCACGTATTGGGAGTATGACCTTGAGCAAGTTAATTAGCCATTCAGATCCTTATTCTGCTCATGTAAAATGGAGATGTTAACAATCCCTATACCGGCCGGCTGCGGTGGCTCACGCCTGGGATCCCAGCACTTTGGGAGGCTGAGGCAGGCGGATCACAAGGTCAGGAGATCGAGACCATCCTGGCTAACACTGTGAAACCCTGTCTCTACTAAAAATACAAAAAATTAGCCGGGCATGGGTGCGGGCGCCTGCAGTCCCAGCTACTCGGGAGGCTGAGGCAGGAGAATGGCGTGAACCCGGGAGGCGGAGCTTGCAGTGCGCCGAGATCGCACCACTGCACTCCAGCCTGGGCGACAGAGCGAGACTCCCTCTCAAAAAAAAAAAAAAAAAAAATTCCTATCCCATAGGGCTATTGTAGGCAGTGCAGCCAGATTATGAATAGGGGTGCTCTATTGGGTCCCAGCGCAGGCCCGCTGAGTGCTGCAAAGTACTTGCTGTGTGATCCAAAGATCGTTTTGCTGAACCTCACTTAATGAAAATAGTATGTGGCTGGGCACGGTGGCTCACGCCTGTAATCTCAGCACTTTGGGAGGCCAAGGCGGACGAATCATTTGAGGTCAGGGGTTCGAGACCAGCCTGGCCAACATGGTGAAACCCTGCCTCTACTAAAAATTCAAAAAAAATTAGCCAGATGTGGTGGTACATGCCTGTAATCCCAGCTACTGGGAGTCTGAGGCAGGAGAATCTCTTGAACCCAGCAAGCAGAGGTTGCAGTGAGCTGAGATGGCACTACTGCACTCCAGCCTGGGCAACAGAGCGAGACTCCATCTCAAAAAAAAAGGAAAGGAAAAAAGAAAATAATAGTATGATATTAATAAGACATACACAAAATACTTACCTAAGCTCTCAGCCAGTGCCTTTCACACATGAGGCAATAAATACATGACAGCTTTCTAAATCATTCGATTGCCCTCTCTGCATATGAATATGTGGATGTGTTCTCACTATAGCTAGACTCATACCTCCCCATCTATAAATGAATGCCTTCCGAAGGTCACTCCTGGCCTTATTGGCTATAATATATCTTGACTAAGATAAGCAGAATTGGTCTGAATCAGAGACTAATCGCCCCCTTCCCTGTTAGTAACACAGCCCCAGGAAAGGCTGGAAAATGTGGTCTGGCATTGGGTAGCCATGATTCCTGCTATAATCTAAAATTTCTATGACTCTCCAAGCACGAGTGGCTCATGCCTGTAATCCCAGCACTTTGGGAGGCTGAGGTGGGAGGATCGTTTGACCCCAGGAGTATGATGCCAGCCTGGGCAGCATACTGAGATGTCATGCATACTAAAAGAAAAAAAAAATTAGCTGGGTATGGCGGCAAGTCCCAGCTACTAGGGAGGCTGGGGCAGGAGGATTGCTGGAGCCTGGGAGGTTGAAGCCACAGAGAGCCATGATCACAAATCATTCTTAATCCATTCTCCCCTTCTTCTTTGAGTAATATAAGCTTTCTTTCCCTTCTTTTGTTGAGACACAGTCTCACTCTGTTGCCCAGGCTGGAGTACAGTGGTGTAATCATGGCTCACTGTGGCTTTGACCTCCCAGGCTCCAGCAGTCCTCCTGCTTCAGCCTCCCTAGAGCTGGGACCACAGGCACTCGCCACCACACCCAGCTAATTTTTTTTTTTAGTATGCATGACATCTCACTACATTGCCCAGGCTGGTATCATACCCCTGGGCTCAAGTGATCCTCTCACCTCAGCCTTTCAAAGTGCTGAGATTACAGGCATGAGCTACCCATGCTTGGGGAGCCATAGAAATTTTAAAACATTAAATCAGCAGGAACCATGGCTGCCCAATGTCAGACCACATTTTCCAGCCTTCCCTAGGGCTGTGTTACTAAATTCTCACCAATGAAATGTGAGCAGAGGTGCTACGTCGCCACCTTAAAAAGAAACTGTTGTCCTTCACAGACTCTCGCCTTCCAGAGACTGGACCATGGTCATCTAGACTTGGCCGTTCTGATGAGAATGACATTTCAGGGGACTCTAGAGCCCAGGAGAGAAGGAACCAAAGATCCTACAACTTCCTGGAGCAGAGCTCCCCGCACACCTCCACCACCTGCTAACTCCTGTCTGTTACTTGAGAGAACAATCAATTTCTCTCTTCTTTATGTAATGGTAATTTTGGGATTCTTTGTTACAGCAGCTTGGTGCTTGTTCTGACTAATACATGAGCAAGGACATTGAGCAGAGGCAATGATCCCTATAACCCAGTGTTTTTCTTCTTCCATCTCCTTTAGTTACTCTCAGATGAAATGTTCCTCCCTTATTCACTTCGCTTTTCATCAACCAGCCATCTTCACCCTTCACTATGTGGCTTTATTACACCCATCACGCTCAGTTGATTTCACTCAAACATAGCTTTCTATTCATATACACACATTTCTGATTCTTCCTCTTCCTTTTCTTTTCCTTCCTAGCTCTGCCTGCTAAGCTTACAAATCAATTTCTCTGACTCACTTGCCATTTTTTCTTTTTCTTCCTTCTCCTACTTCACACCCACACTGACCTTCTTGTCTTTTTCTCTATTGTTTTGTTCCTTTCTTGCTTGCTTTCTTTCTCTCTTCCTTTCTTTTTTTAAATCTTAGCCACTGGAGGACCAGGTAATTTTATTTCTTTTATAAGACAAAATCAGAGCCAGTTAAAGCCAACAAGTGTAAAAAAAATCCACACACAAAACAACATCAATAACAACAACAACAAACATTGGCAGTATACCTATAACAGAAAACAGAGCGCTATCTATACTGGATTCATCAATAGTTCATGCATTGACTCAGACCTCCAGATAAGACTTTTCAAATAAGACATCAGAGGTCATAGGAATATGAGAACACCAGGTTACAAAACAGACTAGACAGGTAAGAATTGGAATTAAAAATCCAGGTTTTGTTTTTTGTTGTTGCTGGGGTGTTTGTTTGTTTGTTTGTTTGAGACAGGGTCTTGCTCTGTCTCCCAGACTGAAGTGCAGTGGTGTGATCTTAGCTCACCGCAGCCTCTACCTTCCAGACTCAAGTGATCCTCCCACCTCAGCCTCCCTAGCAGCTGGGACCATGGGTTCACACCACCATGCCCGGCTCTTTTCTTTTTTGTATTTTTGGTAGAGATGGGGTCTTGCCATGTTGCCCCAGGCTGGTCTTGAAGTCCTGAGCTCAAGCCATCCACTCGCCTCTGGGTCCCAAAGGGCTGGGATTAAGGCATGAGCCACCATAGACAGCCTAAATTCCATGTTTTTTGACTTTCTCATCAAGTTCTCTTTCCATCAGCTTATGCTGTGTCTCCATTAAGACAGTTCAAAGAAACAGAGATTGCATATTCTAATTCTGTATTCTCCGCAGTTGAGAACTGCTTCCCCTCAAGACAGAAGGGAAACAATAATTTGTTCAATATTATGGCTACAGCAGGTCTCAAAGTTAAGCTGGCTGGGGCACACATGGACCTCATTGCCATTCAGAATATCCTCCTGTCGGGCCAGGCGTGGTGGCTCATGCATGTAATCCCAGCATTTTGGGAGGCCGAGGCAGGTGGATCATGAGGTCAGGAGATTGAGACCATCCTGGCTAACATGGTGAAATCCTGTCCCTACTAAAAATACAAAAAATTAGCCGGGCATGGTGGCGGGCGGGCATCTGTAGTCCCAGCTACTTGGGAAGCTGAGGCAGGAGAATGGCATGAACCTGGGAGGCGGAGCTTGCAGTGAGTCGAGATCGTGCCACTGCACTCCAGCCTGGGTAACAGAGTGAGACTCCATCTCAAAAAAAAAAAAAAAAAAAAAGAATATCCTCCTGTCTCTTTTTCGCCCTAGCCTTGACTGTTTCCCCAACTGGGATGTAAATTCTTTGAAAGCTCCTTAGCCATCCTCAGCCTTTAGCACAGTGCTGAGAAAATAGTATGAACTCAATAAATACATACCAATTGATTTTCAATTCCTAGGGAGGATTTTCCTTGGCTTGTTTTTATTACCTCCCCACCTCCCTTGAGTTTGCCATCTCGTCCCCTGCCAAGGCCCTTCTAACTCCCATTTCCTGCTGACCACGAGGTTTAGCAAGTTTTCTTTCTTCCTGACTTGTGTATCACTTACCATCAATGCTGCGTGATGCAGCACTTAATCATACAGGGTCAGGAATCACTGGCTGTTGTTTTAAATGTGGGCAGCCAGATCTTTCAAATAGACCTTCAGCTGCTTCCTTTGGGGAACTATCTGTTCAGACATGCCCCTGAGTTGGAACGCTGACACTGTCACTCAGAATCCTTGGGTTTTCAGGCATGCACTGTCAAAGAGTGCCTACTGGTGACTGTGGCATCTTGAGTTCTTGTTATTTCAGAAAAGTTCCAGAAAGAAGACCAGCCCTGGCAAAACAAAAACCAGTTTGATCCAGAGATGCGTGAGTTGGGCATTGACCCATTTCCTTCATTACTATACCAAAAACTTCACCCAGGGAGGAGCTTAAGCACTATTTTCTCCATATGCAACATACATAGAAGTATGACCAGCCACTGCACCTGCCCTGCCTTGGCTTCACCTCTACATACAATGACTCAACCAGCCATCCCAACAAAAGCCATGTTTTCATCTTTGTTTTTTGAGACGGAGTCTCGCACTGTCTCCCGGGCTGGAGTGCAAAGGCGCGATCTTGGCTCACTGCAACCTCTGCCTCCCAGGTTCAAGCAATTCTCCTGCTTCAGCCTCCCGAGTGGCTGGGATTACAGGCGCCCACCACCATGCCCAGCTAATTTTTTGTATTTTTAGTAGAGACGGGGTTTCACTGTGTTTACCAGGCTTGTGTCAAACTCCTGACCTCGTGATCTGCCTGCCTCGGCCTCCCAACGTGTTTTCATCTTTGTTAGGGGAGGCACTGTTTTGGGAACTATTGCCAGTAACCTCCTTACTTGTTGCAAGGAGTAAAGTCCTCTTGTTAAATCCTCCTTGGTTTTGATCATTGTACCACAACCTGCAAAGCAATCAAACCCACCTACTGTGTGAGTAACATGAGTTACCACCTGCCCTTAGATGTGAGAGATACTTTTTTCCACTGCAGTAACTCTTCTCTCTTTCTTGTTTGAAGGAGAAGGAAGATGCATGCTCTCTATGCAGGGCACACTCCAAACCCAGCCAATTACAAGGGTTCTTACCCATCATCTCTGCCCCGCAGAGCTGAGCTGAGCGCGCTTAATGCTCCAAAAGTCACACGGTCTACTCCATGGGTGTCCTATTTGTAGCCAGAATTTTCCCTCCTTATATTAATGTTGCATTGCATATTCCCAAAGAATGTCTCAAAGGCATGTTTTTATAACTACAGGGATGCTGTTGATGACATTTTGAAGGGTAGCAGAGTGTGCCCCCTCAAAATATGCCAGTTTGCTATAAGGATTATTTTGAGCAGAAGGCAACTGAGAAGAAGCAGATACAGGAGTTCCCCCTTATCTACAGTTTTGCCGTCTGTGTTTTCATTTACCCATGTTCAACTGCAGCCCGAAAGTATTACAAGGAACATTTAAGAAATAAGCAATTCATACTTTTTTTTTTCTTTGAGACAGAGTCTCACTCTGTCGCCAGGCTGGAGTTCAGTGGTGTGATCTCGGCTCACTGCAACCTCTGACCCCCTGGTTCAAGGGACTCTCCTGCCTCAGCCTCCCAAGTAGCTGGGATTGCAGGCATACACCACCATGCCCAGCTAATATTTGTATTTTTAGTAGAGATGGGGTTTCACCATGTTGGCCAGGACGGTCTCGATCTCCTGACCTCATAATCTGCACGCCTCAGCCTCCCAAAGTTGACACCATTCTGAGTAGCATGATGAAATCTCACACTGACCAGCTGTGCCCCACCTGGGATGTGAATGTTTTGTCCAGCATACCTATACTGTCTATACTACTCACCTGTTAGCCACTTAGTAGCTTCGTCAGTTATCAGATCAGTTGTTGCAGTATCACAGTACTTATGTTCAAGTAACCCTTATCTTACTTAATAATGGCCCCAAATTCCATTGTCTAGATCTAATCTATAATTAAACTTGACAATAAATATGTACACATAGGAATAAACATAGTATATATAGGGTTTGGTACTATTCATGGTTTCAGGCATCCAGTGGGGGTCTTAGAACCTATCCCCCATGGATAAGGGGAGACCACTGTGAAAGAAAAGCTCTTTGCCCTCTCCCTATTTACCTAAGAGTAGGATCTAACTTTGTAAAGATATTCCCCTCCCATGGATCACCTGAGGTCAGGAGTTTGAGACCAGCCTGACCAACATGGAGAAACCCTGTCCCTACTAAAAATGCAAAAATTAGCCAGACGTGGTGGCACATGCCTGTAATCCCAGCTACTCGGGAAGCTGAGGCAGGAGAATTCGCCTGAACCCGGGAGGCAGAGGTTGCAGTGAGCCGAGATCATGCCATTGCACTCCAGGCTGAGCAACAAGAGCGAAACTCCATCTCGAAAAAAAAAAAAAAAATAGACATTCACCTCCCCACTCTACCAGGAAGGACAGAAATTAATTACTGGTAACAACTCTAGTCCTTTCTCCGCCTAGAGACAGCACCAGAGTGGATGTGACTTTGTACTTGTATCCCATTGGCTTTTTTTCTTCCTGTTCCTGTGTGTGTAAGTTATTCTGGAAGTGCTTCTTCACTTTGGCAGTGGCAGTTCTTTTCTGTAGCAATGATTGAATCCAGTTAGTAGTTTTTTCAACTTTTGCGGAACTAGCCTCATCACTTAATTTCCCTCCCACTCCTACCACCAAGATGGATAGCACCAGCACCAGCCTGTATCACCCTTTCTCAGGGGTGTGAGGTCCAGCTCCCCAGCTAATATGTTCAAATCACTTCAACCTCTTCCTTTTGTTCCCAGCCACAGAGGGTGGCAATATTTATTTATTTATTCACATTGCTATTCTCTGTAATATTCTTCTTGCCATTTTAGTTGCCTAGTTAACTCCTCATATTCCAGAGATTAAACATATCTCTGTTTAAATGACTGGTGTGGTTCTTTCTTTTGCCTGGACCCTGACTGATATACCAGAAGAGGCCAGTTTGGTAGTTGGACATGAGATTGGGGTGAAGGGGTTTCCTGCACCAAGGTTGGCATAAGCATGTGTGACAGTAAAGCTTATGTTCTTGCTGGTAGTAGACTCTGAAGCTAGCACCTGCTCTGGCCTCTGTGTCATTCACAGCAATTTCTCACCTCTCCACAAACAGCTCTACACACGGTGAAGCTGAAGCTAGGTGTTATACAGAGCCCTGCCACAGGCCAGCTCAGCCACCTAGGCAGGTGCGTCATCTTACTGGAAGTCAGCAGATCCCTCACCTAACAAGTGTTAAGACTCATCCACATTGCAGGGATGGCCTAATGACCTAGATTGCTTGCCCTCCCAGCTTTATCTCTCCATCCCAATATCTCTATCTCTTTTATGTTTCCATTTCTCTAACTTAACAAAACCATGTGAGGCAGCCAGCACCTCCTTAATCCTCCAGCCTGATATACTTCCACTAGTGCCCCTTACGGGCAGAGCTTAATAAGGAGTCCATTCTGCCGGTCACGGTGGCTCATGCCTGTAATCCCAGCACTTTGGGAGGCCAAGGTGGGTGGATCACCTGAGGTCAGGAGTTTGAGACCAGCCTGGCTAACATGCTGAAACCCCGTTTCTACTAAAAATACAAAAAATCAGCTGGGCATGGTGGCTTGTACTTGTAATCCCAGCCACTCAGGAGGCTGAGACAGGAGAATCGCTGGAACCTGGGAGGCGGAGGTTGCGGTGAGCCGAGATTGTGCCATTGCACTCCACCTTAGGCAACAAGAACAAAACTCCGTCTCAATTTATAAATAAATAAATAAATAAATAAATAAATAAATAAATAAATAAATAAGAAGCCCATTCATGGAGCATAAATGTGGTTTGCAAAGCCCTGTCCCAAGCATCACAAAGGAAAGTTTAGAAGGGAGGCTTTAGAGCTAAGAGACTGCAGCTTCCTAACTGGCATACTTTGAGGTGGGAGGTGGGGACAGTTCCCAGACCAGGTGTCCATCTTACAGAGGGGCTTCCCGAAGTTCCTTGGGATAAGAATACCAAATGCGTGGGCATATCCAACTTATAGGGAACACCAGTAACAAAAACCAGAGATGCTGAACTTTGCCAACTCAAAGAGATGAGCAGAGAATTAGAAACAAGAAGTGCTGGACCAAAGAGTGCTTGGACTTGGACAGGAGCAAAACGCAAGCTTGCAAGACTATGGCTGTGACGGGGATGGGGAGGCAGGGGCTCCCTGCACTTCATGGACAGACACGTAAGTTGACTTAAGACAGGGGATCAAAACAGACATTCTCTGCTAAGGCCTCAGATCATATCAACTCTCGACCTTAGTTTTTCCTGTCTCAAATAAACACTTTAGCCTAAAATAGGAGTACTTTTCAGCAGTAGCCTGTAACTCTGTTTCTCTGTTCTTTAACACCTGGCTTGGAAGTAACTGGCAGGTCTATATATTTCCCCGAAGTTTTCATTTTTCCCGCAAGCAGATATAAATATTAAATGAAACCTCTTTATGTATAGAGACAGAGACCAGGAGGGCTCTCTGTCAGCCATGCCTGGACATAATGTCAAAAAATGGAAAAAAATAGAAAATAGGGCTGGACACGGTGGCTTACACATGTAATCCCAGCACTTTGGGGGGCCGAGGTGGGCAGATCACCTGAGGTCAGGAGTTTGAGACCAGCCTGGCCAACATGGTGAAACCCTGTCTCTACTAAAAATACAAAAATCAGCCAGGCGTGGTGGCGCATGCCTGTAATCCCAGCTACTCGGGAGACTGAGGCAGGATAATTGCTTGAACCTGGGAGGCAGAGGTAGCAGTGAGCTGAGATTGCAACACTGCACTCCAGCCTGGGTGACAGAGCAAGACTCCACCTAAAAAAAAAAAAAAAAAGAAAGAAGAAAGTAGATTTCTTGTCATGAAAGTTGAAAGGCTCCCAGAGATTTCGGGACTTTTGAAGTAAAACTACATGATCTTCGGGGCAAGGAGGCAATCAGAGGGTATGAAAACAGGGATTCACATTGCTTTATTTAATTCAAGATCCTGTCTCTGAAAAAAAATGTAAAAATTAGCCAGACATGGTGGCTCATACCTGTAGTCCCAGCTACTGGGGAAGCTGAGGTGGGGGATCACTTGAGCCCAAGAATTGGAGACTGCAGTAAGCTAGAATTATGCCACAGTGCTCCAGCCTGGGTGAAACAGTGAGACTCTGTCTCTAATAAATAATAATAATGGTGATAATCATTATTATATTATATAATTATATAATATATAATTAATTATATATACATTTTATATATCTATATATAAGATATCTATATATAATGTTTGTTTATACATTATAAACATATATAATTATATATGTTATATATGTTGTAAAACATATTTATATATAAATATATAATATATAAATATTTTAATATATAAAATATATACATTATAAAATATATGTTATTATATATTATAAAATCTTTTTATGAAAATATAAACTATCTTTACATATAACATATAATTAACTTATAGTTCATATAATTATATATTATATATTATAATAAGTATCATATTAATTATATTACATAGTTATATAATTAATATAATAATATGTTAATAATGACACATTAATTATACATTATTATAAATATATTCTATATTATTAATTATTAAATATGATATATAATTATACGTAATATAATTATAATATATAATAAGAAAATATAATCGTTATCTTTACTTTACTAAAAAGTCAATAAACTAGCATCTCTGCAATATTTCCAATTACTAGGCAGATGAAGCCATCAAGGAAGTTTAAGGCACAACTTCTGAACTTCAGAGCATTATTTATCTAGCCCATTCACTCATTTAACAAATGTTTGCTGCACACCTGCTGTCACCTAGGAGCTGTCTGATTTCTGCACAAAGGGCTCAGTGGTCAACACGACTGGCAATGTGTCTGTCCCCCAAAGCTTGGGACTAGTGGGAACGACAGGGGAGGTACACTGCAAGTAAATACATAAGCTCATAAATTCATCACAAATGAAAAACCCATATATGTGTTCATAAGAGACAAACAGGAGTCTAAGGAAAAACCCTAGGGGAAGGAGAGGGTGGAGAGCTGCTTTCAAGAAATCAGACAGGGAAGGTCTTGCTGAGGAAGAGCTATTTAACTGGAGACCTGTCAGGTAGACCAGGGGTCCCCAGTTCTCAGGCTACAAACCAGTAATGGTCCACTCCTGTTAGGAACCAGGCCACACAGCAGCGGGCGAGACAGCGAAGCTTCATCTGCCTGTACAGCCGCTCCCCATCCCTCACATTCCCGCCTGGGCTCCACCTCCTGTCAGATTAGCAGCAGCATTAAATTCCAACAGGAGCATAAACCCTATTGTGAACTGTGCATGTGAGGGATCTAGGTTGTGTGCTCCTATAAGAATCTAATGCCTGATGATCTGTCACTGTCTCCTCTCACCCCCAGATAGGACCGTCTAGTTGCAGGAAAACAAGCTCAGGGCTCCCACTGAATCTACATAATGGTGAGCTGTAGAATTATTTCATTATATATTATTATACAATGTAATAGTAATAGTGTGATGGCGAATATTGAGTGTCAACTTGTTTGGGTTGAAGGACTCAAAGTATTGTTCCCGAACGTGTGTGTGAGGGTGTCGCCAAAGGAGATCAACATTTGCGTCAGTGGACTGGGAGAAGCAGATCCACCCTCAATCTGGGAGGGCACCATCTAATCAGCAGCCAGCACAGCCAGCATAAAAGCAGGCAGAATTATGTGGAAAGACTAGACTGGTTTAGTCTTCTGGCCTCCATCTTTCTCCCATGCTGGATGCTTCCTGCCCTCAAACGTTGGACTCCAAGTTCTTCAGCTTTAGGACTTGGACTGGCTTCCTCGCTCCTCAGCTTGCAGAGGGTCTGTTGTGGGACTTCCCCTTGTGATCGTGTGAGTCAATACTCCTTAATAAACTCCCCTTTATATATACATTTATCCTATTAGTTCTGTCCCTCTAGAGAACCCTGACTAATACAAATAGAAATAAAGTGTACAGTAAATGTAATGTACTTGAATCATCCCAAAACCATCCCCCACCCCCTCACCCTCCACCAGTCTTTGGACAAATTATGTTCCAGGGAACAGTTCTCTGGTGCCAAAAAGGTTGGAGACTGCTGAGGTAGAGGGTGGACATCCGGAAAGATTTAGGGATCCAGGCAGAGAAAAAATGCACATCCCAAGAGTCCAGAGGGTAGAGAAAGTTGTTCTGTTGGAGGGCCTAGTGGGGGCTGGTATGACTAGAGCATCAGGAGCCAGAGAAGAGAAGGAAGTAAGGTAAATGAAGCTGAAGAGATGGGCCAAGCTCAGATCACTCTGCTCTGCTTTATATGTTAAGGAGATTACTTGGCCTGCTGGGGCAGAATAGATGGCAGACGCAGGGAGATCAGGAAGGAGACTGTTCCATAAGCGATTAGAGTGGCTTAGGTTATCATGGAGATGGAGAGAAATGAAGGAATTCAAGATATATTTTGAAATAACTGAACTTGCCCATGGGCATGGCAGGGGAAGGGAGATATCAAAGTAAATTACTGAGGTTTCTTAGAGGACAATGTTGAGAAAGAAGTTGCATGTGCATAGATAAGGTGATTAGGAAGGGATTTATATAAGCATTCAAGGCAGCAAGGTAGATGCCGCAGGTAGATAATGCACAGTTTATTTGCAATTGCTTATGACTGTAGCAAATGCTATCTATTCCTAAACACCACGGTATCCAAGAATCATCTCATGGGAAATATGAGACCTGGATAGGACTTGAATGAAGAGAAAGGCTGGAAGAAATTGAGAGGAGAGAGGAAGTTATTCTAGGCATGAACAGAATATAAACAAAGGGAATGTGAGTTGAAGAAGCAGGTAATGGGAATGAGAACTGGACATGATTTCCAACATCACCTCAACTTGGAGAAACAGTTGGATGCCTCCACTTAGTATCATTCAGGTAGCATCCCTGGGGGTGGCTCACGGTTGCTCCCCGGCACTGTCCATTTGGGATGTTATGTGTGTTCTGGGCATGGTTGTCTATCCAGGGCCATGTGGGCAAGCAGAGAGGCATCCAGAGGTACAAAGAGGCATCATTCCTGCCTGACGTCTGTGAGGTGCAGGTCTTGATAGATCGTCCTACTAAGGAAAAATGAAGACAGTGAATGTAGCTTTTCCGTGTGGTCAGTAATTAGAGCACCCTTACATAAATGGGATTAGTTGGGCTCTCCTGGGCTCTCCAAGACTCAGGACAGTTGCTCCTTCCTCGGACAGAGCCTGGGCCACCTCTTGCATTGTGTCTTCTCCCCTGCAGGTGATTGTTAAGAGTCCCAGTGTTGGGTGTCTGGCTTATTCTCTATCTTCTAAGGCAGGTTTGGTAGACCAATGCTGTTTATCCCATTTTGTATGGCTCATGAGCTAAGATTTCTTCTTTTTGTAGAGACAAGGTCTGGCTCTGTTGCCCAGGCTGGAGTGCCATGGTGCAGTCATAGCTCATTGCAGCCTCAACCTCCTGAGCTCAAGAGATCCTCCCACCTCAGCCTCCCAAGAACCTGGGACTACACATAGGCATCACCACATCCAGTGAATTTTGTTTATTTTTTGTGGAGACTGAGGGGTCTCACTAAGTTGCCCAGGCTGGTCTCGAGCCCCTGGCCTCAAGTGATTCTCCCACCTCACTCAGCCTCCCAATATGCTGGGATTACAGGCATGAGCCACTGCACCTAGCCAGATTGTTGGCAGTGGTTTTTTGTAATATTTAAATTGTTGAATACATAATCAAGGGAAGACATTCCACAACACATGAAAATCACAGTTGGCCCTTGAAGTAAACTGGTTTGATTTGCACGGGTCCTCTTATACATGAATTTTTTTCGTAAAAGCTACACTGAGTGTAACTGCCTCTTCTGCCTCCCCTTCCAGCTCTTCCACCTCTTCTGCCTCTGCCACCACTGAGACAGCAAGAACAACCCCTGCCCTTCCTCCTCCTCCTCAGCCTCCTCAACATGAAGATCACGAGGATGAAGACCTTTATGATGATGCACTTCCCCTTAATAAATAGTAAACGTATTTTCTCTTCCATGTGATTTTCTTAATAACATTTTCTTTTCTCTAGCTTACTTTATTGTAAGAATACAGCATATAATACATGTAAGATACAACATATGAGTTAATTGGCAATTTATGTTATCAATAAGGCTTCCAGTCAACCGTAACCTATTAGCAGTTAAGTTCTGGGGGGAGTCAAAAGTTATACACAGATTTTTTTTTATTTTTTGATGGAGTTTTGTTCTTGTTGATCAGGCTAGAGTGCAATGGCGTGACCTCGGCTCACTGTAAACTCCACCTCCTGGGTTCAAGCGATTCTCTTGCCTCTGACTCCTAAGTAACTGGGATTATAGGCGCCCACCACCACACCCGGCTAATTTTTGTATTTTTAGTAGAGATGAGGTTTCACCACGTTGGCCAGGCTGGTCTTGAACTCTTGACCTCAGGTAATCCACCCTTCTTGGCCTCCCAAAGTGCTGGGATTACAGGCGTGAGCCACTACTCAGGTTTTTTACTGTATCAGGGGTCAGTGTCCCTAACCTCATGTTGCTCAAGGGTTAACTTCACATGAAATTCAAATTTCAGAGTCAGTAAATAAAGTTTTGTTGGAACAAGTCACATTCACTCGTGTAAGAATTATCTACAGCTGTTTTCACATTACAATGGGGTAGGTGAGTACTTGTAACAGAGACCATGGGGCCTGCAAACCCTAAAATATTTATTGCCTGGCTCTTTACAGAAAAAAATGTACCCACTCCTATTTTAAGGCAATAAATAGCCCTGATTGAATAATAAGAAGTACAGGAAATGCACAAAAATACGTCAATTGATATTTAAAATATTTTTCTTCATACATGTGAAAGGCATTGAAAACCATGCTAAGGAGTCTGGATTTGATTTTATATTCACTAAGAAACAATACAAGGTTTTGAGCTGTTCAGTGGTATCACAAAATGCTACTTAAAATGCTAATTTGGGTTTATGCACAATTAATTGAACATGGTATCAGCAGGAGAAAAATTTCTAAAGTCATCTATTAGATTCAGAAGGATGTGTTTCAGATGATAAATGTTAAAAATAAATATATGAAGTTAAAATAAGTATCACTAGGAAGAGAGAAAAATTGAGTTGGAAGGTGTACAAGGGAACATTCTGGGTGCTGAAAGTTTTCTATATTTTGACCTAAATGGTGATTACACTGGCGTTACTATAGATTAAAGGTGACCACAAATTGAAAGGGAAATCTTAATGACTTGCTCATGCAAAAGAATTTGATGCAATTGACATTCTGGCACTTTGGAGACCTTACAACTTCCACCTGGGTTTCTTCAAATGTTTGTTTCAGAGAAAAATCCATGCCAATACAGTCTGACTATTCTGAGACTGCCATGTTGTGAGGAAGCCCAAGCTAGCCCCATGGAGAACACAAAAGGAGACAGAGATGTATGACAGCCTCCAGTTTTTCCACTATCCCAACCCAAGCACCATATATGTAAGTAAAGAAGTGTTCAGCTGCCTCTAGCCCAGCCACTACTTGATTGTAGCTCGGTGAAAGATCACAAGAGAGAACCACTTGGCTACATCCAATCAACCCACAGAACTTGAAAGAAGTTATTTAGCCACTAAGTTTTGGAGTTTGTTGTTACTTACCAGCAGATAATCAGATAACTAGAACAGGTATATACATACGTACATTAGGCACTTTCTAAGTGTTTGTAATACTTCAATTAAAAATAAGTAGATAAATAGAAATCACACAAATTCAGAGATAGAGATACACACAATCCCTATTATTCTTTAGTTTGTTATAACAAGGAACTACTGAATGATTAGCAATAGGAATAGATTTTTCTAACAGGAAGAAGATAAATGAACAGATGTGAATACTAGTGCATACAATGCCTATGATAACATTTGATTTTTAATGTTAGACCAGTGAAATGGGCATTATTACTTTCTTTTGACAAATGGGGCAACTGAGGCAAACCTAAGTTAAAAGATTTGCCCAAGGTCACATATCTGGGAAGTGACAGAATTCAAATTTGAACCTAAGTTGGTGACTCAAAAGTCCTTGCTCTTTTCATAGTATTGTCTGGCTACCTGGGACTTTCCTTGAGCATTTAGCAAGTTTTTTATTATTTCAGTAGTTTTTGTTTCTGATCAGTCCAAAGGACTGATCAAACCAGTATGAGCATAGAGACACAATGCAGTTTAGAGGGCAGTTGGATTCAGGAAATCAGAAAAAGGAAATGCTTCATTATTTTCTCCAATCGTTATCTGTATTCATAATCATGAGGTGTCCTTTCTACAATCACTGTCAACATGGAAGGTCAATTTTATCGCTTTTTAGTTATCTTCAGGCCTTAAAAGTCCTGTTGAGTCATATTTAAAACCTCATTCTTAGCCAAGAGTGATGGCGCAGGCCTGTAGTCCCAGTTACTTGGGAGGCTGAGGCAAGAGGATTGCTTGAGCCAGGGATTCAAGACTGTAGTGAGCCGTGATCTCGCCACTGCACTCTAGTCTGGATGACAGAGACCCTGTCTGAAAAAACAGCACCTTCATTCTTGCATCCAGTGCAAAGCTTCTCACCTCTCACCTGTAGCCTGATCTGCTATTTCCCACTTCCTCTCTGTCTTCCCCTCCATCTTTGGACACTTCTACGGTTTGGTTGGGATTGGAGTAGAGTCAGTGGAGATATGTGGGGAAGAAAAAGCAGAAGCATTTTTACCTGCCTTATTTAGCTGTGAATGAGCATAGCTGGGATGATGGTCCAATCTCCAGCTGAGCCACTTTTCCAACTTCTCCTTCCTTTTTATGTGCTGTGACTTAGTTCCTGCCAGTCCATGGCCTCCTTCTGGAGTTTCTCTTATCATACTGAAGCCTTGGCTTGACTCAGGCTCCAGCTCTGGGCTGAACCTGGGCATTCCCCCAACACTTGAGTGCCATATTTTCAGTGCTGTGCTCCTCCAAGGGAGAGGTATCCCACATCCACTCCATTATCCTGGTGTGCAAGAATCCAGGATCATCACAGGTAAATAAAGGCCCACAGGAGGCCTATCAGGGTGCAGAGAGAGACACACATTTAGTCCAAGTATCCTCCACTTAGATGGTCTATTAAAATACCAGTTATTAGATCAAGAGTTGGAAGGAAGGAAGGAGAGAGAGAGAAAGAAAGAGACAAAGAAAGAAGGGAGGGAGGGAGGGAGGGAGGGAGGAAGGAAGGAAGGAAGGAAGGAAGGAAGGAAGGAAGGAAGGAAGGAAGGAAGGAAGGAAAGAAGGAAGGAAGGAAGGAAGGAAAAAAGAGAGAAAGAATGAAAGAAAGAAGGAAGGAATGGAGGAAGGAAGGAAGGAGAGAGAGAGAAAGAAAGAATGAAAGAAAGAGAAAGAAAGAAGGAAAGAAGAAAGAAGGAAGGAAGGAAAAAAGAAAGGAAGGAAGAGAAAGAAAGAAAGTTGAATTGTAATGTGCAAACTCCATCGAAGAATCTAATGAAATGCATAACATATTTTAGGAAGATTTATATTCAAATGGTTTTCAAAATTTACACTTTAGTTATCTAATTCAGTTGGGTGGAATATGTCTTCCCATGGCCACCTAAAATAAATGACATGCCTCTATAGTTTGGGAAAAAAATGTACACAGGTACCAAGCATTTGAATAATTTGTAAAGTCACTGGCTTTTCCCGTGTAGAGGACATTTATTTTCTCTAGGCATTTCTGCTGAGTTTAACCCAAGTGCAAAGAATGGCTTAGTTTGCAACTAAAAGATGGAAGAAATTTTAGTCAAAAAACCTCTCTATGTAGCAAAACAAAACAACAACAAAAAAAAACAAAAAAAATCACATTTTATTAAGAATATTAATATACCTTCTTCAGGGGCCTTTTAAAAATCTTTAGTAGTATTTTCCAATTGCTGTCAAATAATTATTAACCAGACTTTTTCTTAAAAGGCTGTTCTTGGATATGATTATCACCAATCATTTTAACAAGAGTCCTAGATTTGCCTGTCTCTTAGTACCTTTTTCCCTGAGTGGAGATTAAGGGCTGTATGGGGAAATAATATTGATTTATCCAAATGGATTTGTTTTGCAAGGTGAAAATAATCCTGTAATATCACTGTGTAAATATGGATGAGCAATTGACCATGTAATTAACTACCCATTCTTTCTGCTACATCTAGTTTGTTTCTTAGTGTGTCTGTCAGTAAATCCGTATTTTAACGCAGTACATTGTATGACAAGCAAGGAATTTTTAGGATGATCCTTTAACATTTTTTTGAAATTCAAAAAGTCATCAGGACATGAACATGATGGAAGAGGGCATCTCTATACCCAAGGAGCTAGGACACCATTGTGCCACCTCTCAAACCATGTGGCAGCTCACTTCCTTCCAGGCATTTCAGTGACTTTTTTTTTTTTTTTTTTGAAATGGAGTCTTGCTCTCGTCGCCCAGGCTGGAGTGCAATGGCACCATCTCAGCTCACTGCAATCTCTGCCTCCCAGGTTCAAGTGATTCTCCTGCCTCAGCCTCCCAAGTAGCTGAGATCACAGGCACCTGCCACCACACATGGCTAATTTTTGTATTTTTAGTAGAGACAGGGTTTCCCCATGTTGGCCAGGCTAGTCTCGAACTCCTGACCTCATGATCCACCTGCCTCAGCCTCCCAAACTACTGGAATTACAGATGTGAGCCACCACACCTGGCCAGTGACTTCTAACTATATCTGTCTTTGCTTCCCGGTCTCTCCCTCCACCAACATGAGTCCCTCTACAACGATGAGTCGGTTATGGGCCAGCAAGACCCTTTGGATCCAGGACGTAGGGGAAATCACAAAGCAGAGATGACTTCTGCTTTGAAGCTAAACAGATCTGAATTAAAATCTTATATTACTATCTGCTAGCCACGTGACCTTGGGCATTTGAAAATATCCCCCAAGTAAGAGTTTAGTTCCCCTGGTAGATTTGTGTTCCCTAATCCCACTGGGGAGCCCAGGTTCTCCCTTTATTTGTGATGTGAACTTGAAGCACTTGGTTTAAGGTGGCATCCTTCAAGTTTCCCCCAAGTTATTTTTTCATTGTAATAAATAGAGACTTGGTGAAGGGATACTTTGACACTATGTAAATATCTCATTCATCATTAAATATTCAGCCTAGTTTTAGCATCTATTGTTACTTTGTAACTCAGCCAGTTACTACTCTGATGATTTTCTACCTTAATTCTCTCTCCGTTAGTGGCTTTCTACTATAAGAAAGAGTTTTTTGATTGTTTGTTTGTTTGTTTGTTTGTTTTGAGACTGAGTCTCCCTCTGTCACCCAGGCTGGAGTACAGTGGCGCAATCTCGGCTCACTGTAAGCTCTGCTTCCCGGGTTCACGCCATTCTCCTGCCTCAGCCTCTCAAGTAGCTGGGACTACAGGCACCCACCACCATGCCAGGCTAATTTTTTTGTATTTTTACTAGAGAAGGGGTTTCCCCGTGTTAGCCAGGATGGTCTCGATCTCCTGACCTCGTGATCCACCCGCCTCAGCCTTCCAAAGTGCTGGGATTATAGGTGTGAGCCACCACATCCACCCAAGAAAGAGTTTTATCTTCTTGTTTGTTTGTTTGCTCATCTTTTTTGTTTTGTTTTGGTTTTTGAGACAAAATCTCACTCTGTCACCCATGCTGGAGTGCCATGACAGAATCATAGCTCACTGCAGTCTCAACCTCCCAGGCCCAAGCAATCCTCCCACATCAGCCTCCTGAGTAGCTGAGACTATAGGCATGTACCACCATGCTTGCCTTTTTTTTTTTTTTAATTTTTTGTAGAGATGGGGTTTCCCCATGTTGTCCAGGCTGGTCTCAAACTCCTGGCCTCAAGCAATCCTCCCACCTCAGCCTCCCAAATTGCTGGGATTACAGGGGTGAGCCACTGTGCCTAGCCTGTTTGCTTGTATATTGTCATTGTGGATGCATGAATTCTGATGTTACTCAATTTGATGCTCACATTGTTCCAGATTTGGCCAGTGGGAATTCCTCTAAGCTGGTACTTATATCTTTCTATGTGTCCGCCTGCCTTTTTGAAAAATTTTGTATTCTCTTGTAGAACGTGATGTTGTAAGTTTCTCTTGTAAGTTTCTTGCTCCAGCCCTGGAATCAATCACTTCCCCCAAGGGCTAGCTGTATTTATATTACTAAACAATGTGCCTGGTAGACTCAGCTGATCACTGGCCTCCAGGGATCCAGTCTTGTGTCCCCCTTCTTTTAGGAACTCACCTCTCTCCTAAGCCCCATGCCTCCCTAACATGCTCCTTTCAAAAACGCAGCTGTGCAGTGAGCCGAGATCACACCACTACACTCCAGACTGGGTGATAGAACAAGACTCCATCTCAACAAAGACAACAACAAAAAAAAGCAGGTTAACTCAGTCCACTGTGGATTAGGTAACTTACGTTTCATCAGAACTTTGCCACTTACTAGCTGCAGAACTTTGGGCAAGTCCTTTAAATGCCCTGAGAAATGGAGGTAAGGATAACTTTACGGCACTGTTGCACGTAACAGAGATAACGTTTTTGAAGCACTGAGACACAGGATTTTCCTTAAAGGGGTCTTTGACAGTTTCAGTACACTGCTCCCAAGGAGGGAAGTCCATGAAATTAGATTCTAAAACATACACACAGCCATGAATTTCAATGATCTTTTCTTCTCATAATCAATCTAGCCATTTACAAATATGAGATTTTATTAAAACTTTTAAAGTGGGCCGGGTGCAGTGGCTCACGCCTGTAATCCCAGTGCTTTGGGAGGCCCAGGTGGGCAGATCACGAGATCAGGAGATCGAGACCATCCTGGTCAACATGGTGAAACCCTGTCTCTACTAAAAATGCAAAAATTAGCTGGGTGTGGTGACCTGCACCTTAGTCCCAGCTACCGAGGCAGGAGAATCGGTTGAACCCAGGAGGTGGAGGTTGCAGTGAGCCGAGACTGTGCCACTACACTCCAGCCTGGGTGACAGAGAGAGACTCTGTCTCAAAAAAAAAAAAAAAAAGAAACTTTTAAAGTTGATTCCCTACAGAAGACATTTTCTTACATACAAAGCAGGAGTCAGCTGACTTTGACCCATGAGCCAAAAAATGGCTCATAGGTCAATGAGGACACACATTCTCTCTCTCTTTGTCTCTTTTGTCATTTGTTGCCTGATGCTACACAAGGATAAGCTAAAACCTTGTTTTCCTGCTCAAGAACACTGGCATATTTATTCCCTAAGCATCCCTAACCCTTTGGCCTAACAAAAGAATCAGATGCAGCAAGCTTTACTTATAAAGGCTGCCATCAGAAAAACCAATACCTACTTCAAGTGACACGCTAAGTCAGAGATGCCAGCTTATCTTATTTCATCTTTATTATCTGAAATACACGACGTATATATTTTCTCCAAGAAATGAAACTGCAGCTTACAGTAGAGAAGGATTTTTCCAAAATTACCCATTTCGTAAGTGGCAAAACCAAGATTTAAACCCTATCTGGCCAGGTGCAGTGGCTCACACCTGTAATCTCAGCACTTTGGGAGGTTGAGGTGGATGGATCACTTGAGGTCAGGAGTTTGAGACCAGCCTGGTCAACATGGTGAAACCCCATCTCTACTAAAAATACAAAAAGTAGCCAGGCAAAAAATAGGTGGCAGGTGCCTGTAGTCCCAGCTACTTGGGAGGCTGAGGCAGAAGAATTGCTTGAACCCAGGAGGCAGAGGTTGCAGTGAGCAAAGATTGCTCCACTGTACTCCAGCCTGGGCGACAGAGCTGGATTAATTAAATTAATTAACATTAATTAAATAAATTAAATTAAATAAACTATAACTCTGATGCTTGTGAAGTTTCCTAGTTTTTAAAATATATATATTTATAATTTTTATAGTATATAAATTTTTCCTTTAGAATAACACAACATAAACTAAATCCAAGTTACAACAGTAATTCCTCTTTCACCAGCTTTTACCTTTTCTGCATTATTCAAAGCATAGCCCTACACATAGTCCCTGATTAGAACATTTATTTTAAAATCACTGGATTTACTTTCGCTTGGATTCGAAAGCTCTTTTTCTCGTCTTTAGGCTAGTTTGACATCAAAGTGCCTCAAGCTACTTATTTCTGAGCAGGTAGAAATAAGGAGCTCTCTGTTGGGAACACCAGGAAAACAATAAGAATTGCCAGAGGAAAATAGCAGTGTTATGTCTCCCTGGCCAGAAGCTTGCTATTAGTTCTGGTGTTTGTGGATTTTGTTTGTTTGTTTTGTTTTTGTTTTATCCCATCACCTGGTATGAAGAAAGAGGAACATCGCGGTTTTATAAGGCGTCTGTAGGTTGAGGTCATTGGCTATACACCTGGTGCATTTGCGTTCACATTTGGTTTTTCAAACCCATGCAACTGCCAGGTCACTGGAATAAGCTCTTCCTTATTTTATTTTATTTTATTTTATTTTATTTTATTTTATTTATTTTATTTTATTTTATTTTATTTTTCTTTGAGACAGAGTCTCGCTCTGTCACCCCAGCTGGAGTGTAGTGGCATGATCTCAGCTTATTGCAACCTCTGCCTCCCAGGTTCCAGCGATTCTCCTGCCTCAGCCTTCCAACCAGCTGGGATTACAGGCGCCCACCACCACGCCTGGCTCATTTTTATAGAGACAAGTTTTCACCATGTGGGCCAGGCTGGTCTCAAATTCCTGACTTCAAGTGATCTGCACGCCTTGGCCTCTCAAAGTGCTGTGATTACACACGTGAGCCACTGCGCCCGGCCAGGAATAAGCACTTCTTATTTCAGACAAATTCCAGACCTGCTTCCCAATTCCTATCAAGCAGCAGCTCCTCTGTTTACTGTTCTGATTCCTGCCATTTGAGACCTGCTTGGACCCCGTTTGTTTTAGGGATCTGCTTGGTCTCCCCTTTCTGACTTATTAGCCCACTAGACTCTAAATTCCTCATCATTTCCTAACTGAGAGTCTCTCTGCTGGTAAGAGGCAGAGAGCTTCCTAGACATCACCAGGGCCTGCTGTTGATCTGGGCAGAGGCTGGACCATGACCAGCAGGGGTGTTCTGTCAAGACAGTGCAGGAGGCTGGGCACAGTGGCTCACGCCTGTAATCCCAGCACTTTGGGAGGCTGAGATGGGTGGATCACCTGAGGTCAGCAGCTCAAGGCCAGCCTGGCCAACATGGTAAAACCCTGTCTACTAAAAATATAAGAATCAGCTGAGCATGGTGGTGCATGGCTGAAATCCCAGCTACTCAGGAGGCTGATGCAAAAGACTTGCTTGAACCCGGGAGGCAGAGGTTGCAGTGAGCCAAGATTGCACTCCAGCTTGGGCAACAAGAGAGAAACTCCGTCTCAAAAAAAAAAAAAAAGAAGAAGATAGTGCAGGAGGCTGGGGAGCTGAGAATAGGCTTAAAAGGGGAAGAGTTGCCACACTTGTTCTCCAATAAAGAGTCACCTCATGCTGGGCATGGTGGCTCACGCCTATAATCCCAGCACTTTGGGAGGCCAAGGTGGGTAGATCACCTTATGTCAGGAGTTTGAGAGCAACCTGGCCAATATGGTGAAACCCCGTTTCTACTAAAAATACAAAAATTAGCTGGATGTGATGGCGCACGCCTGTAGTCCCAGCTACTTGGGAGGGTGAGGCAGGAGAATCTCTTGAACCTGGGAGGCAGAGGTTGCAGTGAGCCAAGATCACACCACTGCACACTCCAGCCTGGGCGACCGAGTGAGACTATCTCATTAAAAAAAAAAAAAGAGTCACCCCAATAAGAAAGCCTGAAGAACAGTCCTAGATGTTGGGAGCTGAGAATAAAATATTCTGGTGTCAGCAAGAGATATCAGGCAGAGAAAAGAAGCAAGGTATTGGTTAAGCTCCACATCAAGGAAACACTCAGACAAAAGCAATGTCAGAGAGAAGCAGATGGCTCAGAATAATCTATGGACTCAACCCTCAACCCTGGCTGGGTCATCCCAGCCTCCTTTCCTGGCTGAGCCATAGACTCACAAAGGGGAGGAGGCTGGGCTGGACACATCTGTTTTCTTCTAAATCATGGGAAATTAAGTTCTGCCTCTTTGTTTTTTGTTGTTGTTGTTTTGGAGATGGAGTCTAGCTCTGTTGCCCAGGCTGGTGTGCAGTGACACAATCTCAGCTCACTGCAACCTTTGGCTCCCGGGTTCAAGCGATTCTCCTGCCTCAGCCTCCTGAGTAGCTGAGATTACAGATGCCCGCCACCATGCCCAGCTGATTTTTGTATTTTTAGTAGAAATGGGGTTTCACTGTGTTGGCCAGGCGAGTCTCAATCTCCTGACCTCATGGTCTGCCCGCCTCAGCCTCCCAAAGTGCTGGGATTACAAGCGTGAGCCACTGCACCCGGCCTGCCTCACTCTTTGACTCTTCCAGATCGTTAGCTAGGTGCCGCTTGCTTAACTTAATTTCTAAACAGCACAATTATTGGACAAGCAGACTGCCTGATAATTTGCTGTAGCTATGTGTAGCAGCTTGCTTCATTCATAATTTGCTGCAGTTAGAATGTTTTTTATTCAAAGACCCTTTCCTCAACCCGCCAGAATTAGGGTCAAAGCCTGTATCTGCTCTTACTAAGGATGTCGTGTTGAGCCAATCCCTCATTCTCTTAAGACTCCCTTGTTTTTCCTAAATTGTAAAAACGGCATTATTTGCTTTGGGAGGTGGTTTTCAGGATTAGAAATGGTATAAAGTTCTTGGCACCCAGTAAAGATACAACAAATGAAGTCAACGCTATTACCACCTGATGAAGAACAGATGTCATCAAGAAAGCAAGCTCTATTCTTTTATATGGATCTATTAAAAATGCTGTTGTATCTAGAAATGCAAACAAGCCTTTAAGCTTTCTAGGAGGGGTGAAACACAGAGTTCCTTATTCTGGAAAGCAGTTTACTCAACCCCTATATTCTGAAGAAAAACTCAGGTCAGAGAGGAGATGGAGGGCAGTGGTGCAATCGCAGCAATCCTCCTGCCTCAGCCTCCCTAGTAGCTGGGATCACAGGCATGTACCACCATGCCCAGCTTTTTTTGTTTGTTTGTTTCTGTAGAGATGGGTCTTGCTATGTAGCCCAGGCTGGAGTGCGGTGGTGCAATCACAGCTGAGTGCAGCCTCAGACTCCTGGGCTCAAACAATCCTCCTGCCTCAGCCTCCTGAGTAGCTGGGCTACAGCTGTGCACCACCATGCCCAGCTTTTTTTTTTTTTTTTACCTGAGCAATGGGGACTTGCTATGTTGCCCATGCTGGTCTCAAGCTCCTGGGTTCAAGTGATTTCCATGCCTCAGCCTCCCAAAGCACTGGAATTACAGGCATGAGCCACCCACTATGCCCAGCCCCACTGGCCTTTCTCAAACCACCAGAGCAGGCCTGGCCCCTGCTTTCCCTTCGCCCCTGGAATTTCTCATTCAGGTCTTCTTGAGCTAGCACGAAAAAAGTGTAATAAAATAATTCTTTCAGACAACTTTAGAGAGAAGTTTTCCCAAAAGACAGGATTCCGGCTTCGAGTCACATAAAGTGTGTGCTTTGTCAATAACACAGGGAGGAGAGGCATGAATGAATTTTATTTCATTGGACAAGCTGTTCAGAATACAGATAAGGCCAGGCAAGCAGCTAAACTCTTAAATAAATGTTTTAGCACTATCTAGAAGGGAAGACTGCCATTGATTCCAATCTTTTCTGACAGAAAATCAGTTCTTTTAAAACTCCCAGGGCAACAAACAGTAACAAAAAGGTCTTGTTTCTAATAAAAGTTGTAAAGGACTGCAAAATAAAACATTGTCACCAGGAAGCTACAGGCCACAATTAGCATGCACGCAATTTCTCAAGGTGCCTCCCTCCTCTGTCTCTTGTGTCTCATACAAGAAAAAAAAGTTCACTGTGATTTGTACATTTCTAAACTGATATTTTCTAATTGTACATAGTGGCTTTCAATATTTCCAAAGACACAGGGAAACATATTTTAATATAAGACAAGGCTGGACTAATCTGCAACGATAGCACTAAATTCCCGGCCATGACTGCTACTGAGTTTGTTAAGCTGTGAAGGGATTTTATTTTATTTAAACAGCTTAACACTTGTCAAGAGCTATGCATACTTGGCAGGGCGCTGTGGCTCACGCCTGTAATCCCAGCACTTTGGGAGGCCGAGGCAGGTGGATCACCTGAGGTCAGGAGTTCAAGACCAGCCCGGCCAACATGGCAAAACCCCGTCTCTACTAAAAATTCAAAAAATTAGCCAGGCATGACGGCAGGCACCTGTAATCCCAGCTACTCGGGAGGCTGAGGCAGGAGAATCACTTGAACCTGGGAAGCGGAGGTTGCAGTGAGCTGAGATCGTGCCATTATAATCCAGCCTGGGCAACAAGAGTAAAATTACATCTCAAAAAAAAGAAAAAAAAAAAAGCTATACATACTCAATATCTGCTGGACCTGCAGACATCACACAAACGCAGTGGTTCTCCAACTTGAGCAAGTGTGCATTGGAATACCTGGAGAACTTGTTAAAACAGATTACTGGGCCCTACTCCTCACATTTCCAAGTCAGTAGGTTTGGGTGGGGCCTGGGCATCTGCATTTCTTATAAGCTCCCAGGTGACACTGAGGCTGCTGATCCCAGGGCTTCACTTTCACAACTACTGTTCCCACATTAAGAATCACAGACAGGGCAGGGCACAGTGGCTCACGCCTGTAATCCTAGCACTTTAGGAGGCTGAGGCAGGCAGACCACTTTGAGCTCAGGAGTTTGAGACCAGCCTGGGCGACATGGTGAAACCCTGTCTCTACAAAAAATACAAAAATTAGCCAGGTGTAGTGGTGTGTACCTGTGGTCCCAGCTACTCAGGAGGCTAAGGGTGGAGAATTGCTTGAACTTGGGAAGTGGAGGTTACAGTGAGCTGAGATTGTGCCACTGCACTCCAGCCTGGGAGACACAGTGAGACCCTGACTCAAAAAAAAAAAAACAAAAGAAAAGATGGGATCTCACTCTGTCACCCAGGCCGGAGTGCAGTGGTGCGATCATAGCTCATTGTAGCCTCAAAGTTTTGGGTGCAAGTGATCCTCTCACCTCAGACTCTCAAGTAGCTGGGGCTACAAGTATACCCCACCACGCCCAGCTAATTTTCTTTATTTTTAGTAAAGATTTGGTCTCACTATGTTGTCCAAGCTGGTCTTGAACTCCTGGGCTCAACTGATCCTCCCACCTCGGCCTCCCAAACTGCTGAGATTACAGGTGTCAGCCACCACACCAGCCTAAAATGTCAAAAAATAACAGATGCTGGCTAGGTTGCAGATTAAAGGGAACACTTATACAGTGTTGATAGTAATGGAAATTAGTTCAGCCACTGTGGAAAACAGTTCAGAGATTTCTCAAAGAACTCAAAACAGACCTACCACAAACCCAGCAATCTTATTATTGGTTATATACCCAATGGAAGATAAATCCTTCTACCATAAAGACACATCCATGTATATGTTCATTGCAGCACTATTCACCATAGCAAAGACATGAAATCAGCCTAAATGTCCATCAGCAGTGGGTTAGATAATGAAAATGTGGCATACATACACCATGGAATACTGCATACCATTAAAAAGAATAAGATTGGCCAGGCATGGTGGCTCATGCCTATAATCCCAGCACTTTGGGAAGCCAAGGCGGATGGATCACCTGAGGTCGGGAGTTTGAGACCAGCCTGGCCAACATGGTGAAACCCTGTCTCTGCTAAAAATACAAAAACCAGCCAGTCATAGTGGCGCATGCCTATAATCCCAGCTACTGGGGGTGCTAAGGCAGGAAAATTGCTTGAACCCGGGAGGCAGAGGTTGCAGTGAGCTGAGATCGTGCCATTGCACTCCAGCCAGGTGAAGAAGCGAGACTCCATCTCAAAAAAAAAAAAAAAAAGAAGAAACAAACCACAGTTTTTCACAACAGATCACTCTGTGACTCGTAGACCAAATAGAACTGTACTAAGCCCAAACTGTGATGTCTATCATAACCTATCCAAACATAAACTCTATGAACACCTGCTTACTATGATCTGTACGTTCCAAAATAAAGCCACAGACAAATGTTGTATGGACTCACATGTCTTCAGGATGAGGCGGCTGACTGCACTGAAGAGGCTGCCTTCCTTAACACCGTCCTTTTTTCTTTTTTGAGACGGAGTTTCCCTCTGCCGCCCAGGCTGGAGTGCAGTGGTGCGATCTCAGCTCTCTGCACCCTTCGCCTCCTGGGTTCACGCAATTCTCCTGTCTCTGCCTCCCAAGTATCTGAAATTACAGGCACGTGCCACCACGCCCAGCTAATTTTTGTATTTTTAGTAGAGATGGTGTTTCATCATGTTGGTCAGGCTGGTCTCGAACTCCTGACCTCAGGTGATCCACCCAAATTTGAGACACCTCATGGTTTTCCATGCTGTGCTGCCTTCTTTGCTGCTGCAAGTAATAAATCTAACTTTGTTCTGTGTTCTTGGTGGTCTTTGGCTGTTGGCCAACAGCAGTAGGTAGAATTATTTTTGTGTAGATTTAATAAAATAATTCAGATTCATGATTGTTACAGTGGCTCTGTTACATGATAATGTGTTTGAAAAAAAGTTTGTGGGGCCAGGCGTGGTGGCTCATGCCTGTAATCTCAGCACTTTCAAAGGCTGAGGCCAGCAGATCACGAGGTCAGGAGTTCAAGACCAGCCTGGCCAAGATGGTGAAACCCTATCTCTACTAAAACTACAAAAACTAGCAGTGCATGGTGGCAGGCACCTATAATCCCAACTACTCTGGAGACTGAGGCAGGAGAATCACTTGAACCTGGGCAGCAGAGACTGCAGCGTGCAGTGAGCTAAGATCATGCCACTGCACTCCAACCTGGGCAACAGAGCGAGATTCCATCTCAAAAAAAAAAAAGAAAAAAGAGAAAGAGAGTCTGTTGACCCAGTTATATTAATAGATATAAGGTTACTTTAAAACCTGGGCATATAGTAACCTTACACCCTTATAGTATATTATAGATTTTGATAAAATCTATAAGTTGATAAAAAGAGTCTGTTGACCCAGTTATATTAATAGATATAAGGTTACTTTAAAGCTGTGGGCTCACATCTGTAATCTCAGCACTTTTGGAGGCTGAGGCAGGAGGATCACTTGAGGTCAGGAGTTTGAGAGAAGCCTAGGCAACATAGCAAGACCCTGACTCTACAGAAAATTTTAATAATGAGCCAGGCATGGTGGCACATGCCTGTAGTCCCAACTGCTCGGGAGGCTGAGGTGGGTGGATTGCTTGAGCCCATGAGGTCGAGGCTGCAGTGAGCTATGATGGCACCGCTGCACTTTAGCCTGGGTGACAGAGTGAGACCCTGTCTCTAAAAAAATAAAATAAGATTTCTTTAGTGGCAAAAACATGGGAATGTGCAGATATGGACACAGTATTCCCAGGTAGAAATACCGTGTCCTGCACCTCTAGCATTTCCATGGGAATCTAGGCCTGTAGACCACAGCAGTCACTCACCGGGTGGATTCCCTACGTGGGAATCACACCTGACTTCTACCCATCTGATCACCTGACTCTGCTTATGCACCTGTAGGTGTGCCTGTCTAACCCATGCAGGTAAGCAATAAACAGCAACTCCAACCCATTCTTAAGTAATTACTGTGAGAATGAATGAAGCACAGGGCAATTTCCCAGGTGTATCTGAGTAGTTGGGATTATAGGCATGTGCCACCACACCTCACCAATTTTTTTAATTTTTCGTAGAGACAAGGTCTTGCTGTGTTGCCCAGGCTGGTCTCAAACTCCTGGCCTCAAGCAATCCTCCCACCTTAGCCTCCCAAATTGCTGGGATTACAGGTGTGAGCCACTACACCTAGGCTTTAAAGTAACTTTGTATCTATTAATATAACTGGGTCAACAAACTCTTTTTATCAACCACATTATTATGTAACAGAGTCATTGTAACAATTCTAACATTGTAGCCTCCTCCAGCAAACCCTGGAAACTCCTGCTTCAGACCTATCTAAGGGTCTTTCTATAAAGTGTCAAATCCTTAGCATGTTACCTGGTAGATAGTAGATGCTCAATAAATGTTAGTTGTTTCTCCTTTACATGCCTCTTCATCCTAAAACCCCACTCCTCCTTTACAGGCCACTCAATTGTCACTTCATTAATTAAAACCTTCTCTTCCACTCCAAAAGCATACAGGAAATTCTTGCTTTTAAAATCTTCGAAATGCACTGAGCTCCCGTGACCCACCTCATTCTCTGTGGACCTGATATCCTCCAAGACTGCTAAATCCTTGAACGCAATCCCCTATGTCACCCTTGTTTGCACTTCACAATGTGCTTAGCATGGACCTTCCAACTAGTATTTTCTTAATAGAAACAATTGCTAATTTTTAGAAACAAAACGTAATGTCCTTGGATTAGGGACTCAACTGGCTGGAAGCAGCTTGGCTGCCTTTATTCTGAATCACCAAGAGCAGATTTTATAAAATCATAAATTGGGTTGGCTTCCTTCTTTTTCTCTCAACAGGATTCTCAGCCACTCAAAACTACATAAGTGTTTTATGCTTTTTAATTTTTGAGTAGAATTAAACCAGTTCTTTCCTCAATCTCAATAAATTAACGAACACTTAAATCCACTAGCTCTAATAAATTGTATTTCTCCAAGGAATGATATTTATAGTGGAAACAATTACTGATAACCTTAAGTGATCCACTTTTGTACAATGTCTACAAGATTGTACTGGGCAGTATTTCAATTTTTGCAACCCCAGAATTAAGATTACCAAAAGGATTTATTTTATTTTATTTTATTTGTTTGTTTGTTTAGAGACGGGATCTTGCTCTGTTACCCAGGCTGGAGTGCGATGGTGCAATCATAGCTCACGGCAGCCTCGAACTCCAGGGCTCAAACAATCCTCCCACCTCAGCCTCCTGAGTAGCTGGGACTACAGACAGGCACACTTGGATTTTGTTGTTGTTGTTGTTGTTGTTGTTGTTGTTTTAGAGATGGGGTCTCACTGTGTTGCCCAGGCTTGTCTCAAACTCATGAACTGAAGCTATCCTCCCTCCTTCCTCCCCCAAAGTGCTGGGATTGCAGGTGTGAGCCACTAAGCCCAGCCAAGATTGATTTTTGTAAGTGTTCTGATGTGTCAAATCATGCATCAGTTCTGGCATTCTGTAGAAATTTTAAATCATAGCATTAGTTATTATAATGAGATGCAGATGTCAACTTCCTGAAACATTTTATGGCTTTAGCTTCACAAAATTTGGAGCTGTGTTATAGGAGAATAAGCTCAACCTGTGGTCTCAAGAGACGGCTGTTACCAGCAGCAAAAGCCTGGACAAGTGACTTATTTCTCTGCACTTGTAAGACACAGAGGATAATAGGCATCTAACATGGTTCTTATAGAAATGGAATGCACTGAGAATGCTTAGTAAACTGTAAAGTGCTTTATAAATGTGAGTCACTATGACATCTGTTCATAGAGATATCAGGTGTCAGAGGAAGAAATCTACGGAGCAGTGACCATCTCGTCCAAAACTTGTATAATAGTTACCCTAGAGGAAACTAAACTCAGAAGGGCAGTTACTTGTTAGAGAGTAAGAAGGGCCAGAAGACCAACCCTCTTTCTGTACTAGAAATTAGCACAAAGCTAAATTATCAGAACCAAATACTCACACTTTACTAATATTTCTAATCTAGGCGCACTATTAAGGGTTAACGTACTTCCCCTTCCAAAAAGAGATGTTGAAGTCCTAACTCTCACTATCTCTGATTGTGACCTTATTGAGTGATAGGGTCTTAAAAGAGGTAGTCAGTCGGGCACAGTGGCTCATGCCTGAAATCCCAGCACTTTGGGAGGCTGAGGCGGGCGGATCACAAGGTCAGGAGTTCGAGACCAGCCTGGCCAACAACATGGTGAAACTCCGTCTCTACTAAAAATACAAAAATCAGCTGGGCACAGTGGTGGGTGCCTGTAATCCCAGCTAACTCAGGGAGGCTGAGGCAGAAGAATCGCTTGAACCCCGGAGGCAGAGGTTGCAGTGAGCTGAGATTGTGCCACTGCACTCTAGCCTCGGCAATAGGAGCGAGACTCCATCAAAAAAAAAAAAAAAAAAAAAAAAGAGGTAGTCAAGTTAAAATGAGGTAATTAGGATGGCTGTAATCCAATATGACTGGTGTCCTTATAGAAAGAGGACATGTGGACACAGAGACTGACTGATACACAGGGAGGTCACCAGGTGAACATAAAGGTAGAGGTGGAGGTGATGCATCTACCAGACAAGGAATGGCAGATCCACTGCAAACCCCCCAGAAACTAGGAGATGGGCATAAAATAGATTCACTTCATCACCTTCAGAAGGGACTGACCCTGCTGACACCTGCATCTCAGACTTTTCATCCCCTAGTCTGTGAACCAATACATTTCCATTGCCTGAGCCACCCAATTTGTGTGACAATTTGTTTCAGCAGCCCTTGCAAATGAGTATCAACATTATGTTCTTTAATTCCTGAACATGATGTAAATGTTCATTGCATTTGAGACCTTTTCAAAAGGAGATTTATTTCCAAAGCAATTTCAACTCCATCTTGCTAAGGCTGCTATAGCAGGATACCATACATTGGGTGGCTTATAAATGACAAAGATTTATTTCTCACAGTTCTTGGGGCTGTGAAGTTCAAGATCAAGGTGCTGGCAGATTTAGTGTCTGGTGAGGACCTTGCTTTCTGGTTCATAGGCTGCTGTCTTTTTGCTGTGTCCTCACATAGCAGAAAAAGAGCAAAGCAGGCCGGGCACAATGGCTCATGCCTGTAATCCCAGCACTTTGGGAGGCCAAGGAGGGTGGATCACCTGAGATGGGGAGTTCAAGACCAGACTGACCAACATGGAGAAACCCATCTCTACTATAAAAAATACAAAAATAATTAGCCAGGTGTGGTGATGCATGCCTGTAATCCCAGCTACTTGGGAGGCTGAGGCAGGAGAATTACTTGCACCCAGGAGGTGGAGGTTGTGATGAGCTGAGATTGCACCATTGCACTCCAGCCTGGGCAACAAGAGGGAAACTCCATCTCCAAAAAAAAAAAAAAAAAAGAGCAAAGCAATCCTCTGAAGTCTTTTTTAGGGCACTAATTCCACCCATGAGGGGTCCACCCTTAGGACCTAGTCATCTCCCGAAGTCCCCTGCTCCAAATAACATCACATTGAAGATAGATTTCAATGTATGAATTTCAAGCAGACAGAAATATTTAGTCTATTGGATTCTGCCCCCGAATTCCCAAAATTCATATGTTTCTTACACACAAAATACAGTTATTCCATCCCCAGGGCACCCAAAATTGTAACTCATCCCAGCATCAACTTTAAAGTCTAACTCTAAAGTCTCATCTAAATATCTAAATCAAATATGTTGAGACTCAGCCGGGCATGGCGGCATGTGCCTATAGTCCCAGCTACTTGGGAGGCTGAGGCAGGAGAATTGCTTGAACCCAGGAGGCGGAGGTTGCAGTGAGCCAAGATCATGCCACTGCACTCCACCCTGGGTGACACAGCAAGACTCTGCCTCACAACAAAAAAAAAGGTACTCCTCTGCTTACTGAGATAGATGGATATCTGATTGTCTCCTTTGGAAAGGCTAATCAGAAACTCAAAAGAATGCAAGCCTTTATGTGTTATCTATCTGTGACCTGGAAGTTCCCTCTGGCTTTGAGTCTTCCTGACTTTGCTTCCAGTTGTCTCACCTTTGCAAACAGAACCCATGTGCTTCTTAATTGATTGATGTCTTATGTCTCCCTAAAATGCACAAAATCAAGCTGTGCCCAACCACCTTGGGCACATGTCATCAGGAACTCCTGAGGCTGTGTCACGGGTGTGTCCTCAACCTTGGCAAAATAAAATTTCTAAATTAACTGAGACCTCTCTCAGATTTCCTGGGTTAACATAGGTATTCAATATAATGTAACAGACTTAATAATCACTAGTGTGGTGGATATCAAGACATAAATACACAAGTCCTCTTTCATAACGGAGTCAGAAAGCCCTCTCTGATTTGGGCAGTGATTTGAGCACAGTTTGCTGTGCTAAGAACTGTGGTGGCAGAAAGGACAGGGTAATCTATTCAAACCATCAGAGGGGGCTAGCAATTGAAAGATGCTTAGGTGGTCCAGTTTCTGTTTTCTGCATGTGGCTAGCCAGTTAGAATGGTGATCATTAAAAGATCAGGAAACTACAGATGCTGGAGAGGATGTGGAGAAATAGGAACGCTTTTACACTGGTGGTGGGAGTGTAAATTAGTCCAACCATTGTGGAAGACAGTGTGGCGATACATTAAGGATCTAGAACCAGAAATACCATTTGACCCAGCAATCCCGTTACTGGGTACATACTTGAAGGATTGTAAATCATTCTGCTATAAAGACACATGCACACGTATGTTTATTGCAGCACTATTTACGATAGCAAAGACAGAACTAACCCAAATGCCCATCAATGATAGACTGAATAAAGGAAGTGCGGCACATATACACCATGGAATACTGTGCAGCCATAAAAAGAATGAATTCATGTCCTTTGCAGGGACACAGATGAAGCTGGAAACCATCATCCGCAGCAAACTAACACAGGAACAGAAAACCAAACACCACATGTTCTCACTCATAAGTGAGAGTTGAACAATGAGAACACATGGACACAGGGAGGGGAACATCACACACCGGGTCCTGTCTAGGGGTGTGGGGAAAGCGGAGCAACAGCATTAGGACGAATATCTAATGTATGGGGGGCTTAAAACCTAGATGACAGGTTGATAGGTGCAGCAAACCACCATAGCACATTTTTACCTATGTAACAAACCTGCACATTCTGCACATGTATCCAAGAAAATAAGGTAGGAAGGAAGGGAAGGGAAGGGAAAGGAGGAAAGGAAGGAAGAAGAGAGAGAGAGAAGGAAAGAAAGGAAAGAAAGAAAGAAAGAAAGAAAGAAAGAAAGAAAGAAAGAAAGAAAGAAAGAAAGAGAAAAAGAAAAGAAAGAAAAAAGAAAAGAAAGAAAGAGAGAGAGAGAAAGGAAGGAAGGAAGAGAGAGAGAAAAGAAAGAGCGAGCAAACAATCCTTAGGTGGTCAACTGTAAGCCTTTAGCAGGTTGCACAGTCCAGGAAGAAGGAACAGCAGCAGGAGAAGCATGGAGGGGTCCAGAAACGCAGCACACACAGGACACTTAACAATAGACAATAGGTGGATGCAGGACGGGGACAGAAGATGCGATGGGAAAGGTAGGCAGAGCCATCTCAAGAAGGGTTTTCTATGACACACATCTACATAAATATCTCTTAAGAGGATTTCCTTTAATAATAATACATTGCACACTTAAAATTCGCAGACAGACTAGATCTTACGTAATCTCAATACACACATACACACTCACAAAAGTTGTGTTTTTTTTTTTTTTGAGATGAAGACTCACTCTGTCACCCACACAGAAATGTAGTGGCACGATCTCTGCTCACTGCAACCTTCGCCCCCCAGGTTCAAACAATTCTCTCCCCTCAGCCTCCCAAGTAGCTGAGATTACAGGTGTCTGCCACCACGCCCAGTTAATTTTTTTGTTTTTAGTAGAGACGAGGTTTCACCATGTTGCCCAGGCTGGTCTTGAATTCCTGACCTCAGGTGATCCACCCACAGCCTCCCAAAGTGCTGGGATTACAGGCGTGAGCCACCGTGCCCAACTCAAAAATATTTCCTAAGATGATTTTCTTTAGTAATAATGTATTGCATGCTTGAAATTTGTAAAGAGAGTAGATCTTAAGTAATCTCACTACACACATACACACACGCAAAAATAACTATATGAGGTGAATATGTTAATTAGCTTGATTGCAATCATCATTTCACAATGTATATGTATATCAAAACATCATGCTGGACATCTGGAATATATATGATTTTTATTAGTCCATTTTATCTCAATAAATCTGGGAAAAAAAAGAGATGGTTTTCCCTTCAATTCTCTGGGAAAAGCTCAGGAAAGGGAAGAATTCAGCTTTTCTGCTGATTTGCTTATTATCACTGCTGTAACGAATGGTCACACACTTAGTGGCTGAAAATAAAGCAAATGTATTCTCTTACCATTCTTGAGATCAGAAGTCCAAAATGAGTCTCTCTGGGCTACAAGTAAGGTGTCGGCAGAGCTGCATCCCTTTCTGGGTGATGTAGGGAGGAATCTGTTTCCTGGCTTTTTCCAGTTACGAGAAGCTGCCCGCATTTCTTGGTTTGTGGCCCCCTTCTTCCACCTTCAAAGCAAACATCAGGTCAAGTACTCATCTTTCCATCTGTTTGGTTCTCTTACTCTGCCTTCTTTTTCCACTTTTTTTTTTTTTTTTTTTGAGACAGAGTCTCACTCCGTCTTGGCTCACTGCAACCTCCGCCTCCTGGGTTCAAATGATTCTCCTGCCTCAGCCTCCCGAGTAGCTGGGACTACAGGCACCTGCCACCATGCCCGGCTAATTTTTTGTACTTTTTAGTAGAGACGGGGTTTCACCATGTTAGCCAGGATGGTCTCGATCTCCTGACCTCGTGATCCACCTGCCTTGGCCTCCCAAAGTGCTGGGATTACAGGCGTGAGCCACCACGCCAGGCATAGCAACTTAATTTCATTCGTAACCTTTGCCACGTAATCTAACCTATTCATAGGTTCTGTGAACTTCTTTGAGGGGACATTAGACTGTATTCCACACCTGCCACATCTCTCTGGAGCATGTTTCAGAGAGCTCCCTATTCCAGAGGAATCAGGGTATTTTGCCTTTCATGGGACACATGCTTTGCTTCTGCAGTTGTTAGTTGGCCAGTATTGCAGAGGTCTTTTTTTTTTTTTTTTTTTTTTTTTTTTTTTGAGATTGATTCTCATTCTGCTGCCCAGGCTGGAGTGCAGTGGCACCATCTCAGCTCACCGCAACCTCTGCCTCCCGGGTTCACTCAATTCTCCTGCTTCAGCCTCCCGAGTAGCTGGGACTACAGGCATGTGCCACCACACCTGGCTAATTTTTTGTATTTTTAGTAGAGACAGGGTTTCACTATGTTGACCAGACTGGTCTCGAACTCCTGACCTCATGATCCGCCCACCTCAGCCTTCCAAAGTACTGGGATTACAGGCGTGAGCCACTGTGCCCAGACACATTGCAGAGGTCTTAAAAGAAGCTGCAAAGCAGTGTGCTCTTCATGGGAGATTTAAACCTTCAAAGCCAGCAACTTTTACATGTTGTAAACTATAAGTTACTCCTACCAGTTTTGCTGAATGAACAGTTTATGTCAATGTGCAAATCCATCTGGAGGGTCAGATAGTGACCCTAAAGAGACACAACTCATAAGATCTAAACTCTGGTTTGTTTGCCAAGGTCAGTGTTCTCCAGCCAAGGTAGAATAGATAAAATGACCTCCCAAAGATGCTTGCTTATCAGCAGTTGTCTTCATTTTTCACCCAAGACAATGGTGCATTCTCCTCATTGAATGCTTTTGTTTTTAAATTTCTATTAGGAGCTGGGTGTGGTGGCTCACACCTGTAATCCCAGCACTTTGGGAGGCTGAGGTGGGTAGATCACCTGAGGTCAGGAGTTCAAGACCAGCCTAACCAACATGGTGAAACCCCATCTCTACTCTTAAAAATACAAAAAAATTGGCCGGGCAGGTGGCTTATGCCTGTAATCCCAGCACTTTGGGAGGCTGGGGCGGGCAGATCACGAAGTCAAGAGATCGAGACCATCCTGGCCAACATGGTGAAACCCCATCTCTACTAAAAATACTAAAATTAGCTGAGCATGGTGGTGTGCACCTGTAATCCCAGCTACTCAGGAGGCTGAGTCAGGAGAATCACTTGAACCCAGGAGGCGGAGCTTGCAGTGAGTCGAGATCGCGCCACTGCCCTCTACCCTGGGAACAGAGCGAGACTTCGTCTAAAAAATTAATAATAAGAAAAAATAAATAAAAATACAAAAAATTAGCTGGACGTGTTGGGCACCTGTAATCCCAGCTACTTGGGAAGCTGAGGTGGAAGAATCTCTTGAACCCAGGAGGTGGAGGTTGCAGTGAGCCGAGATCGTGCCATTGCACTCCAGCCTGGGTGACAGAGTGAGACTCTGACTCAAAATAATAATAATAATAATAAAACATAAATTCTTATTAGGTTGCTGCAAAAGACATTAGAAGTAATGGCAAAAACTGCAATTAATTTTTCACCAACCTAATATTAATTCACTTTGGCAGCCTGAGTGACTTCCAGGAGAAACAACAGTAATTTATTAATTCTTAAGATACCAGAAAATTTGTCAGTGATGCTAACATTGGAATGAGAAATTTGGATGCCTCTTTCTGCTCTTCTATAATTGGTATTGATTAGCCGGTAGCTAGCTGGACCTGATAAGCAAATGTACCCAATTCAGGAGAAGCAACACAGTAAAGTAAAGAAATGGCTGTTAAGTGAAGTCCTGAATTCCACCTATGTGCGGGGTGATCATGGGGTGGTACGAGAAAAAGCAAAGATCAGGAGAAAAAAAATAAATTTGTGTGATTTCTAATTACTTTGGATTCGGCCTTAATTAAAATTGAACTTAAAGTCAGAAGCCATGAGATTTGTTTGGCAAACTTTTTTTTTTTTTTTTTTGAGACGGAGTTTTGCTCTTGTTACCCAGGGTGGAGTGCAAAGGTGCGATCTTGGCTCACCACAACCTCCGCCTCCCAGGTTCAAGCGATTCTCCTGATTCAGTCTCCCAAGTAGCTGGGATTACAGGTGTGAGACACCATGCCCAGCTAATTTTGTATTTTTAGTAGAGGCGGGGTTTCTCCATGTTGGTCAGGCTGGTCTCAAACTACCGACTTCAGGTGATCTGCTCGCCTTGGCCTCCCAAAGTGCTAGGATTACAGGCGTGAGCCACCGCGCTCAGCCGTTTGGCAAACATTTTAACTGAAACTTCAGAAGCTTTGGATAGGAGCACTTTTGAAAAATCAATGCTGTTAATATAGCATTGAGTTAATAATGGTTGTGTAGACACACTGGAGGTTTTGTGCATTTTTTTAATTCATTTTTATTTTTTTGACATAGAGTCTCACTCTGTTGCCCAGGCTAGAGTGCAGTTGCGCGATCTTGGCTCACTGCAACCTCTGCCTCCTGGGTTCAAGTGATTCTCATGCCTCAGCCTCCCAAGTAGCTGGGATTACAGCTGTGCACCACCACGCCTGGCTAATTTTTATATTTTTAGCAGAGATGGTGTTTTGCATGTTTGCCAGGCTGGTCTCGAACTCCTGGCCTCAAGCAATTCTCCTGCCTTGGCCTCCAAAAGGGCTGGGATTACAGGGGCGAGCCACGATGCCCGGCCAGTTTTGTGCATATTTATATAACATTCGCCAGAAAATCTTACTTACATCTCTACTTATTCCCTCTCTTGCCACCATAAAGAAATATTTAAATCTGTTGGCTAAAAATATCAGAGTTTGTTATAGTAAAACAAATGTTGAAGAAATGTTTCTGAAGACTTTTGACTTATAACCTTTATTAGGCTGTGAATATTGCTTACAGGAAACTCCATTTGTTGCCATAAGTGTTTGTTCTCTCAGAGTTGAAAACTATATTTACCATGAAGGTCAATTTACTCACCAGCTTTGTGATAATTAATTTGTCAACCATTACCTCATTGAACTAGCTCTCATTAACTCAACTGTTATAAAAGAATGGTACAGATTCTCTAAAACCTAGAGATATCCAAAGGCTCTTCTCCTTTTAAATAATTATTCTCTATGTATAATAAAGTGACCCTACAGCAGTGATTTGCAAACTCGATTGCATATTAGAATCATCTGGGGCAGGGCACGGTGGCTCAGGCCTGTAGTCTCAGCACTTTGAGAGGCTGAGGCAGGTGGATCACCTGAGGTTAGGAGTTCAAGACCAGCCTGGCCAACATGGTGAAAACCCGTCTCTACTAAAAATACAAAAATTAGCCGGGCGTGGTGGTGCACACCTGTAATCCCAGCTGCTTGGGAGGCTGAGGCAGGAGAATCGCTTGAACCCAGGAGGAGGAGGTTGCAGTGAGCCAAGATCTGCCACTGCACTCCAGCCTGGGTGACAGAGCAAGACTCCATCTCAAAACAAACAAACAAACAAACAAGAAGTCATCAACTGACACCCTGCTAGTTAGGAGGCACTTACTTTTAGTCATGCTGGGCATACTTTAGTTTTCACGTAGCCACATGAGTTACTTTTTGGGAGAGGTCCATCCGTGGAGTTTTCAACATTATAAGCTTTCCTTGCAGGCACACTCTCAAATATAAGTGATAACATTCAAGTATTATGACTCGATTAAAAATATTATTGCCTCTGAAGAGTTTATGCAATCACTCTCATTCCTCACAATTTCAGCCTTGCTATTTCAAAAGGTGCCTCTTGGAAGTGAGATAGGTTAGGTAGGGTGATCATAGCCTCCCTCAATGGGAAATAAAAATTTAAAAACTTGTCAAATTGATGGAAAGCACAAACAACCCAACATTGCACAGACTGCATTCTGAGCTTGTGGTTAGAACATCCTGTAGCAAAGTAGGAGAACAGAAGGCAAAGTCCTCAAATTTGTGCAAACACAGAAACCCATGATTAGTGTCCTTGGGCTGACCTATGCTTATTGTAATAGTAAAAAACACACTCCTGGGTGGAGATTTTAAATGCTAATGAGACATACAATGTATGTAGTAGCATATACAGCCACTGCACATGCTGGCTTGGTGGCTCACGCCTGTACCCAGCTCTTCGGGAGACTGAGGCAGGCGGATCACCTGAGGTCAGGAGTTTGAGACCAGCCTGACCAATATCATGAAACCCCATCTCTATTTAAAATACAAAAAATTAGCTAGGTGTAGTAGCATGCACCTGTAATCCCAGCTACTCGGGAGGCTGAAACAGGAGGATCACTTGAACCCGGGAGGCGGAGCTTACAGTGATCCAAGATCGAGCCACTGCACTCCAGCCTGGGCAACAAGAGCAAAACCCTGTCTCAAAAAATGAAAAAAAGAAAAGAAAGAAAGAAACCACTTATAGGCCAGGTGTGGTGGTTCATGCCTGTAATCCCAGGACTTTGGGAGGCCAAGGCAGGCAGATCACCTGAGGTCAGGAGTTTGAGACCAGCCTGGCCAACATGGTGAAACCCCATCCCCACTAAAATCACAAAAATTAGCTGGGTGTGGTGGTGGGTGCCTGTAATCCCAGCTACTTGGGAGGCTCAGGCACAAGAATAGCTTGAACCCAGGAGGTGGGGGCTACAGTGAACCGAGATCGTACCACTGCACTCCAGCCTGGGCGACACAGTGAAACTCCATCTCAAAAGGAAAAAAAAAAGAAAACCACCTATAACATACTTAAGGGCAACACCCCTTTCTACTGCTCCGTGAATCATCATGTAAATCTCCCATAAAGGGGAGATCTCCCAGGATCAAACAGGGCTGTCTCATGTTTGAGCATCCCGCTCTGATTAGCCTTCAGAGTATACTTTTTCTTTGCAATAAACTCTCCTGCTTACTTTTACTTTGGACTTCCTCTCAAATTCTTTGGCAAAAGTCTAGAACCTGAACTGGCCCACTGGCAACAGAAGCACCCTATTATTTTGTCTTGCAGGACACAGTCCGCATTCAGTGGTTGGAAGAAAAGTTGCCCTCCATGAGCCAACACCTTCCCTAGGTACCACATACACTTAAAATCTTATGGCAACGAGACTCAAGATAATCAGTCTTTTGTCTTAGCTTTGCCATTCTTTCAGCCATGTACCTTGAGTAGTGGGTTAATGATGTTTGTGCCTGTTTCCCCTCTACCGTGAGAGAACTAAACTAGATGGAACCCATTTAGAACATATTAAATCTGTGTTTATTCTCCAAGTATAGCCCCCTTAGTAGCACACATATATTGAATTTTTTATTCAATTTTTAAATTTAAATTTTAACTTAATTTTATTATTATTATTATTTTTTTTTGAGACAGAGTCTCACTCTGTTGCCCAGGCTGAAGTGCGGTGGTGCAATCTCAGCTCACCACAACCTCCCGGTTCAAGTGATTCTCCTGCTTCAGCCTCCCGAGTAAGCTGGGACTATAGGTCCGTGCCACCATGCCCGGCTAATTTTTGTATTTTTAGTAGAGATGGGGTTTCACTATGTTGGCCAGGCTGGTCTCAAACTCCTGACCTCGTGATCTGCCCGCCTCGGCCTCCCAAAGTGCTGGGATTACAGACATGAGCCACTATGCCTGGGTTTTAATTTTTATTTTTAAGTTCCAGGGTACATGTGAAGGATGTGCAGGTTTGTTAAAGGTAAACGTGTGCCATGGTCGTTTTCTGCACAGATCAACCCGTCACCTAGGTAATAAGCCCAGCACGCATTAGCTATTTTTCCTAGTGATTTCCCTCCCCCAACCCCCACAACCCCAACAGGCCCCAGAGTGTGTTGATCCCCTCCCTGTGTCCATGTGTTCTCATTGTTCAGCTCCCACTTATAAGTGAGAACATGCGGTGTTTGGTTTTTTGTGCTTGTGTTAGTTTGCTGAGGATAACGGCTTCCAGCTCCATCCATGTCCCTGCAAAGGACATGGTCTCATTCCTTTTTATGACTGCATAGTATTCCAGACAGAAACTTGCTCTGTCGCCCAGGCTGGAGTGCAGTGGCACAATTTCGGCTCACTGAAACCTCCACCTCCCAGGTTGAAGCGATTCTCATGCCTCAGCCTGCCAAGCAGCTGGGATTACAGGTGTGTGCCACCACACCCTGCTGATTTTTATATGTTTAGCAGAAACTGGGTTTTGCCATTTTGGCCAGGCTGGTCTTGAACTCCTGAACACAAGTGATCTACTCACCTCAGCCTCCCAAAGTGCTGGGATTACAGGTGTGAGCCACCATGCGTGGCCACATATATCGAATTCTTTGTGATTCCTGCTTACAGAATTGCCAGGGGACCAACTGATTTCCTAGGTAGACTTTAGATTTCTTGGTTGTGGTCTGTGTTTTGTGGAACCTCCTGTCTCCATCTAATATTTGAGGAAGAAGAGTGTATCCTGGTTGCAAGTAACAGAAATGGACTCAAGCTAAATTTTTTTTTTTTTTTTTGAGACAGAGTCTCACTCTGTCACCCAGGCTGGATTGCAATGGCACAATCTCAGTTCATTGCAACCTCCACCTCCTGGGTTCAAGAGATTTTCCTGCCTCAGCCTCTTGAGTAGCTGGGATTACAGGTGCCTATCACCACGCCCTGCTAATTTTTGTATTCTTGGTAGAGACAGGGTTTCACTGTGTTGGTCAAGCTGGTCTCAAACTTCTGATCTCGTGATCCACCCGCCTCAGCCTCCTAAAGTGATGGGATTACAGGCGTGAGCCACTGCATCCACCCATGGACTCAGACTAATTTAAGCAGAAAAGGAACTTATTAGAAACCTATCTAGGCCGGGCATGGTGGCTCACGCCTGTAATCCCAACACTTTGGGAGGCCAAGGTGGGTGGATCACCTCAGGTCGGGAATTCGAGACCAGCCTGACCAACATGCAGAAACCCCGTCTCCACTAAAAATACAAAATTAGCTGGGCGTGGTGGTGCATGCCTGAAATCCCAGCTACTCGGGAGGCTGAGGCAGGAGAATCGCTTGAACCCGGGAGGCGGAGGTTGCGGTAGGCTGAGATCGCGCCATTGAACTCCAGCCTGGGCAACAACAGGAAAACTCCATCTCAAAAAAATAAAATAAAATAAATAAATAAAAGAAAAGAAAAGAAAAAAAGAAAGCTATCTAGTGCTCACATAAGTAATGCCCCAGGAAGCCAGACGTGTGAGGAAGGAGCTGAGAATGGGGCAGGAGTAGGTGTCCTGGGAGCGTGAACCACTTGCTCATGTAATTTACTTGTGCCTTTAGGACCTGCTTAGGCTTGGTTCCATAAATACCGCTAGATAATGCGTGCACATTATTAGTCAAGGTAATTGATACTAGCTGCTGTTACAAATATCTCAAATCTCAGTTTATTAACACAATATGCATTTCTCACTCCTATTCCAGTCTAATGTGGATTGGATATCTGTCTTCCAAACAATGATTCTATGGCACAACTATGTTGACAGCCTTTATTTCTAGCCTTACAGACAAAAGAAACACAAACATGGAACACTGTGTTATTGCACCAATTAATCTAATGCATTCCAATGGCTGCAACCTAACTATAAAAATTGCTGTCAAATATAATGTTTTTCATGCTCAGAAAGAAGAAATGGGATAGGGATGCATCTTGGAAGTCTTGTCATAGTTCTGCTGAGCATGTCTGACTTACGGCTTAGTGGATTAGCTAATACCCAGTTCATAATGGGCAGCTTAGGTCATATGATTACTTGAAGCCTCATGGGCAACTATTCGGTGTCCAGCCAAGAACCATGAACAAGTTAAGAACTACTTTCGCTTTCTGTTTGTTTGTTTGTTTTGTTTTGAGATGGAGTCTTGCTCTGTTGCCCAGGCTGGAGTACAGTGGCGCTCTCTCAACTCACTGCAAACTCTGCCTCCAGGTTCATGCAATTCTCCCACCTCAGCCTCCCGAGTAGCGGGGATTACAGGCGCACAACACCAAGCCCTGCTAATTTTTTGTATTTTTAGTAGAGATGGGGTCTCACCATTTTGGCCAGGCTGGTCTCAAACTCCTGACTTCAAGTGATCTGCCCACCTTGGCCTCCCAAAGTGCTGGGATTACAGGCGTCAGCCACCTCACCCAGCCAAGAACTATTTTTAAAATGTTAACTAATGTAAGAAGTATAGCTTATCTCATCATTCCTACAAGCCTCCTCTGGATTCTCTTTTCCAATTGCCACAGGCTACAAAAGGAGCTGCCAGGTTATAAGGTAACAGAGGCAGAGCTGTTTGTGTTTCAGACAAGAAAGCATTCTCTTATTTTGGATTTCATTTAAACTTTGCAATTCTTTCATTTAAAAGTGTAAGAGAAGCACATTAAAATGTGGTATAGCCCATAGCATTATCATTGTCTCTCAGCAGGAATTGGCTTAACATACACAACCTGAAGTTTCATGCAGGTGTCAAACTCCAGTATTTTCCCTAAGATTTCTCTTACACTTTATGCGTTGCATGTCTTAACCAAGACATAATGATTTGTCATGTACTGTTTATGTGCCAGACACAGTTCTAATTGCTTTACACATATTAACTCATTTGAGCATCACAAAAGCTCTGTGGGGAATTTGCTATGATCCTAACCATTTTACAGATGAGGAAACCGAGGCTCAGTGACTTTAAATAACTTGCCAAGTTCACACCCCCATGTTTATGGAGTGGTGCTGGTGGGCCTAGAATTTATTCCTTCCAGTGGGTTCTTGGTCTCGCCGACTTCAAGAATGAAGCCACGGCCCCTCACAGTGAGTGTTACAGCTCTTAAAGATGGTGTGTCCGGAGTTTTGTTCCTTCAGATGTGTCCAGAGTTTCTTCCTTCTGGTGGATACGTGGTCTCGCTGACTTCAGGAGTGAAGCCGCAGACCTTCGTAGTGAGTGTTACACCTCTTAAAGGTGGCGCGTCTGGAGTTGTTTGTTTCTCCTGGTGGATTTGTGGTCTCGCTGACTTCAGGAATGAAGCTGCAGACCCTCACAGTGAGTGTTAGAGCTCATAAAGATAGCGTGGACCCGAAGAGTGAGCAGCAGCAATATTTATTATGAAGAGCTAAAGAACAAAGCTTCCACACTGTGGAAGCGGAGGAGACCGGGTTGCCACTGCTGACTGCGGTGGCCAGCTTTTATTCCCTTATTTGCCTCTGCCCACGTCATGCTGATTGGTCCATTTCACAGAGTGCTGATTGGTCCATTTTACAGGGTGCTGATTGGTGCATTTACAAACCTTTAGCTAGACACAGAGCACTGACTGGTGCATTTTTACAGAGTGCTGATTGGTGTGTTTACAATCCTTTAGCTAGACACAGAGCGCTGATTCGTGCGTTTTTACACAGTGCCGAGTGGTGTATTTACAATCCTTTAGCTAGACACAGAGTGCTGATTGGTGCATTTACAATCCTCTAGCTAGAGGGAAAAGTTCTCCAAGTCCCCACTCAACCCAGGAAGTCCAGCTGGCTTCACCTCTCACTGGGATTCAAACTGAAATTGGGGGTTCAATTTCAACATAAGCTTTGGAGGGGACATTCACAACATAGCAGTGGACCAGTGACATCAGCTTGGGAGCTTATCAGGAATGCAGGAATCCAGATCACACCTCAAATCTACTGAATCAAAAGCTGCATCATTTAGCCATATCCAACCATGGTTCTTAAACACATTAAAGTTTGAAAAGCACTACTTTGTGCCCCAATGCAGAATCCTACTTTGCAGGCTGGGGTCCCAGCACTTTGAGAGGCAGAGGCAGGCGGATTGGTTGAGCTCAGAAGTTCAAGACCAGCCTGGCCAACATGGCAAAACCCCATCTCTACAAAAAATACAAAAATTGCTGGGTGTGGTGTCCTTACCTTAAAATAGCTAGTGTCTGTGCTCTTTTTCATTCTCCATCCCTATTCGTCAATATAACAGAACAGATGGTTTGGTTTGGGGAAGTTTTTGTTTGTTTTATTTTTATTCTTTATTGGTCTTGCACATTTAGAGAAATGAAATTGCCATTAACTGAGGGAAGGATGGAGAAAAGATGAAAATCTTACTTTTGCATATATTCAATTTCCGATTCTTGACCAGGTGCAGTGGCTCACACCTGTAATCCCAGTACTTTGGGAGGCCAAGGTGGGTGGATCACAAGGTTAGGAGTTCGAGACCAGCCTGACCAACATAGTGAAACCCCATCTCCACTGAAAATACAAAAATTAGCTGGGCGTGGTGGTGGGCGCCTGTGATCCCAGCTACTCAGGAGGTTGAGGCAGGAGAATCACTTGAACCTGGGAGGTGGAGGTTGCAATGAGCTGAGATCGTGCCACTGCACTCCAGCCTGGGTGACAGAGTGAGACTCCATCTCAAAAAATAAATAAATAAATAATAGAATAAAATAAAATAAAATAAGTTTCAGATTCTCATAAGATATCTAAGTACAGATACTGAGTGCACAGTTGGTTGTATCAGTCTAGACTTTTTTCGGGGGAGGAATGCTATACTAGATTTGGGATGGTTAGCATATAGATAGTATCTAAAACCATGAGACACAATGAAATGATGACATATGTTGAGGTTAGCATGGTGAAACTGTACTGCTGTTACTACCAAATAAATGCAAATTCTGTGCTTATTTTAGAAAAAAAATCAGATAAATATATGCAGATGTTTCCAGAAGCTATATTAATTTATCCGAGTAAAGAAGCCACACCTAGGGGCTGGGGGCATGGCGGGTCACGCCTGTAATCCCAGCCCTTTGGAGGCTGAGGAGGGCAGATCACTTGAGGCCAGAAGATGGAGACCAGCCTGGCCAACACGGTGAAATTCCATCTCTACTAAAAGTATAAAAATTAGCTGGGTGTGATGGTGCATGCCTGTAATCCCATCTACCTGGGAGGCTGACACAGGAGAATCACTTGAACCCGGGAGGCAGAGGTTGCAGTGAGTCGAGATTATGCCGCTGTACTCCAACCTGGACAACAGAATGAGACTCTGTTGCGAAAAAAAAAAACCACATCTAAAGTCTAAAGTAGCAGTTTTCATTGGAGTTATACCATATTACACTTATGATGTTCTATTTACATTCTCTCGGAGCCCTCAACAAGACTGCTACATGCCCCCAAAACCCACACAGATTGAAAATTTTAATAGATACATAAAGGAATTATCTCCTTTGCATTTTACGGGCTTTTGCTAATGACACCAAATGCTGTTATACCCACAGCAATGTTTTTGTTTTTAAACTCTTTTAGCATAGAGGGTGAGATTTGGGGACTTCTATCTACTTGGACCCTTCCTACTAGAGTCGTCTTTTCCTCAAAGATTCAGGAGACAATAAAAAATTCTGATGACTGCTGAAATATCTATTTTAACTACATATTCAGAAATGGAGAGATTAACCATGGAAGAAGTTTGGGATTCCATCCTCTCCTAATATAAAGTCAATTCGGGTAAAAATCTCCATTTCTGATATGACTCTAGTCAAGTAAAATGGTATTCTGAGTTTTCAGAAAGTGTCCAGTGATCCCCTAAAATGAGAATGTGCCCATTTCCTCAGGTCACAATTGCCCTAGTAACAGTGTTTTTTATTTTTTGGCAAAAAGCTAGAATACAGATTCACAGTGTTTACTTGCTAAATTATTCCAAGGGCTTCAAAAGTGTTTGCCCCTGTTTCATGAAATTCCACCTCTCGGAACTGACCCCTGCATGAAAAATTAGGAAGAGATTTTATTGTAACTCTATTGCGGTGACTTAAGTCAAGCTCCTGTTCAACAAATTTAGAGGAGTACGCCTTGGTTTCTGATTTTTGGCTAATAGAAGTTGAATCTTTTAATTGGTTTTCCATTCAGTTACCTACTGGCTAAAAGATTTTTGCAAGTCAGACTTTTCTGAATACTGCACTGCTCTTGTGTTTGTTTGGGCTGCTGTGACAAAATACCTTAGACCGGGTAATATATAAACAACAGGAATTTATTGCTCACGGTTTTGGGGGCTGGAAAGTCCAAGATCAAGGTGCCGGCAGATTCATTGTTGAGGGTTCACTGTCTGCTTCAATGTGTTACTTTCTTGCTATCTCCTTACCTGGGTGAAATGGGGGAAGGCAGCTTCCTTCAACCTCTTTTATAAAGACACCAATCCCATTTATGAGGGTAGAGTCCTCATGATAGTATCACATTCCCATAGGCCCCACCTCTTGACTATCAGATTAGGTATTAGCTTCCAGCATATAAACTTTAGGGGACACTAAAGTTCGGACCACAGCAGGCTTATTTCTAGTGTCTACTCCCACTTTACCTATGGAAGTCAAATGCTCCTGTACTTGCTTTCCTTCCTGGATATCTTTGCATGTGTTTTAAAATTAACATATAGTAAAAATGAGATTTTTATGGAAAAACTTATATATTTCTATCAATTTTTTAAATATGTGGATTTGTGTAACTGTCACCACATGCAAAACGTAGAACAATCCCATCACCCCCCAAAAACTCCATCATACTGCCCCTTTGTAATCACATCCACTCACAACCCTAAACGCCATTCAAAATACCTAGAAGAGAATGGAATTTGGTATAGGTGAGATAGTACTCTCTGTTTGTGCTAGAATGAAACCCACTTGTTCACAAGTTAATCAGCAGTTGAAAGTCTCGTCTGAGAAAGATAAGAGCCATCAGATCTTTTTAACTGACTAACTTCCAAAATCATTTAATCCTCGCCTCAACCTTGTCCCTTGTCCATGGTGAGTCAAAGTCAGGCTACACCAACATGTACACAATGTCTACATGGACCAGATTTGTTAAGGTCCAAGGAGTCTGGTATTTTTTTTTCCTTTTTTTTTTTTTGAGACAAGGTCTTGCTCTGCTGCCCAGGCTAGAGTGCAGTGGCACGGTCATAGTTCACTGCAGCCTCTAACTCTGGTGCTCAAGTGATCCTCCCACCTTAGCCTCCTGAGTACCTGAGACCACAGTTGTGCACCACCAAGCCTATCTAATTTTTTTATTTTTTGTAAAGATTTATAAATAAAAACCCTTTATCTTTTTTACTTTATCTTTTGTACCCTTTATCTTTATGACTGATAAAGCTGTTGGGATAAACTGGCTTTAGATCTGAAGCCAAATGGCATTGCTAATAATTTTGTTTGTTTTTTTATTTTTATTTTTATTTATTTATTTATTTTTGAGATGGAGTCTCACACTGTTGCCCAGGCTGAGTGCGGTGGCACTATCTCGGCTCACTGCAACCTCCGCCTCCCAGGTTTAAGCCATTCTCCTGCCTCAGCCTCCTGAGTAGCTGGGATTACAGGCACCCACCACCATGCCCAGCTCATTTTTTTGTATTTTTAGTAGAGATGGTGTTTCACTATGTTGGCCAGGCTGGTCTCAAATGCCTGACCTTGTGATCCACCCGCCTCAGCCTCCCAAAGTGCTGGGATTACAGGGCTAATACTTTTTGTTGCCTGAGCTGGTCTCAAACTCCTGGGTTCAAGCAACCCTTACACTTTGGCTCCCCAAAGCACTGGGATTACAGGCATGAGCCACCAGGCCCAGCTGAATCTGTGTTTCTTAAGGTTCATCCTGCCTATATAACATTTTACTTTCCTCTAGACACAGCCTGCAGTGAGCTGCTTAAGTCAATTCCCCTCCTATTATCTGTGTTTGCTCAAGACTAAGGTGTAAAGCCTTCAACACTTGTCAAGTTATGATAGTCTACTTCTCACATGTTATTTTGGTCCCCAGTTTGACTCCTGCGTATTTCACAAATTTCTTAGCCCTACAGATGAAGATATTGGGTTTTAGGAAGCCCATAAACAATATCTACTTATTTCTGCAGCTAGATTCTGGAACGAATTAAGAGTAAAACCCAAAAATTAGGCAGCTGGAGATCAGGATATTATTCTTTATTACTGATAAAACTGTTGGGATAAACTGGTTTTAGATCTGAAGCCAAATGGCCTTGCTAATACTTTGCCCCTGAGCCAGAGAGACTTACCCATCTAATTATAAACACAGCTGGACATGTGGCCAGGCACGGTGGTTCACACCTGCAATCTCAGCATTTTGGGAGTCCAAGGCGGGAGGATCACCTGAGGTCAGGAGTTCGAGATCAGCCTGGCCAACATGGTGAAACCCTGTCTCTACTAAAAATACAAAAATTAGCTGGGTGTGGTGGCAGGCACCTGTAATCTCAGCTACTTGGGAAGCTGAGGCAGGAGAATCGCTTGAACCCGGGAGGCAGAGATTGCAGTGAGCAGAGATCATGCCACTGCACTCCAGCCTGGGCGACAGAGCAAGATTCCATCTCAAACAAACAAACAAACAAACAAACAAAAAACAATACAGCTGGGCAAGCAGTCCTCTGTTTCCATCCCCCACTCCCCTACCCACCCAGATAGAAGAAACGGCCAAGTGGCAAAGTCCCTCCAAGTGTTGAGGAGTCAAAGAAAGAGAGAAGACAAGATTCAGCCAATCATGCCCAAATTCTGCTTTCAAACTAATCCACCTGATGAATCATGCTCCTCCCTTAGTGAAGACTGAACAAGGGAAGCTAAAAAGTGAGGAGCTGTAGAGTGGTCAAGACCAGTGGAAGTGAAGCAGTGTCGTTGTCTGGGGTAAATACCTGAGGTTCGTTGTCTCACCCTAAGGGAATTGAGCACTCAGACACACAAGAAGTGGGTTAGGAGTGGAGGTTTAATAGGCAAAATAAAGAGAAATGAGAATAGCTCTCTCTCCTGAAGGAGGGCAACTGAGTGGGGCTTCTGGTCCACAGCAGAGTGCACAGGTTGTTTTTTGTTTGTTTGTTTGTTTGTTTGTTGAGACGAAGTCTTACTGTTTTCATCCTGGGCTGGAGTGCAATGGGATCTCAGCTCGCTGCAACCTCTGCCTCCCTGGTTCAAGCAATTCTTCTGCCTCAGCCTCCCGAGTGAACATTTTTTTCCTATTAATCCCAGGTCTTTAGACAAACTCAACCAATTGTCAACCAGAAAATGTTGAAATTTACCTATAATAATAGCAAAGCTGCCCACAAATTCTTTGCTATTCCTCCAATTTTGAGGTGGAGTCTAATCCCCTTCTAATCTGAACTGGCCTTAGTATTTGCTCATCCAATAGAATACAGCAGAAAGGACAATTGACCATTTTCTACAACCATGCCTTAAGAGACTTAAGGCAGCTTACAGTGCTGCCTCCTCTCCCCTGGGACACTGATTCTTGAAATCCATACTGTGAGGAAGCCCAAGCAGGCATGAGGAGGCCCATTTGGGGATAGATAAAGACCCCTTACCAAAAGACCAAAGCTGAACTCCCAGAAGACCTCAGCCATGTGAAGGAGCGCCCATGGAAATAAAATCTCTATCTCTATTTGGGGGTAGTTTGTTGCACTGCAAGAGATAATCAGAACAGGGCCTTTAAAAAATTCCTTTTTGTGTATTAATATCCTATGGCTGCTGCCCTAACAAAATACCATGAACTGGGTGGCTTAAATATTATCAATTAATTATCTCACAGTTCTGGAGACTGCAAGTTCAATGTTAAGGTACTGGCAGGGTTGATTTGATTCTAGGGCCTCTCTTCTTGGCTTTGCAGATGGCTATGTTCACTCTATGTCTTCACATAATCTTTCTTCTGTTCTCACACATCCCCAGTATCCCTTTGTGAGCCCAAATTTCCTCTTCTTACAAGGACTCCAGTCAGATTGTATGAAGACCCACCCTAACAGCCTCATCTTAACTTAATCATTTTAACTCTCTTTATTTTTTATTTATTTTTTAACTTTTTATTCTTTTGACATAGGGTGTCTCTCTGTCACCCAGGCTGTAGTGCAGGGGCATGTTCTTGGCTCACTGCAACCTCCACCTCCCCGGTTTAAGCGATTCTCATGCCTCAGCCTCCTGAGGAAATGGAATTACAGGTGTGCGCCACCATGCCCAGTTAATTTTTGTATTTTTAGTAGAGACAAGGTTTTACCCTGTTGGTCAGGCTGGTCTTGAACTCCTGGCTTTGAGTGATCTGCCCACCTCGCCCTTCCAAAGTGCTGGGATCACAGGCATGCAACACCATGCCCTGCCCACTTTAACTCCTTAAAAACATCTCCAAATATGGTTACATTCTGAGGCACTGGGAGTTAAGTCTTCAACATATGGATTATGGGATAAATACAATTCAGCCTATAAATTGTGGATTAAGGAGTTTCAAAATAGAGCAAAATTACACATATGTGTTCAGTGTACCATTTTTTTCCGCAGCAGTCCCTGATTTGTTTTTCCACATACAAACTCAGCGCCCAAGTGTCCATGGATTCAAAACAACACATCAAAACATAATAAGCCCTTTTAAAATGGCTTTTTTTTTTTTTTTTTGAGATGGAGTTTCGCCCTTGTTGCCCAGACTGGAGTGCAATAGAGCGATCTTGGCTCACTGCAACCTCTGTCTCCCGGGTTCAAGTGATTCTCTTGCCTCAGCCTCCCAGGTAGCTGGGATTACAGGCATGCACCACCATGCCCAGCTAATTTTTTTATTATTATTATTTTTAGTAGAGGCAAGGTTTCTCCATGTTTGTCAGGCTGGTCTTGAACTCCTGACCTCAGGTGATCTGCCCACCTCAGCTTCCCAAAGTTCTGGGCTTACAGGCGTGAGCCACAGCGCCCGGCCTGCTTTTAAGCCTAGTTCATTTTACCCTTTACGTAGAACAGAGCATCTGTTTAATGAACGCCAAGCATAAGGCAGGAAATATGGTATACAAGATGAAAAAGGAAGTTTGCCCATAAATCATGTGGGTAGAACCAGTTTTTTAAACAATGCATAAGGGGCAAATAATGTTTATAGTCATTCTGGAATCACAAATCTGGGAAAATTATCCAGTAAAAGCACTGCAAATCTCAAGTCCCTTATCATATAATAAGGAGCCTTCTGAGTGATTGTATGTGACACCTGCTAGGCCAATTTATTAGCAATATTAATAAAGGCAATT